>NC_000005.10:160609808-160912839 GCF_000001405.40 Homo sapiens | reverse complement strand
AGAGAACACAGGAAAGTGTGGCATGCCAGATAGACAGCCCCGCTGAACTATCTACCCGGGGGTAGGAAAAGCACACTTAATTTAACTATCTTTCTTTCTTTCTTTCTCTCTCTCTCTTTTCTTTCTTCTTTTCTCTTTTCTTTTTTCTTTTTTCTCCTTTTCTTTCCTCTTTTCTTCTCTTTTTTCTCTCTTCTCTTTACTCCTTTTCTTTTCTCTTCTTTTCTTTTCTCTTTTCTTTTCTTTGACAGTGGCTTACTCTGTTGGCCAGGCTAGAGTGCGGTGGCGTGATCTCAGCTCACTGCAACCTCCACCTCCCAGGTTCAAGTGATTGTCCTGTGTCAGCCTCCCAAGTAGCTGGGACTACAGGTGTGCACCACCATGCCCTGCTAAGTTTTCTCTTTTTTTTTTTTTTTTTTTTTTTTTTTGGTAGAAACAGGGTTTCACGATATTGGCCAGGCTGGTCTCAAACTCCTGGACTCAAGTGATCCACCCTCTTCAGTCTCCCAAAGTGCTGGGATTATAGGCGTGAGCCACTGCACCAGGCTGAATTATTTAATATATTTCTAATTACAAATGATCATTTTCACCTCAATGTCTCATACTTCCTTGGGTAACTTATTCTTCATTATTTTATTCCAATTTTCTAATTGGTCTTTATTTAGATCTACTCATGAGAACCCAAGTGTAATAGTTATACTGAATACAAAAGTTCTGCCTGTCCCCTTTCCACCCACAGCCACTTCTCACACAGACCCTTTCAACACCTATAGATGTAATCTCTCTCTCTCTACTGGAGTGCAAGCTCCTTAGTAGTGGTTTTACTTTGTCTTCTTAAGTCTTTACACATAGCAAAGTGTTTATTTAAATATTTGTCAACTTAGAATATAATAATCATGACCTTAACCAAAATATTTTCACACTTACTATTTGCCAGACACCGGTCTAAGATCTCTAGTGCATCATTATGTTTAACAAGCAGGTTGCTGTTGCCTCACGGATGAGGTAGGAGCAATACTATTGTATTTTTTGTATCTAAAATAACCAGGCTGGGTGAGATGGTCCCTGCAGGTGGATTTCATCTGTAAGTGTATAATCCTCTGATGACCCCCTTCCCCTCTCAGACCTCCTGAAAAAGAAACTTTATTATCATAAGTCCTTTTGTAGGAAATACATCTCTCATTTCTTAGGACCTAGATATTTAATTTCACAGGCTATCAATGCAGCAGACTCACACATGCTTGGGGTAAAGTTTCAATATGCCTGATCATGTTCACTCTTCTCCCCAACCAAAACCAAAGTCGAGGATTAGAAATGACCTTGAGAGGCATCTAGTCTAGCCTCCTACTTCCAACCAGCTCTGTACTCAAGCACCCTGGCCACATTTGGTGAACGGAAGCCTCTGTCTTCCTTTGTAATTCTATTTGAGTTAATTCTTTTCTCTCACCAAATCCTTTTGGGTCCATTGAAGCTCATGTTTATCCTTTTTAGTTCTCAGTCATTGTTTTAAAACCTAGGGTATGTGGAGGCAGAGATGAGGAAGAATGATGATTTTAGAATTCCAAGAATGTCCAACGTATAGCAGAGTTAGTTTTGAGTTGTATCTCCTTTGTCCTCTGAGCCATGAAAAGGAAGGTAATGGAGATTATGCTAGTTATGACCAATACACTTGGGATACCAAAGGCACCAGAAGAAACAATAGTTTGAAAGTCAGCCTCTACCACTGGCCAGCTTCAGGCCATTGGAAACATTTCTCCCCAATTTTTTAAATGGGCATTGTCCTTGTTTGTTTGTGTTGCTATGAAGGAATACCTGAGGGTGGGTCATTTATAAACAGGAGGTGAGAAAGAGGAAGAAAGACTCTTTTCAACAACTAGTTCTCTCATGGGAACTAAGAGTAAGAACTTACGCCCAGGAAAAAGGCACCAACCTTCATGAGAGATCTTCTCACCCCAGGCCCCACCTCTAACATTGAGGATCAAATTTTATGATGAAACTTGGTGGGGCCATACAAACCATATCCAAATAGCAGGTATTATTCATGAAATTTTCTTGATTCTGAGTCGTGTATGTACTTTTTTAATCATTGATGTTTCTTAATCAGATCCAGCCTTAAAATTTGTAAGCACATTAAATATAGTGTTTCTTCCCCTTTTCATAGCCTCAAAAATTACTGAACTGATTATCTTACTAGTAAAATAATTCAGTCTTGGTGATGAAATACAATAATTTTTGCTTAACTTACAGGATAGTGAAGCCTGAATGAGACTAAACTTTGCAGAGTATTTTGAAAATTGCAGACTCATACAAGTACTCATTGTTATTTTTATTATTCAGTTGGCTGTTTGACATTTACTGAGCACATACTACGGGCCAGACTTTGTTCTCGATATAGGGGCTGGAGCGTTAAACGAAATTGACAGAGTCTGCTCTCATGGAGCTCTCCTTCTAGTGGAAAGAGATTGAGAATATACATACAAATAGGAGATCTCAGAAAGTGATGAATACTATGAATAATATGAAACAAGTGATTTAGTAGTACCGGGGAGGACTGCTTTAGCTAAGAGAATCAAGGGAAAACCTGTCTGAGCTGAAACCTGAATGTAAAAGGAACCAGTCTCATCTTGAAAAGGATAGGGGAGCAACTCAGGAAATAATGAGAGCAAACACAAAGGCCCTGATACAGGCTTCTTAAGAGTCAGGACAGAGTGTGGATGCAGCTTAGTGGACTAGGAGAAGGGAGGGGCGGGATAAGGAGAGAAATGAGCAGAGACCTGATCATATGGGGCTTGATGAGGAGTCTCTATATTTTAATTCACCCAACCCCTACTTTTAACAAACTCAGGAACTAAAGCTCAAAGGTGAAGTGCCTTCTTCAAGATCATGGAAACACTCCATGGTTTTGGAAATTAGATCTCTTCACTTCCTGACAGTCGTTGTTCTGCTTTACTGAGCTGCCTACAACCGGCAGCTTCCATGTCGGTCAGCAGAGGCCTTGGAGATGGAAACTAACATTGCCCTGCACTCTCTGCAGTTGTGATTTTTCCCGAGTTCTTTCTCCTAATGTATTATTTCCCTCCTAATTAGAGATAAATACGTTATCGTCACTTAGCTGCTTTATAAACAAGAGAAAAAACAGAAGTGATTCTACGTTATTCAAGTAAACATTAGTTACTGAAATATTGAAATTGTAAAAATAGAAACAAGATCCAGTGGGTGGCTCTGCACATCAGCTCCTCAGCTGTCTCTATTGCTGTTCCATTGGGAAATGCACAGTTACCTTCTATATCTAACAGGATCCTGCTCCTGCATTCAGGAAACTTACCATCTTAAGAAATGGTTCTGCAAAAGCCTCATAGCCCTCCAAAGTGTTCCTCTGCTCATGTGTGTGGTCAGGGACCATACCATGGCATACATGATGGAGAAACCAGTGTGCTATGTGATAAGACCAAAGCTCTAGTATCACATTTCTCTAGCCACAGTATCTGTGTAAAGGAGTCACCAGCAGCTGCATGTCCTGTTTGGGAACCAAGAATTAAAAAAAACACACACACACACAGCATTGGCTGTGTCTTACCTTCCATCACGTTTTGAATTCTTTGCCAGATAAATTGGCTTCTTACAGTGCTGAAAAGAGCATCCTTCCTCATAGTCTGGGCTGAAGTGCCATCTGGGCCTCAGTGCCTGCCCTTCTCTATCAGAGCCTTCATCACACTGCATTGCAATTGCCTTTCTTTGTCTGACCCCCCATAAAATCATAGGCCACTTAAGGTGAGCAGGTGCCATATCTGTTACATCCACCATTCATTCCCCAGAGCCTCGCACCGTACCTGGCACATAGTAGATATTTGATTAATATTTAAGATAGTGAACTAAATTTAGATCACTACCTAAAGCAGAGGGCGGTGGGTAGGAAATAAGGAAGTTAGGGTCAGAACTTGGAGGACATAAAGGCTAGCAGAAGCTTAGATTTGATGAGAGGACAGAAGGAGTGTTGATGGTGAGAATAAGGGAATAATAAGCATCAAACTGTATAGCCTGCTAACCTCTCAGCAGAGGAATGAAGATGGATGGAATAAAATTAGCAAAATCATTATCATGATGATAACCACAATCTCCTCATGCTGGGAGCTAGGACCTAACCAGGGATGTTCTCTGCTTTCAGCCTCCATGCCTTTCAGATCACCATTGTGTTCCTGCTGAGGGCAGAGTAAGTGATCCTCAAACCTGGCTGACCCCAGGGTCCTCTTGGAGATGAGATATCTGTAGAAGAGAAGGAGGAAGCAAAAAAGTAAGAAATGTCAGTTGATCCTAATCCTTCGATAGCAGATGAGCAGCTCACTCAGGAAACATAAACATTTGGATTCTGGGTATGAGCTTTGAAATCAGGTCTTTCATAGTTTGAATCCATAGTCTTTCACTTACTAGTTCAATGACTATGGGCCAGCGGACATTCAATAAGTGGCAGAGGAGGTTTTTCTAATATCAATTATTATCTTGTGTGCTTATTTCATTATGGCACTAGGGAGATCTCCATAGGCCTGAATCCAAAGCAGGAAAACAAAGGGAAAATTGAGAGAGAACCAGGCGAGGACTTGGGGGCTCAAAAAGGGTCATTTCTTTTTTGTTTTGTAGATGTCATTTCCTCTTTTAGTTCTGTGTTTGTAAAAAGATAGCACATAGTGACATAGTGTAATGAGCTAGAAATTATTTCAAATTCTAGCCCTGCTAATGCATTGGTCAGGATACTTAACTCTAACACACAACAGACAAACTGAACTCCCAGTGGCTTTATTGGGTAGTGGTTTACTCCTCCCTGTGTCATAGTCCTGTTTAAGTTGGGAGACCATCATCCAACCTGTAGCCAAGTCATCCTCCAAGCTCTTCAAGATCACTGAGGCGCAGAGTATGAGAGATGGAGGAGGCGCACCAGCTTTTAGCTGCTCAGCCTGGGAGTGGGACATGTCACCATCACTCTTATGTCACAAGGACCAACCTAAATGCAAGGGAGGCTGAAAAGTACCAAGTAGCACATGGGTATTTGGCAAGTACTATCTCTGCCATAGACACTTTTTGCTGCTGACATTGGAGAGGTCACTCAACCTCTTTAAGTCTCAGTTTCCTCAACTTTGCAATGGACTTAAGTTTCTGCTGTTTGGAGTTTGTGAGAATTACATGGGGCCCAGTGCAGTGGTGGCTCATGCCTGTAATCCCAATGTTTTGGGAGGCCAGAGCAAGAGGATTGCTTGAGCCCAGAAGTTTGAGATCAGCCTGGGCAACATAGTGAGATCCTGTGTCTACAAAAAAATTTAAAGATTAGCTGGGCGCAGTCACACACACCTGTAGTCCCACTCAAGAGCCTGAGGTGGGAGGATTGCTTAAGCCCAGAAACAGAAGCTGCATTTGATCATACCACTGCACTCCAGCCTGGGCAACAGAACCTATCTCAAAAAAAAATTGCATAGGATAATGCAGGTAAAGAGTTTAGCGTTTAGTACATTGCCTGGCAGACAGAAACTATTCAATAACAATGTTGTGTAAATTAAAGAAAAAAAATCAACTAGGGTTCCTTGGCTACAGGCAACAGAAACAGGCTCTATCTAGAAAATATGAAATTTATTAGAAAGATTTCAGGTAGCTTTTATTGAACCTGCATGAAGGCCGAAGAACCAGATTATAAAAGGAAACTAAGGCTCCATGGCAGGAATTACAGAAAACGATTTGATTAATGCCAACCCCTTGGCAAACTGAAGGCTGGGTATTTTGACAGTCTTCCTTCCCCAGGGCTCCACACAGGAAAGAGGTTGTTCTTTTAAAAGAAATCTAGGAGGGAGTGGAGCCTGAGTGGCCACAAATAACAAATACCCATTCACTGTATTAGTTAGGAATAAGTCACATACAGGTCAAACAAGACCCAATTACAGTGGCTTAAAAGGGCAGAGGGAAGCAGCCAGTTGATACATTGACTCAACGATGCCTTCAGGGACCCATGCTTTCTGTCTTTCCTCTCTGCCACCCTTAGCACATTGGCTTCTTATTCCTGTACCTTATCGTCACAAGATGACAACTCCATGTCGAGCAGGAGGAAGAAGGAGAGGCGGTACTGGGTACCGACAGATCTCTGTTATGTTTCATTGGGCAAAATTGTACCCCGTGGCTACTCCTGGCAGCAAGAGATCCTGGGAAATTCTTTTAGGTTTCTAAATACTCTGGTATATTTAAGTAAAGGAGAAGAAGTAGAGATGGGTGTATAGATCTGCTAATCTACAGTGTCTGCCAAATGTCTAGAGTTTAACATTAATGTTAATAAACCAATGTCTTGTGACAGGAAAGAGGTGAGAGGAAACAAAACCAATTGACCTAAAGACACCTTTCACTGACTCCTCCTTCCAAAGTGTTTAGAAGGATTATAGAAAAATGTGAAAATTGCTCCTTAGGGTCTGTGGAACCCCTTTTTGGCCCAGGAGAACTTGAGTAGCATAGGGTATGGAGAGTGAACTGGTCGATTGTTTTTTTTTTCCCAGAGGCTGCTTCTGAATAGATCCCTGTACTTGAAGCTCCCGCTATAGTGAAATGTCTCAAAGGTCCAAACACAATCTACTTCCATGGTCACACATTAACAAGAAAGATAGAAGAATATTTTACAACGTTAACATGCCTTGCATAGTACTTGATCCATTGTAAGTTCTTGGAAAATTGAAGCTATTTTCTATTTTCCCTCAGGACCTATCTTTCCCAGCTTTTGATGTTCAAAATCTAAAATCTAAAAGTCAGGTAACTTCTTGGGGCATATTTCTGTGTATAATAGCAGCAAAATGGAGGGAGTGCAGAGAAAATGGAAAAAGGGCATTGGCAGGTCTCTGGAAATTTGTAAGTCTTTGGGTAAATAAAATTGTCCCATTTCTTCCTTAGCTCTCTCCACATTCTTCCTCTTACTCCAGACACATTTTTTTTTTCAGGCCAGTGAAAGCAGGTAGGTTTGAAAGAGGCTAAGCATAAATACTTATGCTTTTTAATATTTTACAAAAGAACTCAGTTTATCATGCATTTAATAGCCAGCATTTATTGACTATCTGCAATGTGTTACATGCTACAGTTGGGTTATTTTTTTTTAACACATTATAATAGCAATCCTAGCTAACATTTAGGAGGCACTCATTGAGTCCCAGGTCCTTTGTTGAGTGCTTTATATAAATGATCTTTTTTACTTATTACAACAAGCCCACCATGCAAAGGTCTTATTATTTAACGTGTTGCAGATGAGGAAATTGAGGACCCACATAAGTTATAAAATATGTCACATACAGTTTCAGTGGTAGAGCTATGAGTCACAACTAGCTGTCTCAAGCACTAGGCTATGCTTGCTGTTTAATTTTCTCAGCAGCTCTATGGACACAGATTGTCTTATCTTATACCTGAGGAACCCAGGACTTGAGGAGATGAATAACTTGCCCCAGGCCAAAAGCAGAACTATTAAATGGCAGAGGCTGGATTAAACATAGGCCCATCTGGATCTTAAATGCCAAGCTGGGCTATGCCACAAGGCTGAATATAAATTAAATCCTCCTTACCTACAATTCTACTAGGAAAAGTTGCATACACAATATAATGTAGTAGTCAAGAACACAAACTCTGGTACCAAACTAGCTGTCTGACATTAGGCTGGTTTCTTAAACTCCCTGAGCCTCAGCTTACTTATCTGTAAAATGGGACTAACAATACAGTAGTATGTAAATAGCAGAGTTGTTGTAAGGGCTTGGTATAATACCCAGTCCGGAGTTACTGTTCAATAACTGCTAGCTATAATCTTTCTTCCAGTTTGTTTAAACTTTACACATTTTCTCACTCATTGAATAGCCTTAAAGAATCTCCTCCTCTCTTTGGGCCTCAGTCTCCCCATTTGCAAAATAGCTAGAGTTTGTTTCAATATTCTCCAAATCCCCTTGTCCCCTTCCAGCTGTCATTCTATGCTTCTCACACTTCACAGTCAGGCACCATGTGAAGCCACGCTGTCTTATGCTGGCATCTATGGGAAGCATAAGGTCTCCATGAAAATAAACACATGGTTAATGTTGGCAACAGAAGTGCCACCAGCCCCCACGTTCCTATGATTATAATAGCTGTCATTTGTACAGCTTCGTGCCAACTGCTCTTCAGAACATTATAGATACATTATTGTACATAATTCAAGAATCTGCTCATCCCTTTCCTTCACTCTTGCTGATGTTGGCAAAATATATATTTTGCCTAAAATATGTATTGCAAGTTGGGCAGACAGTCTTGACAAGGTATCACATTAGCTGAAATATACATTGTAGGTAATATGAAACATACACACGCACACCCAGACATACAGGCAAATATATAGCTATAGAGAGATCTTTAGATTAGTAATGTGATACCATGTACCTTGTCAGGACTGTGCACCTATCTTACATCCATGTGCAGATTGTCAAGACCCAAAATCTATTCCTCACAGTTGCCCTATAATGCAAAGACTATCGATATCTCCATCTCAATACATAGATAAGGATATGAGGCTCAAAGAGATTAAGTAGGTTACCTAGCTAGGAAGTGGAAACCCTGGCAGTCTGACTCTGAGACTTTATACTATCAACCACTAGACTAACAATGTTCTGCAGTTTTCTGAATGTAAGCCCCCTTTAAAAAGCAGGAAACCATATCCAACTTCGTGATAGTAAAAAAAAAACAAAAAACACTAGCCTCTTCCTTGCCTGCTGGGAGCTTTTCCAGGGGAGCAGGGTAGTACAGGTGGTAACCTCATCAGGAAGCCCCCTCAGGTGGGCTTGTTGAAGCTTTTACTGCTGACGCCATCAGTACTCAAGCCTATGGCGAAGAAACTGTCAGGTGAGGATGACCCATAGATATCCTGACTTCCCATATGTTCTGCCTCTTTATTCACCAGGCAGACACCAACCTAGGCTGCTAGCCAGAGTAACAGACACCTAAAGCTGAGTCTATTCCTTGCTGACCTCGGGTGCAAATAGAGCTTCAGTTTACAGCTGCTCTGCACACCTAACCTCCTCTTTATTGAAGGAAAATACAAGAAGGGCAGGCAAGCAACACTGTGCTCCTGTTCTAATCTTCTGTGTGAGATAAGGAAGTAGCTGTGCTGCATTTTTGTCAAGCATGTGACAGAGATACCTTAAATGATGAGAGGGTGGCTCTACCATAATCTAAATGGAATGGAAAAATGATAGTAAAACTGTAGGCATGGCTTCTGTAATATTTAATTTGCAATGGACCATCAAATTGTTAGGTAGTTGGCATTTTGTGCAACAGGATAAAGCAGATTCGTGTTATTGCAAGTTTTCCATTTACAGAGTAAATGCTCTGTGGCTCTGATCCTTTGATGACTCTGTAAAGCTACTCCCAGTGCAGACAAAATGTGTTTGGACCTGTGAGAGCGTGTACACCAAGGCCTGCTGGAAGTGCCTCTTTCTGTGCTCTAGGGATGCTGAGCTGGGGACTGCATGGGGGAGGCTTCAAGCTCTGGTATCTGCAACCTGCTCAGTCTCACCACATCGAGAACTGGGAGAGGCTTCTTTAAAGCCCATCTTGGCAACTTAGAAACTTCTAGTCAGCAGACCAGGTTCCAGTCTTGGGTCTGATCTAAGCAAGCTATACATAGCCCTAAGCACGTTTCTGGGCATCAGCTTCTCTGTCTATAAGCTATCATGGTTTGAGTGGATCATCTCTAAGACTCCTTCCTTTTTAGTCTGTCACATGGCTAGTAATAAATAGCCATTCACTGTTGTTGTTAACAGTTAATATTATCATTAGTTTTTAAGGCAAAGTAGTTGCTGACATTTCTCTTCTAAATCCAGTGCTGGCATCCACAGATCCTCCTAGCAGGTTCTCACGTGCACCCGTTCAAACACAGGTAGGCTCATCCTCTGTGCCCATCCTAATTGTTGATTACAAACTTCCAAGGCTTACACAGAGGACCCCTTTAGTCATCTGACTTTGTGATTTTTGTTTTCTCTATCACTTACTAATCAATGTGTCCCTTCCAATCTCTCAGAACATTTGAAATTATTAATCAGTCACTTGTTAAGCACCTAATATGTGTTGAACCCTCTGATAGGTCCCATAACAGAAAAATAGAAAATACTAAGCACTGCTATCAGTGAGTCTATGGATATTTGGAAGAAAAGATGCCCAAACTTTTCTCTATCATGCTCAGTTCTCAGCCTGACATTATTCCTTTTTCCTCTGTCATGAGCTCCATTCCCTTCTCTCAGAACCGACTTCAAGAATGTTTTCAACTATGCCATTCTTTGTTTCATCAAATGCCTGGTATTTCTCCATTTTCAGGAAAGTTTAATCCGTGTAGGTCTCACCTATACATTTGCCAAAATCTCTCATGTTGCTGAGTGTTTGACAGCAAGGGCATAATTAGGGACCCTGAACTTGAAAGTAGTGAGTTTGTTTCTTTAAGGTCATATAGCAAATTAATTGCAACACCTAGAAAATAGGGTTCCAAGCCTCACTCAGTCCTTCAACCCTCGTGCCCACTGGAATACTTTGTAGAAGTCTTAGCATCTATTTGAGGTATTACCAATGCAATGAGACTAAATTTTCTTTTTACAAGGTCTCATTTTTCTAGAATTTTACGTCACACTTAAAAGAGCAAGTGACTTCTATAAAACTACCATTTGGTTTTGAATTTTTACCATGTAAATAGTAATGTGCTTATTTTTAGTTAGTTTTCTGATTAAACTCTTTTTGTATATGACCTCATACCTTTCCTCCATCAGGAATTAGTAGAAGTAGGTATATTTTGGAAGGTACCCAACAGATGAGAGCTTGGATCGTGGTCTCTGATGCATCAGCTGGGTGACCTTGGGCAAATTAACTTTATTTTACTCAACAGCAGAATGTAGGAAAATAAATAACTACCTCATGTGGTCACTAGGGAGGTTAAGTAAGGTGTCATCTATAAGACATGGTGCTTAGCAGATAACAGGAGTTCAATAACCTATTCTCTGAACAAAGTTCAACAACTTATTGGTGTCCTACTGTATAAAAAGTACTGTTGGGTATGATGGAAAAATAGTTGACCTATTCATTTATGAACCAAATATTCAATGAATACCTACCATGTACTCCCTATTCAACCATCTTAGTTTCAATTCTCAACTCAAATGTTATCTGTAAGGCCTTTCCTGACCACCACATCTAAAATCAGCCCCTCAATTACTCTTCATTGCATCGCTTTGTGTATTCCCTTCATGGTACTTTTCAGAATCTATCAATGTTTGCTTTGACGGCATGTTTATTGGTTGCCCTTTCCCCATAAGCTAGGGAGGCCTCAACATCATCTACCTTTTTCTTACTAAATCCCCAGCACTCAGCCCAGTGTTCAGAACAAAACAGGCATTCTAACTACTTTTAATTTAATGAATGAATCCTTAGCTACTGGAGATACACTGAGAAACAAAGCAGACATAACTCTTTACTTGAACTGATTCAAAATCAAGTGGGGAAGTGTAAGAAACTTTAAAGTTTCTCTTAACACTGTATCAAGAGCAAACAATGACAGATTTTAAAGGTAGGTATAAATGGAAGTTCCAAACCCAGAAGAAGAAGAAAAGAGGTAGTGGAGGTGGAGGAGATGCAGAAATCTTAGGTAGAATGTGGCTTTGGTGTGAAGTTCGCAATATTTGCAAAGCATTCCCCAGACAGAGGTCCTTCTCAGTTTGGCTTGTGGTGACTCTTAGGGAAGAAATCCCCCATTCTGAGCTGAGAACGGAGTTTTGCTTCAGATGTGTTTTGATTTGCACCTTTGATATTTTCCTACAACTTCAGAGCAATCACATTGTGTTGCTCCTGGAAGAGATGAGGCGCCACCTGCTAGTCAGAAAGAACCGAGATTATAAGACTTAAAAAAAAAAAAAAAAAAAAAAAAAACTTCTCTACCCCCCAAAAGGATTTATACTTTTCAGAGAGTGTTCTTGTTCTTTTTTCAATGACATGAGTAATATGTGTTCATCACAAATATTTTTAAACCACAAATAAAAAAAAAATGTAAATCTTATCTACCATCCCATAATGCAGATATATTTTGGTGTATATGCTTCTAACTTGTTGTATACATATGGCCTAATCTTAATGTACATAATTATTGAATGTGTTCTTTATGTGTAACAGTATGCAATAATCATTTTCTATGCCATTTAATGCACTTCTACATTAAATACATTTCATAAACAATACTTCACCTAATGGCAGTAGCACATACATTAACACCTGTGTAAAGGGAAAAGAATGAGGACAATTTGGGAAAATCATGAAAGGAGGTATATTTAGAAGTTAAGAGCTGAGACTCTGGAGGGGACGGAGGTTCAATCCTATCTCTGCATTTACAAGAGGCAGGGCATCAGCAAGCCATGAACTTGTCACTGCATCGTTTTGCTCATCTATAAAATGGGAATCATGACAGAAACCGTTTCCTGTGGTGGTTTTAAGGATTAAATTAAAGCGCTTGGCCCCACAGTGTTTAATAAATATTAATTTCATATTTAAAAGGAGACTAGAACAAGAATAAAAGAGAAAGAAAATGTGCATGAAGAAAAATGGGAAAAGAAAAAGAAAAGATCAAAGGGGTAGGGATGTCTTGTCCATAACCTGGAGAACTACTCAGTAGTTGGGGGAAGGCTGGGAGATGGAAGGCGCAGGATCAGGAGAGGTGACTGGGATGGCTGCACAGGAAGTGGTGGATTTTCTACAGGAGCTACTGATCTGTGTCTGAGCTCCACACTCTTATGCGGGGAAAAATAACACAACAACCACAACGACACAACGTCTGCCCAGAGCATTCTTGTCTGGGCTGGAAGGCTTCCCTTGGAGTGGCTGATGGGGGATTCCTTGCCTCTGCTCCACCAGGGAAGGGAGCCCTCTTGAGGGTGGAGCTGAGGAGGGCTGGACGGCAGCTGTCTCACACTCTGGGAAAAGGACCTCAAGAGTGTCCCATTCCAGAATTCCCAGAATCAGTGAGATACATTATATCCACTGACAGGAGCTTAGATCCTGAGCCTCCCAGCCAGAGAAAATCTGTTGCTGTTCATTGTCATCTAATTTTGTTTAGTTTTTAACAGCTTACTCAAGGTATAATTGCATATAATAAACTGGTTTTGCTTATTTGTATTTTAAAAAATATTTGTGATGAACATGTATTACTCATGTCACTGAAAAAAGTACAAGAACTCTCTCTGAAAAGTATAAATCTTTTTTGGGGGGAGAGATGCATATAATTGCACGTATTATACTATAATTGCAATTATAATTGCATATAATATTAAAAACATACAATTTGTAACTTAGACATACCCTGTGAAACCATTACCACAATGAAGACCAAAAACACATCCGTCACCCCCAAAGTTTCCTCATACCCCTTTTTAGTTCCTCATATCACCACCCTGTCTCCCAAAAGCCTTCTACATGACGACATTTTTCTTCCTTTCCCCACTTTCTTATTTTTAATAAATATTAGAAAATTTGGTATTATGTCCCTATCATTTCATTTTCCTGAGAAGGGGTGCTCACAGTATTTTTCTTCATAACCCACTAAAAACTGTGACCCCTCCCCCCCACTTTCAATATCAAAGTGGCTTTAAAAGGCAGCAGCATCTCCATATGTGTAAATGGAAATGCTTTTATATTGTCTCTTTTTATTATACCTTAAGTTCTGGGATATATGTGCAGAATGTGCAGGTTTGTTAAACAGGTATACATGTGCTATGGTGGTTTGATATACCCATCGACCCGTTACCTATATTAGGTATTTCCCCTAATGCTATCCCTCCCCTACCACCCCCACCCCCTGACAGGCCCCAGTGTGTGATGTTCCCCTCCCTGTGTCCATGTGTCTCATTGTTCAACCCCACTTATGAGTAAGAACATGCAGTGTTTGGTTTTCTGTTCCTGTGTTAGTTTGCTCAGAATGATGGTTTCCAGCTTCATCCATGTCCCTGCAAAGCACATGAGCTCATCCTTTTTTATGGCTGCATGGTATTCCATGGTGTATATGTGCCACATTTTCTTTATCTGGTCTGTCATTGATGGGCATTTGGATTGGTTCCAAGTCTTTGCTACTGTGAATAGTGCTGCAATAAATATACGTGTGCATGTGTCTTTATAGTAGAATGATTTATAATCCTTTGGGTATATACCCAGTAAAGGGATTGCTGAGTCAAATGGTATTTCTGGTTCTAGATCCTTGAGGAATCGTCACACTGTCTTCCACAATGGTCAAACTAATTTACACTCTCACCAACAGTGTAAAAGTGTTCCTATTTCTCCACATACTTTCCAGCATCTGTTGTTTCCTGACTTTTTAATGATCACCATTCTAACTGATGTGAGATGGTATCTCATTGTGGTTTTGATTTGCATTTCTCTAATGACCAGTGATTATGAGCTTTTTTTCATATGTTTGTTGACTGCATAAATGTCATCTTTTGAGAAGTGTCTGTTCATATCCTTTGCCCACATTTTGAGGGGGTTGTTTTTTTCTTGTAAATTTGTTTGTTTCTTGTAGATTCTGGATATTAGTCCTTTGTCAGATGGATAGATTGCAAAAATTTTCTCCCATTCTGTAGGTTTCCTATTCACTCTAATGATAGTTTCTTTTGCTGTGCAGAAGCTCTTTAGTTTAATTAGATCCCATGTGTCAGTTTTGGCTTTTGTTGCCATTGCTTTTGGTTTCGTTGCCAATGCTATTACCTTTTAGTTTTTACGGTTTTAGATCTTATGTTAAGTCTTTAATCCATCTTGAGTTAGTTTTTGTATAAGATGTAAGGAAGAGGTCCAGTTTCAGTTTTCTGCATATGGCTAGTCAGTTTGCCCAACACCATTTATTAAATAGGGCATCGTTTCCTCATTGCTTGTTTTTGTCAGGTTTGTCAAAGATCAGATAGTTGTAGATATGTGTTGTTATTTCTGAGGCCTCTGTTCTGTTCCATTGGTCTATATATCTGTTTTGGTACCAGTTCCATGCTGTTCTGGTTACTGTAGCCTTGTAGTATAGTTTGAAGTCAGGTAGTGTGATGCCTCCAGCTTTGTTCTTTTGGCTTAGGATTGTCTTGGCTATATGAGCTCTTTTTTAGTTCCATATGAAATTTAAAGTAGTTTTTTTCTAATTCTGTGAAAGAAGTCAATGGTAGCTTGATGGGAATAGCATTGAATCTATAAACTACTTTGGGCAGTATGGCCATTTGCATGATATTGATTCTTCCTATCCATGAGCATGACATGTTTTTCCACTTGTTTGTGTCCTCTCTTATTTTCTTGAGCAGTGTTTTGTAGTTCTCCTTGAAGATGTCCTTCACATCCCTTGTAAGTTATACTCTAGGTATTTTATTCTTTGTAGTAATTGTGAATGGGAGTTCACTCATGATTTGGCTCTCTGTTTGTCTGTTATTGGTGTATAGGAATGCTTGTGATTTTTACACATTGATTTCTTATCTTGAGACTTAGCTGAAGTTGCTTATCAGCTTAAGGAATTTGGGGTTGAGATAATGGGGTTTTCTAAATATACAATCATGTCATCTGCAAACAGAGACAATTTGACTCCCTCTCTTCCTATTTGAATATGCTTTATTTCTTTCTCATGCCTGATTGCCCTGGCCAGAACTTCTAATACTATGTTGAATAGGAGTGGTGAGAAAGGGCATTATCATCTTGTACTGTTTTTCAAAGGGAATGCTTCCAGCTTTTTCCCATTCAGTATAATATTGGCTGTGGGTTTGTCATAAATGGCTCTTATTATTTTGAGATACATTCCATCAGTACCTAGTTTATTGAGAGGTTTTAGCATAAAAGGGTATTGAATTTTATCAAAGGCATTTTCTGCATCTATTGAGATAATCATGTGGTGTTTGTCATTGGTTCTGTTTATGTGATGGATTACATTTATTGATTTGTGTATGTTGAACCAGCCTTGCATCCCAGGGATGAAGCCAACTTGATCGTGGTGAATAAGCTTTTCCATGTGCTGCTGGATTCAGTTTCCCAGTATTTTATTGAGGATTTTCACATCGATGTTCATCAGGGATATTGGCCTGAAATTTGTTGTTGTTTTGTTGCTGCCAGGTTTTGGTATCAGGATGATACTGGCCTCATAAAATGAGTTAGGGAGGAGTCCCTCTTTTTCTATTGTTTGGATAGTTACAGAAAAAAAATGGTACCAGCTCCTGTTTGCACCTCTGGTAAAATTCAGCTGTGAATCCATCTGGTCCTGGGCTTTTTTTGATTAATAGGCTAATAATTACTGCCTCAATTTCAGAACTTGTTATTGGCCTATTCAGGGATTCGACTTCTTCCTGGTTTAGTCTTAGGAGGGTGTATATGTCCAGGAATTTATCAATTTCTTCTTGATTTTCCAGTTTATTTGTGTAGAGGTGTTTATAGTATTCTCTGATGGTAGTTTGTATTTCTGTGGGATCAGTGGTGACATCCCCATTATCATTTTTTATTGTGTATATTTGATTTTTCTCTCTTAATAATCTGGCTAGTGGTCTATTTTGTTAATCTTTTCAAAAAACAAGTTCCTGGATTCATTGATTTTTTTTTTTTTGAAGGGTTTTTGTTTGTGTTTCTATCTCCTTCAGTTCTGCTCTGTTCTTAGTTATTTCTTGCCTTCTGCTAGCTTTTGAATTTGTTTGCTCTTGCTTCTCTAGTTCTTTTCATTATGATGTTAGGGTGTCAATTTTAGATCTTTCATGCTTTCTCCTGTGGGCATTTAGTGCTATAAATGTCCCTCTACACACTGCTTTAGCTGTGTCCCAGAGATTCCAGTATGTAGTGTCTTTGTTCTCATTGGTTTCAAAGAACTTCTTTATTTCTGCCTTCATTTCATTATTTAACTGGTAGTCATTCAGGAGAAGGTTGTTCAGTTCCATTTGTTGTGTGGTTTTGAGGGAGTTTCTTAATCTTGAGTTCTAATTTGATTCCACTGTGGTCTAAGAGACTGTTTGTTATGATTTCCGTTCTTTTGCATTTGCTGAGGAGTGTTTTACTTCCAATTATGTGGTCAATTTTACAATAAGTGATATGTGGTGCTGAGAAGAATGTATATTCTGTTGATTTAGAGTGCAGAGGTCTGTAGATGTCTATTAGGTCCACTTGGTGCAGAGCTGAGTTCAAGTCCTAGATTTCCTTGTTAATTTTCTGTCTTATTGATCTGTCTAATATTGACAGTGGGGTGTTAAGTCTCCCACTATTATTGTGTGGGAGTCTAAGTCTCTCTTTAGGTCCCTAAGAACTTGCTGTATGAATCTTGGTGCTCCTGTATTGGGTGCATATATGTTTAGGATAGTTAGCTCTTCTTGTTGCATTGATCCCTTTACCATTATGTAATGCCCTTGTCTTTTTTTGTCTTTGTTGGTTTAAAGTCTGTTTTATCAGAGACTGGGATTGCAACCCCTCATTTTTTTGCTTTCCTTTTGCTTGGTAAATATTTCTCCACCCCTTTATTTTGAGCCTATGTGTGTCTTTGCAGGTGAGATGGGTCTCCTGAATACAGCACGCTGATGGTTCCTCACTCTTTATCCAATTTGTCAGTCTGTGTCTTCTAATGGGGCATTTAGCCTGTTTATATTTAAGATTAATATTGTTATGTGTGAATTTGATCCTGTCATTATGATGCTAGCTGCTTATTTTATCCATGAGTTGACGCAGTTTCTTCATAATTTCGATGGTCTTTAAAATTTGGTATATTTTTGTAGTGGCTGGTACCGGTTGTTACTTTCCATGTTTAGTGCCTCCTTCAGGAGCTCTTGTAAGGCAGTCCTGGTAGTGACAAAATCTCTTAGCATTTGCTTGTCTGTAAAGGATTTTATTTCTCCTTCACTTATGAAGCTTAGTTTGACTGGATATGAAATTCTGGGATGACAATTCTTTTCCTTAAGAATGTTGAATATTGGCTCCCGCTTTCTTCTGGCTTGTAGTTTTTCTGCAGAGAGATCCACTGTTAGTCTGATGGGCTTCCCTTTGTGGGTAACCTGGCCTTTCTCTCTGGCTGCCCTTAACATTTTTTTCCTTCATTTCAACCTTGGTGAATCTGGCGATTATGCATCTTGGGGTTGCTCTTCTCGAGGAATATCTTTGTGGTGTTCTCAGTATTTCCTGAATTTGAATGTTGGCCTGTCTTGCTAGGTCAGGGAAGTTCTTCTGGTAATATCCTGAAGAGTGTTTTCCAACGTGGTTCCATTCTCCCCATCACTTTCAGGTGCACCAATCAAACATAGGTTTGGTCTTTTCACGTACTCCCATATTTCTTGGAGGCTTTGTTTGTTCCTTCTCATTCTTTTTTCTCTAATCTTGTCCTCACACTTTATTTCATTAAGTTGATATTCAGTCTCTGATATCCTTTCTTCTGCTTGATCGATTTGGCTATTGATACTTGTATATGCTTCACAAAGTTCTCGTGCTGTGTTTTTCAGCTCCATCAGGTCATTTGTATTCTTCTCTAAACTGGTTATTCTAGTTAGCAATTCATGTAACATTTTTTCAAGGTTCTTAGCTTCCTTGCATTGGGCTAGAACATGCTGCTTTAGCTCGGAGGAGTTTGTTATTACCCACCTTCTGAAGCCTGCTTCCAACAGGCTCATTCATCAAACTCATTCTCCAACCACTTTTGTTCCCTTGCTGGTGAGGAGTTGTGATCCTTTGGAGGAGAAGAGGCGCGTTCTGGTTTATGCAATTTTCAGCCTTTTTGTGCTGGTTTTTCTTCATCTTCGTGGATTTATCTACCTTTTGTCTTTGATGTTGGTGACCTTCAAATGGGGTTTTTGTGTGGACGTCCTTTTTATTGATGTTGATACTATTCCTTTCTGTTTGTTAGGTTTCCTTCTAAGAGTCAGCCCCCTCTGCTGCAGGTCTGCTGGAGCTTGCTGGAGGTCCACTCCAGACCCTGTTTGCCTGGGTATCACCAGTGGAGGCTGCAGAACAGCAAAGATTGCTGTGTGTTCTTCCTCTGGAAACTTCATCCAAGAGGGGCACCCGCCAGATGCCAGCCAGAGCTCTCCTGCATGAGGTGTCTGTCGACCCCTGCTGGGAGGTGTCTCCCAGTTAGGAGGCACGGGGATCAGTGACCCACTTGAGGAAGCAGTCTGTCCTGAGCAGAGCTGGAGCACTGTGCTGGGAGATCCACCGCTCTCTTCAGAGCTGGCAGGCAGGAATATTTAAGTCTTCTGAAGCTGCACCTGCAGCTGCCCCTTCCCCCAGGTGCTCTGTCCCAGGGAGAGAGTTTTATCTATAAGCTCTTGATTGGGGCTGCTGCCTTTCTTTCAGAGATGCCCTGCCCAGAGAGGAGGAATCTAGAGAGAAAGTCTGGCTACAGTGGCTATGCATCGCTGCAGTGGGTTCTCCCCAGTTCAAACTTCCCTGTGGCTTTGTTTACACTGGGAGGGGAAAACCTCCTACTCAAGCCTCAGTAATGGCATACACCCCTCCCCCCACCAAGCTCAAGCATCCCAGGTGGACTTCAGACTGCTGTGCTAGCAGCAAGAATTTCAAGCCAGTAGATCTTAGCTTGTTTGGCTCTGTAGGGGTGGGATCTGCTGAGCTAGACCACTGGCTCCATGGCTTCAGCCCCCTTTTCAGGGGAGTGAATGGTTCTGTCTCACGGGCATTCCAGGTGCCACTTGGGTATGAAAAAAAAACTCCTGCAGCTAGCTCAGTGTCTGCCCAAACGGCCTCCCAGTTTTGTGCTTGAAACCCAAGGCCCTGGTGGTGTAGGCACCCGAGGGAATCTCCTGGTCTGTGGGTTGTGAAGACTGTAGGAAAAGCAAAGTATCTGGGCTGGAGTGCACCGTTCATCATGGCACAGTCCCTCACAGCTTCCCTTGACTAGGGGAAGGAGTTCCCCATCTCCTTGCACTTCCCGGGTTACATGACATCTCACCCTGCTTTGGCTTGCCCTCTGTGGACTGCACCAACTGTCTAACTGGTCCCAGTGAGATAAGTCAGGTACCTCAGTTTGAAATGCAGAAATCACCCACCTTCTGAGTTGATCTTGCTGGGAGCTGCACACTGGATCTGTTCCTATTCATCCATCTTGCCAGCCATACCTGTATTGTCTCTTATTATCGTTTTTTACTTGCCTGTGGAATTGGAGATAAAGTAACTGGAGACAGTTTGGATACCAGGGATGGAAGACAAATCATGACTTTTTTCATTTGACAAAGGGGAGGTTTGTAGAAGGTTCTTTGTGTATAGGAAAAAGCAATACAAGGTTTTTGTGCTTAATGTAGTTCATAGTTTAGAAAGTGGGAACCTACCACAGCCAAGTAAACAAATAATCACTTTTTAAAGGAAAACAAAAATCATGCAGTGCCCCCAAAAATTATCTGTTTTAAATGTAAAGCATAAGGAATGGTCTGTCTGAATGGAGGCAATTCATTAATTTGAAAACAGAAGCCTGGGGACGTTTGGGGGACATAGTTCAAGGCCGTTCATCAGCTAATGCCAAGGACCTTAGTGGCAAGAAATTGAGGTCACCAGAACAGCAAGTCAGCATGGCTGGAGCAGGTGAAATTGGGAGAGGCCTGAGAATACAGCTGAAGGAAGAGGCAGGAGCCAGATCACGTGAATCCCAGGAGGCCTTGGAAGGAGCTTGGAGCTTGGGTTTTAGTCTAAATGCGATGAAAAGCCATAGGAAGGTTTAATCACCATCTGATCTGTTGAATATTGCAGCTTCTCACTAAAGAACATATAAAAGAAAAAAATCATTAATTTACTGACTGAAGCAAATAATTATGAATGTAATATTGTTTCTCTGCTATAGCGTCTTGGCTTGGAGAAAAATAACAAATGACTGTTTTATATTGAAGTGTGCTACCTGCCAGGCATAATTCTAGACCTCTTACCCATATTTCTCATTCACCTCTACAATACATGTAGTATTCCTACACTCATATAGATGGGAGCATTGACTCAGATTAAATAATTTCCCCATTTACAAAACTTCAAAAATAGCTCACCTAAGTAAATGAATAGAGTCAAGGAAAATGTCTTTTTCTATCAAAACTTTTCTTGCAACTTTTCACTGCAAGGGGTCATTTAAAACCTGTTTCTGGCTGGGCACAGTGGCTCACACCTGTAATCCCAGCACTTTGGGAGGCTGAGGCAGGTGGATCACTTGAGGCCAGGAGTTCAAGATTAGCCTGGCCAACATGGTGAAACCCCATCTCTACTTAAAATACAAAAATTACTCTAGCGTGGTGGCTCACGCCTATAGTCCCAGCACGAGAATCCCTTGAACCTGGGAGGTGGAGATTGCAGTGAGTTGAGACTGCGCCACTGCACTCCAGCCTGGGTGACGGAGCGAGACTCTGTCTCAAGAAAATAAATAAAAAATAAAACCTGTTTCCTCCATGGAGCTTACTGGTTTTTAGATAAAAAGCAGGTCATGCATTGGAAGGAGAAGGTCAGAGAGAATGAGGAAGGAGGTAAGAGGAAAATCACTGGGGGTGAAGGACACATACTGATGGGATTCTGAGGCAAGGGACCTACGATGTTCTCCCAGAGCATGATTAAACTTACTCTGCCACCTGGCAAAGTAGCATGAGGACAAGTTGTGGAGACCTGGCAGTCTGGTAACACAGAATGTTGGCAAAGAAGCAAACCTCAGCAACTGCAAACATAGGTAGCTGTTACACAAAAGGCCTCAAAAAGTTTAACAGAATTACAGTACAGAAAAAGTTAAACAGAGAACTACAGTACAATTCCACAGTTCCACTCCTTAGTATACATGCAAAAGAATTAAAAACAGTTATTCAAACGCACATACATACACACACACACACACACGCACACACATACACGTAAACAAATGGTCATAGCTGCACCACTCATAGTCATCAAAAAGTAAATGAAAACAGTCCAATTCAGCCTGGTCAACATAGTGAGACCTGTCTCTACAAAACATAAAAAACAATTGCCAGGCATGGCAGCATATGCCTGTAGCTCCAGCTACTCAGGAAGCTGGGAAGATCACTTGTACTCAGGAGTTAGAGGCTGCGGTGAGCTGTGATTGTGCCACTGCACTACAGCCTGGGCAACAGAGAAAGACCCTGGCTCTAAAAGATAAAAGAGAAAAAAAAATGAAAACAACTCAAATGGCCATCAGATGATGAATGGATAAACATAATATGGCATATCAGTACAATGGAATGTTGCTCGGCCATAAAAAGAAATAAAGTTCTGATGCCTGCTACAGAGAAAAGCAATTTCAGAAACATTGCTAAGTGAAAGCCAGACACAAAGAGCCACATGTTATATAATAGCACTTATAAAATATCCAGAATAGTCAAATCCAAAGAGACAGAAAGCAGCTGAGTGGTTGCCAGGGACTGGGCAAAGGGGAATAGGGAGTGACTGCTTAATGGGGAGGGTTTCTTTCTTTGGGATAAAAATGCTAAAACTAGATCAAGGTGATGGTTTCACAACATTGAAAATGTACTAAATGCCACGATTTGTACATGTTAAAATGGTTAATTTTAAGTCATGTGACTTTAGCTTCAATTACAAAAAAAACTCAGCAGGGTCATAAGAAGCACTTAGTCCATAAAGAACATCTTTAGATAATTTCTTTATTAATTCTACATATCTATGAAACTTCTATTAGATTACTTATTAGGATGGGCCAAATAATACATGGTCTCTGCCTTCATGGAGTTTACATTTTGATGGAAGAAACAGACATTAATCAAATAATAAGAATGCAAATTAAGGATGAGGCAAACACTCTGAAGGAAAAGCACCACATTGCCAGGAGGGAGTCAGGGAAGGCTTTCCCAGTGAAATGGCAAATGAATCTTCCAAAGAATTCACTAGGGAAGGGAGGAGGAGAGGGATCAAGATTCTATGTAGAAGGAAAAGCTTATGCAAAGGCCTCAGGGTAGGAGGTGTGACAGGAGATGTCAGGTTCTGAAGCAAAGCCTCTCTAGCTGGTTGTAGATATGAGAAGATGTTCAGCATAAGATGAGGCTGCCAGGAAAGGCAGCCTGGGTCCACGTCCTGAAGATCCCTGCAGGCCTATTCAGGATTTTGGTTCTAGTCTTTAAAAGAATAGGAGACACTCCCCAGTTTCCCCTCCCCATGTCTCTCCATTCCCTGCCCTGCATTTTCCATTCTCACATGTCTTTATTTACTGTATCCCACTACTTCTATGTAAGCTCCACGGGATAGATTCTTTGTGCCCACTGATGTGTCTTCAGTGCACAGCGTGCACTAGGTGCTCAAAGGCTTGTTGAATGAATTCATGGATTTCCATTTTGAAAATACCACTCAGGCTACAGTCTGAGGAACAAATTAGTTGGGAGTGAGAGAAGCAGCAGGACAGTCAGCTGATCAGTTCTTTGGGGAGTGGGAGGGGAAGAATTAGGTTTTGAGCAACTCCTTTTAATTACTACACATGGTCCACTGCCTGTGGATGGACAACAGCTGGTTCTTTTGCAAGAAGCAGGTCTTACCTTGAAGAGTAAAGACCCTCCTATCAGCTGGGCACTCTAGCCACCCGATTCAGACTGCCCTGGTAGAGGTTAAACCCTCGTATGTCAAAGGGTAAGGGGAACATCTATTCAATGAGGAATGTTGGAAGGCTGCGGGGTTGGCTGGCAGGTTAGTGTGGCTGTTGAGAGGGCATTGGGACCAATGTCCAAAGACCTGGACCCTACCAAGCCTCTGGTCATTTCACCATGAAACCTTATGGTCTCTCCCTGTATCTAGTTCCCCATCATATTAAGCATGTAAATGATGGGCTTGGTTTAGGTGGCTTATCCCCACCCTATTTTTTCCCCACAGTAGATTTTGTCTAATATTGTGACATTAACAATGTGAGTTTATTTAAGCCATTGTGACAAAAGGTTACTGCATTGAGTGTTATGACAAAACAATGTAAATTCAGCAACACTTTTAATGGATTCTTCAATATCCCCAGTAACATCTATATCTCAAAAATAGGTGTATAAATTGTAAAATCTGATATTCAATCTAGGCAGTGTTCTAGTGTTCATAGATTTTGGAGACCCTTGTTACCCATTTTGTGGCCTCATGAATTGTAGGTCATGTGGTTCTTAAACCACCGGAATGGAAAACATAAAAATCAGAATCCTAGGAACAAAGGAAGACAGAGCCAATTGCAGAAGGGAACATGGAATTGCTTCGCAGTCTACATGAATGTTTTGCTGCTTGCCTCTGCCTCCTCCCCTCTGCTTCTTGATTCCAGAGAGAAGAACGGTCCTTCTAGATTCAAGAAGCAGATTGTCTTATTTCCTGCCCAGATGAATTACTGTTTCACCAGCGGCAGACCCTGGGTGGCTTCTAGAATAGCTCAGAAAATGAGGAACATTTAGAGAAGCCGCCTAGACATCGAGAGACTTCTGATAGCTGCTTAATAAAGTTTATGAGAAGCAAAACTTCTGCATCTTTGAAGCAGAGAAGCCTCAGGTCTGAAAATTGGTGCTGCCTTCTCTCTTGGCCTCTGCTGCATTTTCAGGATTTTTTTAAAGAAATTTCTTTGTCAGAGGTGCTGATACTCTTTTCCCAAAGCTCATTAATTTCTCAGCATTATACATTTATTTTATCCTCTAATTAGGCATCACTTCTCACATATTTATGGTAGTGTATGCCCATGGGCCAGGATTACCCCTTCTTGTACAGAGGCCAGTCTACACTTTTGACCTGTGTAACAACTGCATGTGGAGGCAGGGCAAGAGCCACAGACCAAATGAGATTTATGACAGGCTCCTTTGTCCATATGCCTTTTATGCAATACATTAAACAAATATTTGAGCAATTACCATGTTGCACGTGTTGCTCTAGATGCCTGGGATTTTTGCAGTGAACCAAAGACAAAAATCTCTGCCTCCCAACGTAAGCAAACAATATCATAGGTTAGCAGTTGATAAGGGCCTCTTAGGAAAAAGAAGAGAGTTGGGTAAGAAAAGCTGGGAGTGCCAGAGGGTAGCAATAAGGTGGAGTGTGCTTGTACATAGGGTGTCCGGAAGTTGGCCCTTGACAAGGACCTGTATCAGGAAAAAGCCACACAGGTATCTTGGGGAAGAACAATCCAGACAGCAGGGACAGTGACTGAAAGACCCTCAGGAGGGTTTGTGATCCATGTATCCAAAGAATAGTCAGGAGGTCAACGTAGCTGGAGAAACATGAGTGAGGGGAGACACAGCAAGGTTGAGGTCAGAGAAGTAATGGAGCAAGATTGTGTAAGACTTTGCGGGCCTTTAAGGACTTGGGCTCTTACTGGGAGTGAAATGGGGGCCAATTGTGAGTTCTGGTCAGAGGAGTGATGAGGTCTCACTTGTGTTTTAGTCATTATATGCTTATATGGTCGGCCATCCATATCCATGGGTTCTGAACCTGTGTTTTCAAGCAACCATGGATATAAAATATCAGAAAACAAAATTTGTGTTGAAGAGGTACAGACATTTTTCTTGTAGTTATTCCCTAAACAATAATGTATAACAACTATTTATATAACATTTACATTGTATTAGGTATTATAAGTAATATAGAGATGATTTTAATTATATAGCAGGATATACATTGGTTATACACAAATAGTGTACCATTTTATATCAAGGACTTGAGCATCTCTGGATTTTGGTATCCAAAGGAGGTCCTAGGACCAATCCTCCACAGATACTGGAGGACAGCTGTATTTCCATTTGCCTCATAGCCTTAACAGCAATTGAAAATTCGTGCCTGGCTCAATTACATTAGAGTTTGCAAAATGCTTTTCATAATTCTGTCACTCATTCTATAGTTATCAGCTGACATTTCCTTGTGAAACAGAGCCTTCTCTCATCAATTTTGGGTATTTGATTACCCAGGAATACATTTCCTGCTGGAGGGTAAAAATAAATGCTTAGGTTTTTCCCTTTAATGGAGCATTTTCAAGGAAAGTATTTCTTTTAATAGTCACCTCACATAGCATCAAATGTGCCTTGTGCTTTACAGGGACTCTCCCATAGTCTCTATCTTATATGGTTCGTTCTTGTTGCCTGGAATGAAATTATGGCATGGACCATTGCCCTGAGTTAGCTGTCATCTTTTAGAGGTTCTTTTTGCATTGTGCATTCATGATTTCTAGGAAGGAAAAGGACCACTCTGGAAGAAGGGATGTTAATTCTTCCCTAGATTTGTTGGTCAGATCAGCCAATTCTTGCGTCTAGATCCTAAAGGGCAGCCTTGATAGTGTCATCACTCCATGAGCTTCATTATTTAAAGCTAAACCCAAATGACCTTGCCGGGTTTTTAAGGCTCTGTGAAATCTGTGCCCAGATGGGCTTTAACTTCTTGATTATTTCCCTGTTACTTCCCCTCACCAATACAAACACACACATAGCCCCTCTAAGCTATCCAGGGCCTCAAAACACACTCTACTTTATTCCACCTCCAAATGTTGTCTATGGTAAAATTATCCCGAGATGCTTTTCTCCAGTTATCTGTACCTGTTTAGTTTTATCTTTCAAGTCCTCCATCAAATGTTCCTTTCTTGATCTCCACCCTAAATAACCCCAAGGTTGAAATCCAATTCCATTTTCTCTGTGCACCCATGTCATTTTGCCTTATCCACCTCTCACTTTGTTTCTCATGTCCTTGCTTGTATAAAACTTGTGTTTGTGGCAACCACAGCCATGGGTTTACAAAACAGGAGATGTTGCCTTGATTTCTAAAAATTCCCCCGATGGCTAAAAGTAGCGTCTGTTTCCTGGTAGGTGCTCAAACATTCATGGAAAAGAATCTGATTCTTCGGTGATTTTCAAATTTCTACTGTCATTTACACATTTAACCAATATATATTGATCACCTATTGTTTCTCAAAAAGTGGTTACTGTGGAGGATACAAAAATGAATCAAGAAGCAGATCCTGACTTCTGGAAGAGTAATTTAGGAGCAAGAGGACGTGTATCTAAGTTACTACAGCACAAAGTAGGAAATGCAAAAAGCTAGAAAATCAAGAACAATGGGTTAAATTCACTCTGGCATTTCTCTTTGCTCTGCTACAGATATTTTCTTCAATAGCTTATGATTTATCCCATCAACTAGGATGAAAACAACTTTCATAAGGCACAAGGGATTTTCTCTTGTCCCTAGAAGAGCTTTCAGTGTCATGCTGATGCCCGTCTTGAGCAGAGAGCAAAGACAGACTCATTCTATGCCATGTTTTTTCTCTCTCATTAATTCAGGCTGAGTTCCCACTCAAAATGGGATTTAATAACTTTCCTTTCCATCAGCAACAAAGACTCCTATTTTCATGATTTCTGTAAGTTAGGAATCAATACATTTGATCCTGGGGTTTTGCCAAGGTGTCTTCCTCTGACTTGCCTGCAAAGTTATTTCTGGGTCCATTGTTTACATGGGCTTATCAGCCATGCAAATACATCTGGGGAGAAGACACTCACTCACTGAGGAACCACTTTTTCTCTAGTTTTCTGCTGGTTCAGCCTTCACATTCCCCATCTGGGCCATGCAGGGTGCTGCCTTCCTTCTTAGAATCACAGTGTGCTCCTTGCATCCGCTTCCCTTATTAAAACAGGAGAGCTGAGAACAATCAGAGCTCTGCAATTCTCCCTCTCAGCTCATCAGTTTTCTCTGTTTACTTATTCATTCACTTATGTATTCATTTATTCAACAAATACTGATTAATCACCTCCCTTTTTATATACTCTGCCTATTCCCAAAAGGATCAGAGGTGGCTTGTGGGATCAAACATAATGCAAAACAGGGTAGCCAGGGATAAAAACAGAAAGGAAGGAGGAGGCCTTGCCACCAGTTCCAACGGTGATTGGAATTTGGCCCTGGCTCTATTGCAGCAAAAGAGAGATTTGTTGGATTCCTGGGTTTTTCTTTCTGCCCAACCAAAACATGCAAATTTGTGGACAGAATATAACTTTTTCCTGCAATTAAACATCCAGTAGAGTGCTTTGTTCTTGTACTCAAATGCCTTTGGAATAAATGAATTAATTCACTGTTTCTCAAATTTTAGACATTTGTGTGCCACCTTTCAAATGTTTGCTTAAATGTATGACTGCTATTTATTTTTTACTTTTCTTTAAATTAACTTTTCACTTAAATTTTTTAAAAATATTTTTTCCATAAATGGAATACTTATATCAATTGCCATAATGAAAAAGTAATGATAAAAATAAATATAAATAACATTTCACTCTAAATAAATAATGACGCCTGCCTAAAACTCTGAGCTGTGGTATCTCCCACAGGGAGATTAGGGAGATTAGAGCATGTTATATGTTTAAATCATGCTAGCATCAGGCTGAGATAGCCAGTTCTTTTGATTATACTAAAGGAAACTTAAAAAGAAAAATTATCACTATAGACATAAATATGATATTATTTTTAATTATCATCCTACATCATTTCATACTACCTAACATCTTTATACATCTTTATACATGTCAGTCCCCTTCTTGGAAAATACTGATCAATTAACTGAAGCTGATTTTGGTGAGATACAATTTCCTCCTACCTGGAAGATGTGAAAACTCTTTGACTCTTACACACATTGGGTTTATTTCAACAAGTACAACATTAAGCCACCTAATCTACTCCCTTTGTAATTCACAAAAGACTGTTACAAGATGGTTGGCTCCAGAAAAGAGTGTGTGTGTGTCTGTGTGAGGAGGGTAACAGTCCCAATGAGATTTTGGCAGGCTTGCTAAAGTAGCAACAGTGAATTATACTTATTTAACAATATTATGTTGCTTATAAACAATATGCTGTAGAGAAAAATGTACAATTCGTTCATTTGAAGAGTGCTAACAATTCAAAACTGTTTTCCTTCACTTATTACATGTCTCAGTTTCAAGATGCTGAGATTTCCTGATAGAGTCTTAAGGGAAAAGAAAAGTAGCACTAATTACTTAAAAGACATTTAGTTCACTGATTGTTGAACTGTACAAACACTAAAATAATGTACGAAAGCAGCCATAATGACTCAAACTCTTAATAACTTAATGTAAAGTCCACGGAATACTTTTGTTAACACTCTTTAAACTCCTTTAATCTATAGTTTCCTTTTCTTTTTGCGTGTGTTTTGATAATTTGGAAGGCTTACACTTCTGCTCTAGCAATAATTTTATTACTCTAGTAATTATCATTTCACTAATTCTTTAAACAGTATCTATCAACTTTCTGTTATAAACGTGATAAACTAAGGCATGTTCTCTTTTCCCCTTTACCACCCAAATCAGTTTACAGTATTACTGCTAATGTTACTTTTGTTATACTTCTAGTGCTTCTAGTGCTTAATTTACTATTCTCAGCCATAAAAATGTGAAAAAAATCACTACACACCACCTGCCCTTATTTATCCCTCTCCTCCTTCCAACCTTTTTCAGGGTTAATAAAACTCATATTCTACCCTGAAACCATTATCCATACATGACATTTAGTCTCAGCCCTGTAGTTAAAGTGATTCTGTCCTCACCACAGGTCTTTTTTGCTATAATTTTTGTAACCATATACAGATGGGCTGAAGTTTTCATTCAATAGATTCTTCAATAAAGACTCTTGGGAACAGTATTTCCTACATTCTTGCATGTTCAAAAATGTTTCTCTGTTGCCTTTATATGCAAGTGATGTTTGGTTGGGTATGAGATTCTTAAGCGATGTTTTCTATTCCTGAGTATTTAGTAAGTAATGCATTTCCTGAAACTATTTACCTACTTTATCAGGACTTGAACTGTCATCCCTTAAAACTTGCTTTTCCCATTCCTATATTTGATGTTTACTATATTTATCCTAGTTTTTAGTTTTCTTTCTATGGCTTTTCATTTTAGATTTATTTTTGTGTTGGCTTCAGTTTTATATTTCATTTTTTTTGGCAGACCAACCAATTCTATTTTTTCTTCTGCATTCTTACAAATTTCCCTAGGTTTTAGAATTCTGACTTGATATCTGGTTTTATGGTGATTGCTTCATTTGGTGGCTTAGTTGTGTTGTGTGAACAATGAAACCTTGGTCACAATTTTATCTCCTCCATAGCCATATATTTTTGAGTGTTCATTATTCTTAACTTGTTTTTTCTCTTCCATTCCTCCATACCATTTTTCTTTACGGTATTTACCTGTTAAATTGACAAATTTTATGACATTTCCTTTGTGATTACTCATCTTTGAATAAGACTTCTTGTTTTCAGGAGGGTTTTATAAAGAAGAAATCATGACTTTTTTATGAATTTATTTTTTAACCCCAGGCACAATGGCCACACTTATTATCTCAGCAATTTGGGAGGCTGAGGCAGAAGGATCACTTGAGGCCAGGAGTTTAAGACCAGGCTAGGCAACATGGCCAGACCCCATCTCTACAAAAAAAATAAAATTTTTAAATTTAAAAATAATGTATTTTCTTAGAACAATCTTAAGTTCACAGCAAAGTTGAGAGGAAGATGCAGAGACTTCCTACATATCCCATCCCCTACACATGCCTGGCCTCTCCCATTATCAACATCCCCCACCAGAATGGCATATTTGTTAAAATTGAAGAATCTACACTGACACGTCTTAAGTATCCCAACTCTACGTTTTACATTAGGATTTGCTCTTGGTATTGTACTTTCTTTGTGTTTGGACAAATATATAATGATATGTATCTATCATTATAGTATCACAAAAAACATTTTCACTGTCCTAGAAATTCTCTGTGGCCTACCTGTTCATTCCTTGCCTCCTCCTCCCCCTTCCAATGGCAACCACTGATATTTTATTGTCTCCAGAGTTTTACCTTTTCTGGAATATTATACAGTTTGTAGCCTCTTTAGATTGGCTTCTTTAACTTAGTAATATGCATTTAAGGTTACTCTGTATTTTCATGGCCTGATCACTAACTTTTTTAGCATTAAATAATATTTCATTGTGTACATGTACCACAGTTTATTTATCCATTCACTTATAGAAGGAAATCTTGGTTGCGTCCAACTTTTGGCAATTATTATTATTGTTTTATTTATTTATTCATTTTAAGATGGAGTCTTGCTCTGTCACCCAGGCTGGAGTGCAGTGGCGCCATCTCCTCTCACTGCAAGCTCCACCTCCCGCTTTCACACCATTCTCCTGCCTCAGCCTCCCAAGTAGCTGGGACTACAGGCGCCCACCCCACGCCCGGATAATTTTTTATATTTTTAGTAGAGATGGGGTTTCACCGTGTTAGCCAGGATGGTCTAGATCTCCTGACCTCGTGATCCACCCGCCTCGGCCTCCCAAAGTGCTGGGATTACAGGTGTGAGCCACCACGCCCGGCCGAAATTTTGGCAATTATTAATAAAGCTACTATAAATATCTGTGTGCCGGTTTTTGTATAGATAAAAGTTTTAAATCCCTTTGGATAAATACCAAGAAGCACAATTGTTGGATTATATGGTAATAGTATGTTTAGTTTTGTAAGATATCACCAAACTGTCTTCTTAAGCAGCTGTGCCATTTTACATTTCCACCAGTAGTGAAGGAGAGTTTCTCTTATTCCCCATTCTTGTTAGCATTTGGTGTTGTCATTCAATGGATTTTGATAATTCTAATAGGTGTGTCGTGGTATCCTGTTGTTGTTTTAGTTTGCATTTTCCTGATGCCATTTAATGTGAAAAAATAAACATTTTTTCATATGCTTATTTGCCCTCTGTACATCTTCTTTGGTAAAGTGTATTAAGATCTTTTGTCCATTTGTTAAATGGCTTGCTTGCTTTCTTGTTGATTTTTAAGAATTCTATGTATATTTTGGGTAATAGTCTTTATCATACATTTCTTGTGTAAATATTTCCTCCCAGTCTATGTCTTGTCTTCTCATTCTCTTGATGTTGTCTTTCGGAGAGCAGAAGTTTTTAATTTTAATAAAGTCTAGCTTATCAATTACTTCTTTCATGGAGTGTGCCTTTAGTGTTTCATCTAGAAAGTCATCACCATACCTGGGGTCATCTAGGTTTTCTCCTACATTTTCTAGGATTTTTATAGTTTTGTATTTTATATTTAGGTCTCTAATCCATTTTGATTTAATCTTTGTGAAAGATGTAAGATCTGTGCCTAGATTTTTTTTGGCATGTGAATGTCCAGTTGTTCCAGCACCATTTCTTGAAAAGACAGTCTTTGTTCCATTGTATTATATTTGCTCATTTGTCAAAGATCAGCTGATTGTATATATACATGGGTCTTATGTGGTTCTATTTCTGGTCTCTCCACTCTGTGCTGTTGATCTATTTCTCAATTATTTTACCAGTACCACATTGTCTTGATTACTGTAGCTTTAAAGTAAGTCTTGAAGTTGCATGTCAGTTCTCCCACCTTGTTCTTCCATATTCTGTTGTCTATTCTGCATCTGTTTCCTCTCCACGTAAACTTAGTTTGTTGATAGCCACAAAAGAACTTCTCGGAATTTTGAATGGGATTGTATTGAACCTATAGATCAAGTTTGGAAGAACTGATATCTTGACACATTGAGTTTTCCTACCCATGAAATATCTCTTCATTTATTTGATTTTTCCTTTGATTTCTTTCATCATAGTTTCTTTTATATTATATAATTTATTTATATATAATATATAAAAATATTTATATTTTATTTATATTTTATATATTATATAATCTATATATAAAAATATTTACATTATATATTTTTATTTATATTTTATATATATTATGTAATCTATTATATAATTTCTTTTACATAATTTCTTTTATAATAGTTTCTCACATAGATGATATATTCTATGTGATTTATACACATAGATTATTAGATTTATATTAGATTTATACAGAAGAATTTCATTTTTAGGAGTACTAATATATACATGGTGTTTGCTGTGTTTTGAATTTCAAATTCCACTTGACTATTGTTGGTATATACAAAGCAATTGGCATTTGTATGTTAACTTCGTATCCTGAAACCTTGATACAATCACTTATTAGTTCCAGAAGTTGTCTATTCTTTGTTTGTTTGTTTGTTTTTGGATGGAGTCTTGCTCTGTCGCCCAGGCTGGAGTGCAGTGGCGCCATCTCGGCTCACTACAAGCTCCACCTCCTGGGTTCACGCCATTCCCCTGCCTCAGCCTCCCAAGTAGCTGGGACTACAGGCGCCCGCTACCACGCCCGGCTAATTTTTTGTATTTTTGGTAAAGACAGGATTTCACTATGTTGGCCAGGATGGTCTCCATCTCTTGACCTCACCGTCCACCCACCTTGGCCTCCCAAAGTGTGGGATTACAGGCGAGAGCCACCGCGCCTGGCCGTGGTTTTTTTTTTTTTTTTAATTTTACTTTAAGTTTTAGGGTACATGTGCACATTGTGCAGGTTAGTTACATACGTATACATGTGCCATGCTGGTGCGCTGCACCCACTAACTCGTCATCTAGCATTAGGTATATCTCCCAATGCTATCCCTCCCCCCTCCCCCCACCCCACCACAGTCCCCAGAGTGTGATATTCCCCTTCCTGTGTCCATGTGATCTCATTGTTCAATTCCCACCTATGAGTGAGAATATGTGGTGTTTGGTTTTTTGTTCTTGCGATAGTTTACTGAGAATGATGATTTCCAATTTCATCCATGTCCCTACAAAGGACATGAACTCATCATTTTTTATGGCTGCATAGTATTCCATGGTGTATATGTGCCACATTTTCTTAATCCAGTCTATCATTGTTGGACATTTGGGTTGGTTCCAAGTCTTTGCTATTGTGAATAATGCCACAATAAACATACGTGTGCATGTGTCTTTATAGCAGCATGATTTATAGTCCTTTGGGTATATACCCAGTAATGGGATGGCTGGGTCAAATGGTATTTCTAGTTCTAGATCCCTGAGGAATCGCCACACTGACTTCCACAATGGTTGAACTAGTTTACAGTCCCACCAACAGTGTAAAAGTGTGCCTATTTCTCCACATCCTCTCCAGCACCTGTTGTTTCCTGACTTTTTAATGATTGCCATTCTAACTGGTGTGAGATGGTATCTCATTGTGGTTTTGATTTGCATTTCTCTGATGGCCAGTGATGATGAGCATTTCTTCATGTGTTTTTTGGCTGCATAAATGTCTTGTTTTGAGAAGTGTCTGTTCATGTCCTTCGCCCACTTTTTGATGGGGTTGTTTGTTTTGTTCTTGTAAATTTGTTTGAGTTCATTGTAGATTGTGGATATTAGCCCTTTGTCAGATGAGTAGGTTGTGAAAATTTTCTCCCATTTTGTAGGTTGCCTGTTCGCTCTGACGGTAGTTTCTTTTGCTGTGCAGAAGCTCTTTAGTTTAATTAGATCCCATTTGTCAATTTTGTCTTCTGTTGCCATTGCTTTTGGTGTTTTGGACATGAAGTGTCCTTGCCCATGCCTATGTCCTGAATGGTAATGCCTAGGTTTTCTTCTAGGGTTTTTATGGTTTTAGGTCTAACGTTTAAGTCTTTAATCCATCTTGAATTGATTTTTGTATAAGGTGTAAGGAAGGGATCCAGTTTCAGCTTTCTACTTATGGCTAGCCAGTTTTCCCAGCACCATTTATTAAATAGGGAATCCTTTCCCCATTGCTTGTTTTTCTCAGGTTTGTCAAAGATCAGATAGTTGTAGATATGTGGCATTATTTCTGAGGGCTCTGTTCTGTTCCATTGATCTATATCTCTGTTTTGGTACCAGTACCATGCTGTTTTGGTTACTGTAGCCTTGTAGTATAGTTTGAAGTCAGGTAGTGTGATGCCTCCAGCTTTGTTCTTTTGGCTTAGGATTGACTTGGCAATGTGGGCTCTTTTTTGGTTCCATATGAACTTTAAAGTAGTTTTCTCCAATTCTGTGAAGAAAATCATTGGTAGCTTGATGGGGATGGCATTGAATCTATAAATTACCTTGGGCAGTATGGCCATTTTCACGATATTGATTCTTCCTACCCATGAGCATGGAATGTTCTTCCATTTGTTTGTTTCCTCTTTTATTTCATTGAGCTGTGGTTTGTAGTTACTGAAGAGGTCCTTCATGTCCCTTGTAAGTTGGATTCCTAGGTATTTTATTCTCTTTGAAGCAATTGTGAATGGGAGTTCACTCATGATTTGGCTCTCTGTTTGTCTGTTATTGGTGTATAAGAATGCTTGTGATTTTTGTACATTGATTTTGTATCCTGAGACTTTGCTGAAGTTACTTATCAGCTTAAGGAGATTTTGGGCTGAGACAATGGGGTTTTCTAGATATACAATCATGTCATCTGCAAACAGGGACAATTTGATTTCCTCTTTTCCTAATTGAATACCCTTTATTTCCTTCTCCTGCCTGATTGCCCTGGCCAGAACTTCCAACACTATGTTGAATAGGAGTTGTGAGAGAGGGCATCCCTGTCTTGTGCCAGTTTTCAAAGGGAATGCTTCCAGTTTTTGCCCATTCAGTATGATATTGGCTGTGGGTTTGTCATAGATAGCTCTTATTATTTTGAAATATGTCCCATCAATACCTAATTTATTGAGAGTTTTTAGCATGAAGGGTTGTTGAATTTTGTCAAAGGCTTTTTCTGCATCTATTGAGATAATCATGTGGTTTTTGTCTTTGGCTCTGTTTATATGCTGGATTACATTTATTGATTTGTGTATATTGAACCAGCCTTGCATCCTAGGGATGAAGCCCACTTGATCATGGTGGATAAGCTTTTTGATATGCAGCTGGATTCGTTTTGCCAGTATTTTATTGAGGATTTTTGCATCAATGTTCATCAAGGATATTGGTCTAAAATTCTCTTTTTTGGTTGTCTCTGTCCGGCTTTGGTATCAGAATGATGCTGGCCTCATAAAATGAGTTAGGGGAGGATTCCCTCTTTTTCTGTTGATTGGAATAGTTTCAGAAGGAATGGTACCAGTTCTTCCTTGTACCTCTGGTAGAATTCGGCTGTGAATCCATCTGGTCCTGGACTCTTTTTGGTTGGTAAACTATTGATTATTGCCACAATTTCAGCTCCTGTTATTGGTCTATTCAGAGATTCAACTTCTTCCTGGTTTAGTCTTGGGAGAGTGTATGTGTCCAGGAATTTATCCATTTCTTCTAGATTTTCTAGTTTATTTGCGTAGAGGTGTTTGTAGTATTCTCTGATGGTAGTTTGTATTTCTGTGGGATTGGTGGTGATATCCCCTTTATCATTTTTTATTGTGTCTATTTGATTCTACTCTCTTTTTTCTTTATTAGTCTTGCTAGCAGTCTATCAATTTTGTTGATCCTTTCAAAAAACCAGCTTCTGGATTCATTAATTTTTTGAAGGGTTTTGTGTGTCTCTATTTCCTTCAGTTCTGCTCTGATTTTAGTTATTTCTTGCCTTCTGCTAGCTTTTGAATGTGTTTGCTCTTGCTTTTCTAGTTCTTTTAATTGTGATATTAGGGTGTCAATTTTGGATGTTTCCTGCTTTCTCTTGTGGGCATTTAGTGCTATAAATTTCCCTCTACACACTGCTTTGAATGTGTCCCAGAGATCCTGGTATGTTGTGTCTTTGTTCTCGTTGGTTTCAAAGAACATCTTTATTTCTGCCTTCATTTCGTTATGTACCCAGTAGTCATTCAGGAGCAGGTTGTTCAGTTTCCATGTAGTTGAGTGGTTTTGAGTGAGATTCTTAATCCTGAGTTCTAGTTTGATTGCACTGTGGTCTGAGAGATAGTTTGTTATAATCTCTGTTCTTTTACATTTGCTGAGGAGAGCTTTACTTCCAAGTATGTGGTCAATTTTGGAATAGGTGTGGTGTGGTGCTGAAAAAAATGTATATTCTGTTGATTTGGGGTGGAGAGTTCTGGAGATGTCTATTAGGTCGGCTTGGTGCAGAGGTGAGTTCAATTCCTGGATATCCTTGTTGACTTTCTGTCTCATTGATCTGTCTAATGTTGACAGTGGGGTGTTAAAGTCTCCCATTATTAATGTGTGGGAGTCTAAGTCTCTTTGTAGGTCACTCAGGACTTGCTTTATGAATCTGGGTGCTCCTGTATTGGGTGCATATATATTTAGGATAGTTAGCTCTTCTTGTTGAATTGATCCCTTTACCATTAGGTAATGGCCTTCTTTGTCTCTTTTGATCTTTGTTGGTTTAAAGTCTGTTTTATCCGAGACTAGGATTGCAACCCCTGCCTTTTTTTGTTTTCCATTTGCTTGGTAGATCTTCCTCCATCCTTTTATTTTGAGCCTATGTGTGTCTCTGCACATGAGATGGGTTTCCTGAATACAGCACACTGATGGGTCTTGACTCTTTATCCAATTTGCCAGTCTGTGTCTTTTAATTGGAGCATTTAGTCCATTTACCTTTAAAGTTAATATTGTTATGTGTGAATTTGATCCTGTCATTATGATGTTAGCTGGTGATTTTGCTCGTTAGTTGATGCAGTTTCTTCCTAGTCTCGATGGTCATTACATTTTGGCATGATTTTGCAGTGGCTGGTACTGGTTGTTCCTTTCCATGTTTAGCGCTTCCTTCAGGAGCTCTTTTAGAGCAGGCCTGGTGGTGACAAAATCTCTCAGCATTTGCTTGTCTGTAAAGTATTTTATTTCTCCTTCACTTATGAAGCTTAGTTTGGCTGGATATGAAATTCTGGGTTGAAAATTATTTTCTTTAAGAATGTTGAATATTGGCCCCCACTCTCTTCTGGCTTGTAGGGTTTCTGCCAAGAGATCCGCTGTTAGTGTGATGGGCTTCCCTTTGAGGGTAACCCGACCTTTCTCTCTGGCTGCCCTTAACATTTTTTCCTTCATTTCAACTTTGGTGAATCTGACAATTATGTGTCTTGGAGTTGCTCTTCTCGAGGAGTATCTTTGTGGCATTCTCTGTATTTCCTGAATCTGAACGTTGGCCTGCCTTGCTAGATTGGGGAAGTTCTCCTGGATAATATCCTGCAGAGTGTTTTCCAACTTGGTTCCATTCTCCCCATCACTTTCAGGTACACCAATCAGATGTAGATTTGGTCTTTTCACATAGTCCCATATTTCTTGGAGGCTTTGCTCATTTCTTTTTATTCTTTTTTCTCTAAACTTCCCTTCTCACTTCATTTCATTCATTTCATCTTCCATTGCTGATACCCTTTCTTCCAGTTGATCGCATCGGCTCCTGAGGCTTCTGCATTCTTCACGTAGTTCTGGAGCCTTGGTTTTCAGCTCCATCAGCTCCTTTAAGCGCTTCTCTGTATTGATTATTCTAGTTATACATTCTTCTACATTTTTTTCAAAGTTTTCAACTTCTTTGCCTTTGGTTTGAATGTCCTCCTGTAGCTCAGAGTAATTTGATCATCTGAAGCCTTCTTCTCTCAGCTCGTCAAAGTCATTCTCCATCCAGCTTTGGTCCGTTGCTGATGAGGAACTGTGTTCCTTTGGAGGAGGAGAGGCACTCTGCGTTTTAGAGTTTCCAGTTTTTCTGTTCTGTTTTTTCCCCATCTTTGTGGTTTTATCTACTTTTGGTCTTTGACGATGGTGATGTACAGATGAGTTTTTGGTGTGGATGTCCTTTCTGTTTGTTAGTTTTCCTTCTAACAGACAGGACCCTCAGCTGCAGGTCTGTTGGAATACCCTGCCGTGTGAGGTGTCAGTGTACCCTCCTGGGGGGTGCCTCCCAGTTAGCCTGCTCAGGGGTCAGGGGTCAGGGACCCACTTGAGGAGGCAGTCTGCCCGTTCTCAGATCTCCAGCTGCGTGCTGGGAGAACCACTGCTCTCTTCAAAGCTGTCAGACAGGGACATTTAAGTCTGCAGAGGTTACTGCTGTCTTTTTGTTTGTCTGTGCCCTGCCCCCAGTGGTGGAGCCTACAGAGGCAGGCAGGCCTCCTTGAGCTGTGGTGGGCTCCACCCAGTTCGAACTTCTGGGCTGCTTTGTTTACCTAAGCAAGCCTGGGCAATGGCAGGCGCCCCTCCCCCAGCCTGGCTGCCGCCTTGCAGTTTGATCTCAGACTGCTGTGCTAGCAATCAGCGAGACTCCGTGGGTGTAGGACCCTCCGAGCCAGGTGTGGGATATAATCTCGTGGTGCACCATTTTTTAAGCAGGTCTGAAAAGCGCAATATTCAGGTGGGAGTGACCCAATTTTCCTGGTGCCGTCTGTCACCCCTTTCTTTGACTCGGAAAGGGACCTCCCTGACCCCTTGCACTTCCCAAGTGAGGCAGTGCCTCGCCCTGCTTTGGCTCGCGCACAGTGCGTGCACCCACTGACCTGCGTCCACTGTCTGGCACTCCCTAGTGAGATGAACCCGGTACCTCAGATGGAAATGCAGAAATCACCCGTCTTCTGTGTCGCTCACGCTGGGAGCTGTAGACCGGAGCTGTTCCTATTCGGCCAACTTGGCTCCTCGAGAGCCTGGCCATGTTTTTGTCTATTCTTAAAGATTTTCTACAGAGACAATCATGTCATCTGTGAACAAATACTATTATATTTCTTTCTTCCTAACCTGTGTACCTTTTATTATGTTGTCTTTATTGCATTAGCTAGGACTTCTACTATGATATTGAAATGGATTAGTGAAATGGAATAACCTTGCCTTGTTCCTGATGTTAATGAGAAATTTTGAGTTTCACCGTGAAGAATGATGTTAACCATAGGTTTTTGTGGATATTCTTCATCAAGTTGAGGAAGTTCTCCTCTGTTTCTAATTTACTAAAACAATTCTAAAATTCATATGAAACCAAAACAAGAGACCGCAGAGAATCAGATCAAGAACTCAAACTGTTTTATAATAGCTGAAAAAAAAAAAACAAAAAAAACCTTAGGAATATACCTAACCAAAGAGACAAAAGACCGCTACAAGAAAAACTACAAAACACTGCTGAAAGAAATCATAGATGACACAAACAAATGGAAACACATCTCGTGCTCATGGATGGGTAGAACCAATATTGTGAAAATGAACATACCACCAAAAGCAATTTAGAAATTCAATGCAATCCCCATCAAAATACCACCGTCGTTCTTCACAGAGTAGAAAAAACAATTCTAAAATTCATATGAAACCAAAACAAAAGACCGCATAGTCAAAGCAAGACAAAGCAAAAAACAAATCTGTAGGCATCACATTACCTGATATCAAACTATACTCTAAGGCCGTAGTCACCAAAACAGCATAATACTGGTATAAAAATAGGCACATAGGCCAATGGAAAAGAATAGAGAACGCTGAAATAAACCAAAATACTTACAGCCAACTGATCTTCGACAAAGCAAACAAAAACATAAAATGAGGAAATGACACCTTTTTCAACAAATGGTGCTAGGATAATTGGCTATCCACATGGAGAATAAAACTGGATCCTCAACTCTCACCTCATACAAAAATCAATTCAAGATGTATTAAGGACTCAAATCTAAGACCTGAAACTATAAAAGTTCTAGAAGATAACATTGGAAAAGCCTTTCTAGACATTGGTTTAGGCAAGGATTTCATGATCAAGAACCCAAAAGCAAATACAATAAAAGCAAAGTTAAGTAGCTGGGAGTTAATTAAACTAAAAAGCTTTTGCTTGGCAAAAGGAACAGTCAGCAGAGTAAACAGACAACCCACAGAGTGGGAGAAAATCTTCACAATCTATACATCTGACAGAAAAGTAATATCCAGAATCAACAATGAACTAAAAAGCAAATAAATAATCCCATCAGAAAATGGGCTAAGGACATGAATAGCCAGTTCTCAAAAGAAGATATACAAATGGCCAATAGATATATGAAAAAATGCTCAACATTAATAACCAGAGAAGTGCAAACCAAAATCACAATGTGATGCCACCTTACTCCAGAAAAAATGGCCATAATTCAAGAATCAAAATAGTAGATATTGGTGCAGATGTAGAAGTGTAGAACACTTCTACACTGCTGGTGGGAATATAAACTAGTACAGCCACTATGGAAAACAGTGGGGATATTCCTTAAATAACTAAAAGTAGAACTACCATTTGACCCAGCAATCCCACTGCTGGATGTCTACACAGAGGAAAATAAGTCATTATACCAAAAAAGTCATTATACAAAAAAGTCATTATATAAAAAAACGCACACACATTTATGACAGCACAATTCACAATTGCAAAATTGTGGAACCAACCCAAATGTCCATCAATCAATGAGTGAATAAAGACACTGTGATGTATATACATGATGGAATACTACACAGTCATAAAAAGGAATGAATTAACGGCATTTGCAGTGACCTGAATGAGATTGGAGACTATTCTTTTAAGTGAAGTAACTCAGGAATGGAAAACCAAACATCGTATGTTCTCACTGATATGTGGGAGCTAAACTATGAGAATGCAATGGTATAAGAATGATGCAATGGACTTTGGGAACTTGGAGGGAAAAGTGGAAAAGGGAGCAAGGGATAAAAGACTACAAATATGGTGCAGTGTATATATACTGCGCAGGTGATGGGTGCACCAAAATCTCACACATCACCACTAAAGAACTTATGTAACCAAATACCACCTGTACGGCAATAACCTATGGAAAAATAAAAATAACACTATACCTCTTCAAGGGTAATGTGAGTACATTATAACAACAATTGAGTAAAAATTATTCTAATTCCCTCCCTTCTGTTCCTTGTATCATTATTGTCATTCTTTTCACTTATATATAAGCACATATGTATATATACATATATATGGAATAAAGCATATTGCATTTTTATTTTGAGCAAACTGTTATCTATTTGATCAATTAAAAGTTTTAGTTTCACTTTTACTTATTCTTTGATGTTCTTCCTTTCTCTATGAAGATTCAAGTTTCTGACCTGTATTTTCCTCCTCTCTAAATAACAACACTTCTTATAAGACAGGTCTACTGGCAATGAATTCCCTCAATTTTTGTTTGAGAAAGGCTTTATTTCTCCTGTATTTTTGAAGAATAATTTCAAAAAGTACAGAATTGTAGGTTGTTGGTTATTTTCTCAACATGTTAAATATTTCACTCTACTATTGTTTACATTTTCTGAGGAAAAGTCAGATGTAATTCTTTGCTTCATTCTATACCTACAGTATGGTGTTTTTTCCCTCTGACTGCTTTCAGAATTCTTTGTCTTTGATTTTCTGTAGTTTTAAAATAATATGCTTTGTTGTAGGTTTTTGTTTTGTTTTTTGTGTTTTTTTTTGGCATTTCTCCTGGTTAGTGTTCTCTGAGCTTTCTGGCTTTGTGTCTGACATTAATTTGGGGAAATTCTCAGCCAGTATTGTTTCAAACATTTATTTCATTCTCTGATCTTTTTCTCCTTCTAGTATTTCCATCATTTGTATGTTACGTCTTTTTTAGTTGTCCCATCCTTGGATATTCTGCTCTGAAGTTTTTAGTTTGTCTTTTTCTCTTTTTGTTTTTTGGTTTTGGAGGTTTTTGTTATGTTTTCAAGCTCAGAGATTCTTTTCATCTCATCCAAGACTGGTTCTGCTGCTTGTTCTGTCTCCTCAAATTGTGGGGTTTTTTTTTTATTGTTTGTTCTTGCCTTTTAGTACACCTCGTATTTTTTTTATAATCATCATATCCATTATAGCTGAACATGATGTACCAGTTAAAAGAAACAGCCACAAATAAGGCTTTAATATTGTACTAGCAAGGTATGGGAAGAGGAGAAACACTCTATAGTCCTGTGATTCAGTCTGTCTTTTAGCGAGCCTATGCCTTTTGACTGTGAACTTCACAAGTGCTTCTCAGGTTACTTTCTTTCCCCTTGCATGGGACAGGATGGCTAGGATGAACTGGAATTAGGTATTTTTCTTCTCCCACGTGGAAGGCTGGAGGGAGTCGGAGTTGGGTATTTTCTTTCCCCTAATTCAGTTAGGCTCTGATCATATTCCAACAGTTTAGGCCCTGGTTGGCTAACCTCCTCTGAGGGCAGGCCTTGTTAAAAAGAACAGAGTTGCCTGGTATATTTCAAAATGGTTCATTTTCCCCTCCCCTGACAGAAGCATGTTTGAAGGGGAAGGGTTCATTATTTACTGTGAGCACCTGGCCAGGCTCCTAGAGTTAAAACAAAAATATTGGCCCCTCATGACAGGGTCCTTCTGGAGTTTTAACTCAGATTTGTCCACAGTTAAGTCTCCAGCAGTTTGTTCATTACAGTTCAGCTTTTCCTATCCTGGCCCAGGTTCCCACTGTGATTTCTTCCTGTGAGTCTGTTTTCCAGCAAGCCATGGTTTGCTGTATTCACCTGTCTTTCAATCTTGGGGGCAATGGTTTGCCTTGTGTCCTCACTTTTCTTACAGATACAAGAAGAGTTGATTTTTCAGTCTGTTCAACATTTCACTTGTTGTTAGAATGGTGCATTGAGTTCTAAGATCCTTACATGCAGAATTGGAAGCCAGAAGTGCAGGGGGAATCTAAAGGGTTTTTGTGAGCAAACATTCTAAGACTTTTTTTTTCCCCAACTGAAATAAAAAGGCAGTTATAGGACTATTTTTTTTTTGTCTCTGGTATTGTTTCCTAGAAATCAGGCTTTTTAAATAATATTTATGTTTAGCTATACTTAGCTCCTTTTAACCAAATAGGGGTAGGGGTGATATATGACAGTAGCTAAGGAGATGAATTGCATCATCCAGTTCTCATTCTGATGGGAAAAAATGAAAGCAATTAGTTATGGTACCTGAATTTACAGTTGAGTTGGGCAGAGTGTGGTAATAATAGCAACTGCAATTTGAGTATTTATTATACCAGATCATGTTTATGTGTACACACATATGTCAGATATCTAGAGAATTTACATATATTTATATACATAATTTATAATAACTATGTAAAGTAGACATTGTTATGCTTATTTTGCAGATGAAGAAACTAAGGCTGACAGATAAAGTAGCTTTCAAAGGTCAAATAGCCAAGATGGCAGAAGCAAAATTAGAACCAGGTCTCTCCAAATTAATTCCAATGCATACTTTTCCCCGGTGGTTAATACAGAATCAAGCCTTATATGAATTTCTTGGTTTCCTGTTTCTGTTAGATTAATGCAAGTAAATACTTGTAGATTGCATGTGTAATACTATGCCCTGGCTTTGTCCACTACTGAGGACCCCAAATCTTGATTTTCTTAATCTGCATAAGTATAATGAATTCCAGGACCCTCCTATCAAATATTCTTGGAAAGTTAGTCATGTCTAATGTGTAATTCCAATAAATCCTAGTCTTCACCAGTCTGCAAGTCTTAGAGGTCATTTACCTTCCCAGAACTTGGGGTAGCATCATGCTATTGATTTGTCCAGGAAAGAGAGACTTTTCTCTATGAGCTTATTATAATCCAATCTCTGACTTCCAGGTCAGAGAGATATAGTTGCATCGTGTGTGTGTGTGTGTGTGTGTGTGTGTGTGTGTGTGTGTGTGTGTGTATCTGTTCATATGCCTTAGAAGTTTGGTTCTTGTTAGAAAATATGCAAGGTTTTTCTCTTTTAAAGAAAATCACAAACTTCATAACAGTGGCTTCAGCAAGTAAAATGTTCAATGTATGTGGCATAAACTGCCTAAAGCTCTGTTGTCAACCTTGTGGTGTTTACTGGTCATTAAGTGAGAGAGAAAGAATCAAAGGGATGAAATGAACCACAGGTTTTCTCTGAGATAATAACCAACTGTTTGAGATATTCAAATTAATCAGGAAGCCAGAGAATCCAGGAAAAGAGTCAAAAAGGCATTGACTCTTTTGTGCAAAATTAGCTGCTACGCCACATCATATATGACGGTAGTCTGGCAGCTTCTCTAGATGCAGAAAGGCTGTTGGTTTTTGTACCGGAGCTTCACATGGCAGACCAGACATAACTGTACAACTCAGGCTTAACGCTCCCCTTGCCTTGTGACGCTGTGACACTATGTTGCTCAGGATTTTGTTGGTTTTCAGAGCTTTCGGTGATATTACCCCTTAGTTTTGTCATGTGATTTAGATAGGCACAGGACCTGAATAACGATACATGTTCAGCTCTGAGAAAAATCCATCCCTTCTATCTGGAAAATCACTTTGAATATTTGCATCAAATGAATAGAAAATAATGTACGAAGACAATTGAGTGATTTACTTAATGCTTTTATTTTTTCCTATATTCTTATAACAGTTTCCAATCAATGATTTCTTCCCAAATCCACAGTTAAAACTTCTAATTCCTTTGAAAAGGGGATTCACATCTATTATACTAAAACACAACCATGCCAACAAATTCTGAGGCTAGAAATTCTACTTTAAATTAGCAACTATAATTCTGGTGAATGTTCTGTAACATTGGTCATTTATCCTCCCAATCTAAGTCAAAAATATCATATGGATACATGCTTATCTTTATAATAAAGTATGTGCAGATCATTAGATTTGTACAATTTTGGAAAAACCTGAGATTTAGTTCCTTGACATTCTGCTATGTGGCAAGTTGCTCAGGAGTAGCCCCATTTCTGTGTGTGTTCTAAAATAAAAGTGATGCCTCACATCTAGGCCATAAGCTTACTTGAATTATTTTTAAGTCTTTATTATATATTTAGTATAGACACAAACAAGACCAGTGCTATAGCTAGGTAAGTAAGTTCTCCTAGTTGTCTCCCATTACAACTACCTGTCATCAACTGAATTTACTTTCAGTGGGCCCAGATATTAACAAATGGGTTATTGAGTGGTAATAGCCACCATTTTTAAGCTCTGTAGATACTTTTGTATCCATATATATATATATGCATATATATGAGACTCTCATAAATCCTAGTTGTACACAGATTTATGTGACTGCTACACATTTAATTTTCATAATAACTTTCTGAATGTTTACAGATGTAGAAACTGAGGCTCAAAAAAGTTAGGTAATTTATCTAAGAACATATAGCTAGTACATGATGGAACTAGGACATAAATCTAGATCTGACTGACCTAAGTTCATATTCCTAGCCACAATACTACACTGCCTCTTGCTTGTAATGAAACACAGCTTTTTGGTCCAGTCGTTCATAAAATGGAAGCCCTTTATTTGTTCACATAAATCTCTTGCTACTTCTATTTTAACAGTTTGGGGGGTACAGGTGGGTATTTTCACATGGATAAGTTCTTTAGTGGTAATTCAAGATTTTGGTGCACCCGCCACCCAAGCAGTGTATACTGTACCCAATATGTAGTCTTTATTCCTCACCCCACTCCCATCCTTCCCCACAAGTACCCAAAGTCTATTATATCATTTATTTTGTTTTGGTTTTGTTTTGTTTTGTTTTTGAGACAGGGTTTTGCTCTTGTTGCCCAGGCTGGAGTGCAATGGTGTGATCTCAGCTTACTGCAACCTCTTAACTCCCAGGTTCAAGCAGTTCTCCTGCCTCAGCCTCCCAAGTAGCTGGGATTGCAGGCATGCACCAACAAACATGGCTAATTTTGTATTTGTAGTAGAGATGGGGTTTCACCATGTTGGCCAGGCTGGTCTTGAACTCCTGACTTCAGGTGATCCACCTGCCTCAGCCTCCCAAAATACTGTGATGATAAGCATGAGCCACCACACCCAGCACATTATATCATTCTTATGGCTTTGCATCCCATAGCTTAGCTCCCGCTTTTATAAGTGAGAACATACAATATTTTATTTTCTATTCCTGAGTTACTTCACTTAGGATAATGGCCTCCAGCTCCATCTAAGTTGCTGCAAAGGGCATAATTTTGTTCTCTTTGTGGGCTGAGTAGTATTCCATGATGTATATATACCACATTTTCTTCACTTGTTGGTTGATAAGCATTTAGGTTGGTTCCATATTTTTGTAATTGCAAATTGTGCTGCTATAAACATACATGTGCATATGTCATTTTCATATAATGACTTCTTTTCCTCTGGGTAGATACCCAGTAGTGCTATTGTTGGATCAAATGGTAGTTCTACTTTTAGTTCTTTAAGGAATCGCCATATTGTTATCCATAGTGGTTGTATTAGCTTACGTTCCCACCATCGGTGTAAAAGTGTTCCCTTTTCACCACATCCACACCAACATCTATTGTTTTTTGACTTTTTAATTATGGCCATTTGTGCAGGAGTAAAGTGGTATCACATTGTAGTTTTGATTTGCATTTCCCTGATAATTAGTGATGTTCAGCATTTTTAATGTTTGTTGGCTGTTTGTGTATCTTGTTTTGAGAATTGTCTATTCACGTCCTTTGCCATTTTTTGATGGGATTATTTTTTTTCTTGCTGATTTGAGTTCCTTGTAGATTCTGGATATTTGTCCTTTGTCAGATGCATAGTTGTGAATATTTTCTCCCACTCTATGGGTTCTCTGTTTACTCTGCTGATTATTTTGTTTGCTTTGGAGAAGCTTTTTAGTTTAATTAGGTCCCATTTATTTGTTTTTGTTTTTGTTGCATTTGATTTTGGGTTCTTAGTCATGCATTCTTTGTCTAAGCCAATGTCTAGAAGAGATTTTCCAATGTTATCTTCTAGAATTTGTATGGTTTCAGGTCTTAGATTTAGGTCTTTGATCCATCTTGAGTTGATTTTTGTATAAGGTGAGAGATAAGGATCCAGTTTTATTCTTTTACATGTGGCTTGTCAGTTGTCCCAGCACCATTTATTGAATAGAGTGTCCTTTCCCCCAACCTTGTTTTTGTATGCTTTGTCAAAGACCAGCTGGTTGTAAGTATTTGGGTTTATTTCTGGGTTCTCTATTCTCTTCCATTGGTCTATATGCCTATTTTCTTACCAGCACCATGTTGTTTTGGTAACTATAGCCTTATAGTACAATTTGAAGTTGGGTAATGTGATGCCTCCAGATTTGTACTTTTTGCCTAGTAGTGCTTTGGCTCTGTGGGCTCTTTTTTGGTTCCATATGAATTCTAGGATTGTCTTTTCTAGTTCTGTGAAGAATGATGGTGATATTTTAATGGGAATTGCATTGAATGTGTAGATTGCTTTTGGCAGTATGTTCAATTTCACAATATTGATTCTACCCATCCATGAGCATGGGATGTGTTTCCATTTGTGTCACCTATTATTTCTTTCAGCAGTGTTCTGTCATTTTCCTTGCAGAAACCTTTCACCTCCTTGGTTAGGTATATTCCTAAGTATTCTATTTTATTTTATTTTTTTGCAGCTGTTGTAAAAGGGATTGAGTTTTCGATTTGATTCTTAATTTGTGTTGTTGATGTACAGCAGTTACTGATTTGTGTAAACTGATTTTGTATCCTGAGACTTTACTGAATTCATTTATCAGGTCTGAGCTTTTTGGATAAGTCTTTAAGGTTTTCTAGGTATACAATCATATCAGTAAACAGCAACAGTTTTACTTCCTATTTTCCAATTTGGATACTCTTTATTTTTTTTTTCTCTTGTCTGATTGCTCTGTCTAGAACTTCTAGTACTATGTCGAATAGAAGTAATGAAAATGGGCATCCTTGTCTTGTTCTAGGGAAAATGCTTTCAACTTTTCCTCATTCAGTATGATGCTGGCTGTGGGTTTGTCATAGATGGCTTTTATTACTTTGAGGTATGTCCCTTCTATGCCAATTATGTTGAGGGTTTTTTATCATAGAGAAATGGTGGATTTTATAAAATGCTTTTTCTGTGTCTATTGAGATGATCACATAATTTTTGTTTTCGATTCTCTTTATGTAATGTATCACATTTATTGACTTGTATATGTTAAACTATCCCTGCATGGCTGGTATGAAACACACTTGATCATGATGTAATATGCTGTTGGATTTGGTTAGCTAGTGTTTTGTTGAGGATTTTTGCGTCTATGTTTTTGCGTCAGGGATGTTGGTCTGTAGTTTTCCTATTTTTTATGTCCTTTCTTGTTTTGGCATTAGGGTGATACTGATTTTATAGAATAACTTAGGGAGGATTCCCTCTTTATCTTTAATAGTTTCAGTAGGATTGGCACCAATTCTTCTTTGAATGCCTGATATAATTCAGCTGTGAATCCATCTGATTCTGCACTTTTTTGTTGGCAATACGTTTTATTATTGATTTAATCTCTGTGCTTGTTATTGGTCCATTCAGGGTTTCTATTTCTTCCTAGTTTAATCTAGGAGGGTTGCATATTTCCAGGAACTTATCCATCTCCTCTATATTTTCTAGTTTGTGTGCATAAAGGTGTTAATAGTAGCCTTGAATGATCTTTTGTATTTCTGTGATACCAATTGTAATGTCTCTAGTTTCATTTCTAATTGAGCTTATTCAGATCTTCTCTCTTCTTGGTTAATACTGCTAATGGTCTACCAATTTTATTTATCTTTTCAAAGAAATCATTTTTTGTTTCATTTATCCCTTGTATTTTTTTGTTTCAATTTCATTTAGTTCTCTGATCTTTGTTCTTTTCTTCTGCTGAGTTTGGATTTGGTTTGTTCTTGTTTCTCTAGTTTCTTGAGGTGAGAGATTAGGTTGTCTATTTATGCTTTTTCACACTTTTTGGTGTGGGCATTTAATGCTATGAACTTTCCTCTTAACGCAGCTTTTGCTGTATCCCAGAGGTTTTGATAGGTTGTGTCTCTTGTTACTTTTTAACACATGCCCTCTCCTCCAGTTCAGTTTTCATTTTATTGTCTTATATTCCATCTTCCATTCTTTGGTTTTGCCATTTCTCCCAACTTTTTTACTTTTTCTCTTCCCTTTCACCTTTCTGTGTTGTAACCATTCTCTAGGACCTCAGACAACCATTCAATTAACAGGCTGTTACCAGGCACCTGCTGATTGGTTATTATCCCTGTCTTCCATAAACTCACTAACGAGTGGGAGCATCAGATATTGGGTAGGAACTCCATCCCATAATGGAAGTAGCTGAAAAAGATTAAAGTGAACCTGTTCCAATGCCTGAGGTTCAAATAAGCACCAGTAGAATTAGATTTCAAATCACTTTATCAAATATCATCTCATATATTTAGAGGTGAATAATCATATCTGTCTATGTTAAATTACAACCTTCTTGAACAGAAAGCACTATGTTTCTTTTGTATCACTATTATTCATATCTTAGAAATAGTTATGTAATCAATATTTGATACATTTTTGGCTAACAAGTATGTATAGGTAAGATATATTTTCTATCCTATGGTCTGTTTCCAAGGAACTTTTATGTGGCATATGTGTATTAAAAATATGAATATCTATTTCTGCAAATATGTTTCCAAATATATTAGAAGGTTATTATGGTAAAGAATAAAGATTGATAAAGGATTGAAATAGGAACTGGAAATTTAAGGATCAAGATTAAGAGCTGCTGATGGATTGTACCATTTGGTAAATACCCTCTTTTGGGATAGAAGTAACAATTTCTGCCTTATTGGCTCTACATAATTATTATGTTAAGCCAATTAGGTTAGTGACATGAAAGGCTTTATAAAGAATACTGTATACCAGCGATTCTCAAAGTAAGGGCTGAGGACCCCACAGGGTCCCTGTATCAGTCACAGTTTAACCAGAGAAACCTGTAGGAGGTATCAGTGAATAAACTTATTGCAAGAAATTGACTTATGTGATTATGGAGACTGGCCAGGTAAGTGTGAAATCCACAGGGTAAACCATCAGGAAGGGCAGGCTGGAATTATCCAGCAGTAGCTAACACTGCTATCCACAGATGAACTTTCTTCTTCACAGAAGGCTTAGCTCTGCTTCTGTGACCTTTTAACCGATTGAATCAGGTCCACTCAGGGTATATAAAATAATCTCTCCTGTTTAAAATCAACTGATTATGGGCTTTAGACCTACAAAACGCCTTCATGGCAACATCTAGATTAGTGTTCAACTAGACAACTGATGACTGTAGCCTAGCTAAGTTGACACAGAAAACTAACCACCATAGTCCCAAAATCCTTTCAAAGAGGCACTAATTCCCCTTTTACCAATTATGTATGAGGCTGGATATTTCTTCATGTACTTCAACCAAAACAACACAGCACAAAACACTGAATGCATAAGCAGATATGAGAACCTATTTTCTATTAGTCCAAATATGAAAGAAAAATTCTTCCTAATTTTTTGTTTTGGAAAATATAGTTACTTATCATTAAAATATGCCATTTGTTAAGATGTAATAGATATATTGTTATTTTTAAAGAAGTAAATTATTTTAAAATGTCTAAGTTTCTAATACAGTAAATATAGACCCACATAAATAAAAACTCATTTAGGTCCTAAATAATTTTTAAGTGTGTAAAGGAGCCCTGATTCGAAAAGGTATGAGAACCACTATCCTATACAAATAGAGGGATTATATTACCTTTTTTCTTATCAATAGAAAAAACTCAATACTTCTCCTTGTATTCAGCATAAATAATTATGAATGTCTTCTACTGCACAGCATATACAGTGTAAAAACTTTTCCATACTTTACGAATATCAAAACTAATCCCTTTCTCCTCATGCATTGATTTGAACAAAAAATTACAAGCTTATTTTGTGACCCCCTTTTGTGACTTACCTAATGCTATAAAGTATCTATTTAAATTTTTGATATAAACATTTCAACATCAGTATTCAGTTATTTTATTTTAAAACTTTCTTCAGAATTTAGTAAGTTACAAGTTTCATTCCATAATCATCAAAATATTTATTTTGGAGAGATTTTTATTCATGTTTTATATGCTAAAAATTAGTAAGCTGATAAAATGAGCAGAAAAGAGAATTATGGTAGGTAGTTCTCTATTCTAGTGTGTAAAATAGCAATATCAATTTCTTCCTTACTATTCAGCCACCTTTTGATTAACTGGAAAAATTAAAGGAAAATAGGTCATGGCAAAGTCAAAATCATGAGTAAAACAAAAATGGCCAAAAGATGGTACAAAATGCACTTGATAAAAATTAAGCAAAATTACACATCAGATTCTGAAACACAGTATTATTATATAGTGTCATCCTAAAGAGCAAAGTAAAGAAGTATGAAAATAATCTTTTAAGATAGAAGTTAAAAACTGAGTTGCTACAGAGGCCAGGCAAATAATATGACCTACTGAAGCAGTTTGGGTGGGGAATGGGGATACTTGTGCCCTGTCCAAAGTGGATGGCCATTATTCAGCAATGGCCAGCACTTGACTTGTGGGAATATGTACCCATCATCAACAGTTTTTTTGACTTGTTTCTTGAAAAATATAGCTTCATTCTCATGAGAAATCTCCCAATGTTTGAATGCTGCCAATGAATCTAAAATTTAAGTATGTGAAGGCTAAACAAAATATCTTTGCAGATTTTTACCATTGTGTGATATCTGGTTTTGGAGCACTGAATATCACATAAAATACTTTATGACAAAGGACCAAAAAGTTATCCACTAAGGCAACCTGCAGTTGCTGATGTTTTTTAGCTGAGTCTGTTCATGCCCCCTTCAACATTGTTTAGTATAAAGTTTCTTCATTGTTGTTTCATCTTTACCTTCTAAAATTCTTTCAGAAATCAAATTAATTGGTGTAGGAGATTTCATATTCCTTCAAACTCATTTCTAAAAATTTGCTTTACATGTATCTAGAGGAAGAACCAAGCCTAATGTTGGGGAAAGGTAGACAAGACCCATTAAACTTATCTCATTTAGTTAGTGAATCAGTCCTGTAATTATCATAACAGAAACAATGTGACATTTACTAGATATTCTCTAATTCTGTATAGTAGATATCTTTTAATATATTCTTGTTTTAACAAATTTATTAAGATTTTATATTTTCTACTACTTTATACATTTGTACATTTGTTTAACTTTGATAAACATAAGTTAATTCATTCCCAGTAATCAAGAGTTGGCTTTCATTTCATGAGCCAAATTATCCTTAAGTGTACAAAAGTCAAGAACCCTGGGCAGACAATTGAATATCGTTGGAAAACATACTATTGCCCCAAAAAGAGATTATCTTCACAAAGGAAATATAATGGCTTTGTACGTTGTTTTATATTTTTTAGAAATAAAAAGAGTAATATACATTTATTCATAATAAACGAAAGACGTACAAGTAAAAATTAAGCTATTTCTACATTTCTGCAACAAGTAGAGTTGACATCACAAAATGGGTCCTTAGATACTATCACTGTGTTCGTGCAAATATCCAGTCACACAAAGATGCACATATAGGCCATTATTTATAAATGGAGTTACCCTGCACAAGTTTCTTTTCTCAATTAGAATATATTACAATGTCTCCAAGTTACTAAGCATACCTGACGGCCATACTAAACTTAGTTATCTAGTCACCAGTCACCAGTGTTGGATATACAAACCATTTCCAACAAGCAGTGGGAAACAATCAACTCTAGATGTTAATAAATTCCAGATTTCTGAGCTTTTTGCTTTCTGTTTTTTACTGTGCCTGGAAGATAAATAGTAGAGTGCCAAAGAGCAAGATAAAAGATGTATTTTAGATATACAGAAGACTGGGATTAGAACAGACTTATCTAAAATTTAAAGGACATTTGAAGGGGGATTATGGGGAGGGGGCCTGTGCTTTGAATTTACAGATTTAAGAAGGTGAGGAAATCCCAAACAGAATAAATTCAAAGAAATCTACACCAAGATATAATTAAACTTCTGAAAGGCAAAGACAAAGAAAAAAATATTGAAACCAACCAGAAAAAGAATAATGGCTTACCTTAGAGGAAGAATAATTTAAATGACAGAGTATTTCTCATTAAAAATCATGGGGGCCAGAAGGAAGTACAAAAATATTTTTTAAGTTCTATATGAGAAGTTTCAATCCATAATTCTATACCCAGTAAAAACATCCTTTAAAAACAAAAGGGATCAATGCTATATGTGAAAACAAACAAAAAAATAAAGGGGGAAATAAAAGACATTTGCAAATGAAGGAAAACCAAGGGAATTAGTTGCCAGCAGACTTATCTTAAAAGAAGGCTAAGAGAAGTTCTCTAAACAAAAAGGAAAGACAAAATAAGTAATCTTGGAACATCAGAAAGGAAAATATAACATGTTAATTTAAAAAAATAGCTAAATGCAATAGGCTTTTCTTAAACTTTCTAAATTATGTTTCACTATTGAAGTAAAAATTATGACACGTTTCATTTGCTTCTAAATATATGTAGAGGACATATTTATGAAAATTATATTATAAATTAGGAAGGAGAAAAGAAGTAAATTTTTTATATGTCACTCAAACTGGTAAAATGATAAAACTATAGATTGTAATAAGTTGTGTATATATAATACAATATCTAAATCATTCAAAAAGCTATACAAAGAGATATACTCAAAAATGCAAAAGCTGAAAATGGAATTCTAAAAAACTGTTCAAACAACCACAGGAAGGTAAGAAAAAGAAAACAAGAAAAAGACAAAATGGTAATCTTAGTCCCTAACATATTAATAATCACATTATATGCAAGTGATTATGCCAATTAAAACATGGGGTTTGGGGCCTGGAACCTCACCATGCAGCCTGCCTTTTTCCTCCAGTTACAGACCCACTGGCAGGTGGAAAATATCTGGGACTCCAAGGAACACAGTTTACATACCAGTGACTTGAGAAACAAAATTCAAAATTTATTTTAAAAAAAAGATAGACAAAGTAGATTTTAAAATGATCAGTTACATGCTTTCTACGAGAAACTGACTTCAAATACAGCAATATAAGCAGATTAAAAATAAAAGGATGGAAAAAGATATATTATGGAGACATTAATCCAAGGAAAACAAAAGTACCTATATTAATATCAGACAAAGTAAACTTCAGAACAAAGAAAATTACCAGAGACAGAGACATTATATAATGGTCAAAAGCTCAATCCACCAGGGAGACACAATTTTAAATATGTATGCACCAAACAACATAGTCACAAAGCATGTAAAACAAAAACCAATATGACTGAAAGGAGGAAAAATGGACAATTCCACAATACCCCACTCTCAATTGATTTTTAAAAAATAAAAAATCGAATATAAAAATTTTACATCAAATAAAACAGATTAATAGACAATTGTAGAATACTTCTCCCCCAAGAAAAGTAGAATATTCATTCTCTTTAAGTGCCATCAAACAAATACCAGGAAATAATATATTCTGAGCCACAAAATGAATGTCGACAAATTTAAAATAATTAAAATTGTACAGAGTGCATTCTCTGACCATAATGAAATCCAACTAGAAATTAGTTATAGAAAGATAAAAGAAATCTGAAAACACTTGAAAATTAAACTATACACATCTAAATAGCTCATGAATAAAACAGCAAATCTCAAGGGAAAAATACATTGAACTGAACAAAAATTTAAAATACAACACAGTAAAATTAATGGGACACAGCTAAAGCAATGCCAAGAGAGAAATTTATATCACTAAATGCCTATGCTAGAAAAGAGAAAATTTTCTCTAATAATCTAAGCTTCCATCTCAGAAATATAGAAAAAGAAGATAAAAATATCCCAAAGCAAACACAAGGAAATAAATTAAAAAACAGAAATCCCTAAAATTGAAAACAAGAAAATCAACAAAGCAAAGAGCTGGTTCTTTTAAAAGATCAACAAATAGAATTAATAGACCTCCAGCAAGACTGACAAGAGAATAGACAAAAATTACCGATATCAAAAATGAAATGGATATCACCACTGACACAGCAGAATCAAGGGATAATAAGAAAATAATATAGACAACTCTAGACAAAATGGACCAATTCCTTAAAAAAAAAAATACAAACTACCAAAACTCACTGAATGCAAAATAGATACTTCCAATAGCTCTATATCTGTTAAGGAAACTGAATTTGTTATTTTAAAACTTCCAAAAAAGACATTTCCAGACCCAGATGATTTCACTGGGGAATCCTACAATTTGTTTAAAGAAAAATTAATTCAAATTCTGTAAATATTTTCCAGAAGATAAAGTAGAATAGGTTATATCTCAAATTGTTTTATGAAGCTGGTATTACCCTGATATCAAAACCAGGAAAAACAGTATAAAAAATTATAGACCCAAAGCCTTCATGAATATAAATGCAAAAGTTATTAACAAAATATTAGAAAACAAAATTCATCAATTAAAAAATTATACATGATGGCCAAATGGAGTCTATTTCAGGTATGCAAAGCTAGGTCAAGATCTGAAAATCAATTAATGTAATAGACCACATTAACTAGCTAAAGCAGAAAAATTACATGATCATATCAATTAATGCATTAATTAAATTCAAATGGAATTAATGCAGGAAAAAACTAATTCAAAATCCATTCACGATAAAAAATATCTCAGTAAAATAGAAATACAAGAGAACTCCCTCAACTCAAATCATCTACATACAAATCTACATACAAATCATCTACATACAACTCAAATCATCTACATACAATATACAGCTAACATTATACTTATTAGTGACAGACTTAATATTTTCCCCCTGAGACTGAGAACAAGACAATGATGTTCACTCTCATCACTTTTATTCAACATAGCCTTAAAAGTTTCAGTGAGTGCAATAAGGCAAGAAAATAAAATAATAGGCATACATATTAGAAAGGAAGAAATAATACCGTTTCTATTTGCAGGTGACATGATTGTCTTTGTAGAAAATCCAAGGAATCTACAATATACTCCTAGAACTAATGAGCAAGTCACCAAAATTGCAGAATACAAGATAAACATACAGAAATTTATTCTATTTTGGTATACCAGCCAGAACATATGTGCAGCAAGCAAAATGTGTACAGGACTCATATGCTAAAAACTACACGATGTTGATAACATAAATGAAAGAGGACCTACATAGATGAAGAGACACACTATGTCCATTGATTGGACTATTCAAATAGTAAAGATGTCCATTTTTCCCAAATTAGTATATGAATTTAATACAATCACTATCAAAATCCAAAAAGTTTTTTCTAGGTACAGACAAGATTATTATACAATTTATATGAAAAAGCATGAAACCAAGAATAGTTAAAACAATTTTGAAAAAAAATAAAGTGGAAGGAATCTATCTACCTGATTTTAAGATTTATATGATTATAGTCATCAAGACTGGTACTGGCAGGGGTATAAACAATGGAGAAGAATCCAGAATCCAGAAATAGATCCACACAAATATGCAACTAATTTTTTTTTTTACAAAGTTACAAGAACAATTCAATGGAGGAAGGACAGTCATAAAACAAGTGGTTCTAGTACAATTGAAAATCCAAATAAACACACAAGGAAACCTTGATCTTAACATTACAGTTTACACAAAATTTAACTCAAAATGGATCATAGACTTAAATGTAATTCATAAAATTATAAAATTTTTAGAGAAATAGGATAAATATTTAAGATTTAGAAGTATGCAAAGAGTGAAAAGGAAAATTGATTCAATATTGCTTTAAAAATTGATGTAAATAAACCTTTTGATCTGTGTAATACCCTGTGAAGGGGATAAAAAGATAAGTTATGGATTGAAAGAAAACATTTCCCAACCACATATCCGACAAAGGTATAGTATATAAAGAACACTCAAAACTAAAAAAAAAACAAACAAAAATTAATTAAAACATAAGCAAAAGACATTAAGAAATATTTCACCAAACAAAATATATAACTGAGAAATAAGCACATAAAAAGATACTCAACATCATTATCCATTAGGAAAATGCAAATTAAAACCAAAATGAGATATTGCTATACACCTATTGAAATAACTAAAGAGTAGTGACAACACCAAATGCTGGTGAGGATGCGGAGAAACTAGGGCCCTCACACATTTCTGGTAAGAAAGTAAAATGGTATAGTCACTCTGGAAGAATATCGCAGTTTCTTAAAATACTAAACGTGCAAATACATCTAGGATTAAAATACTAAACAAGCATTTATTAAAATACTAAACATACCATACAATCCAGGAATTAAACTTCTGTCTGTGCATTTATTCTAGAAAAATACTTCTATTCACACAAAACCTGTGCACAAATGTTTATAGCAACTTTATAACAGAGCTGGAAATAACTCAGATGTCCTTCAAAGGTGAATGGTTAAACAATCTGTAGTTTGAGTCCCAGATACTTCCTAGTTATGTGAAAGCACAGTTATTTTATTCCTTTTCCTACATTTTCTCTCTCGTAGAATAAGAATAATTGCGTCAATCTATTAAAGTTTTTGAGGGAATTAAATGAGTCAAAGTATGTAGAGCACTTAACATGGTGCTGGCACAAAGTACTCAGTAAAAATTAGCACCAATAGGGAGTGTAAATTAGTTCAACCATTGTAGAAGACAGTGCGGAGATTCTTCAAGGATCTAGAACCATAAATACAATTTGACCCAGCAATCCCATTACTGGGTATATACCCTATAAGTCATTCTACTATAAAGACACATGCACAGGTATGTTTATTACAGCACTGTTCACAATAGCAAAGACTTGGAACCAACCTAAATGCCCATCAATGATAGACTGGATAAAGAAAATGTAGCACATACACACCATGGAATACTATGCAGCCATAAAAAAGGATGAGTTCATGTCCTTTGCAGGGACATGGATGAAGCTGGAAGCCATCATTTTTAGCAAACTAACACAGGAACAGAAAACCAAACACCACATGTTCTCATAAGTGGGAGTTGAACAATGAGAACACATGGACACAGGGAAGAAACATCACACACTGGGGCCTGTCAGGGGTTGGGGGGCTAGGGGAAGGGATAGCATTAGGAGAAATGCCAAATGTAGGTGACGGGTTGATGGGTGCAGCAAACCACCATGGCACGTGTATACCTATGTAACCTGCATGTTCTGCATGTGTATCCCAGAACTTTAAAGTATAATAAAAAATAAAAATTACCACTAATAACACTTGCACAGCTTGTAGAAGATAGTCTTAAGATTATGAAATCCATCCTGGTTGTGTGGTACTGGTGTCGGGGATGGGAGCAAAAGCCTCTGTCTACCATTGCTTCTTTAATTGACTAGTTTGGGCAGCAAGAATACAAAAGCTAGACATGACACACTGTGTAAAAATCAGGAATGAAAAGCATGATGTGGTCAATAAGAAATGCAAATACATACAAAAATGCTAAATTGCCTTAGTGTAGAAAGATTGCCTGCTGGAAATAGGAACTATAAGTAAAACTCTGTGAGTGTGATTTTTAAAATATGATTTATTACAAAATTCCAGCAGCCAAACAAAAGAAAGATAGTCCCTCTAATAAAAACTGAACATAGCATTTCTTATCTATTATTTGTTTATTAGGGTTCTAATTAGCCAGACAGTGTCACTTAATTTCAACACATTTTATAAATAATTTGCCATATGTCTGTTAGTATTTACGATTTCCAGGCAGTTTGGAAAATGAACATATTTGAGGACTCTCTATTCATTGGTTAGCATGAAAACCCAAGGGATGCTACAGACACATTTGTTCCTAAATTGCATGTGCCTCTCTCTTTACCAGGAAAGTGATAATGGGAAAGAGCTGGTCTTAGGAGAAAGACCAGTGATGGAAAATATACTAGTCTTAGGAGAAAGACAATGTGGTTTGAGGTCCCATGTTCACCACCAAATTCCTGTTTGGCTTTGAGCAATTGTATTCACTTCTCTGAGCTTCAGCATTCTCCTCCATGGCACAAGGGGGCTTCACTAAATAACCTCCAGTTACCCACTAGTGCAATATTCTGCAATTTAACCGTATCTGTGATTCTAGACCACACTCGTCCCTAGAAGCCAGAGCACTCTGAGTGAAGGGAAGTAAAGGAACAGGGACTTAAGCATTCTTCTCTTTAGCAGATGGAGAATTTTGAAATGCCAACTCGCTCTTTTAAAAATTCTAGACTGTCTAAAGCATAGGCAAATTTCATGTTCTTAAAAATTCCTAGCTTGTGTCTTACACACACAGCGATGCAGATTTTAGATGGTGTGGGTGTTTCTTCTCTTGTAAAATGTTTCCTATGTCCATGTTTCTTCTTGGTATTCTGATAAGATCTGTAGGTACATACAAAGTTCACAATTACTCTACCAACCAACCAAAATCTTATGTAAAGATTTTCATGAAGTTAGTATGTTCACTTCTTTCCAACACCTTTTATTCCTAAGTTTGGTAATATTTCTTTTTTTTACTACCCTTAAAATCAACTTACTGCTCATTCTACCTTCTCTTTTATTTATGGACCCATCAATAATTATCCATCAATACAGCAACTTGCTCATGACATTTATGCCAATTAGTTGAGTTGTAGGTAACTTAATAAAAGGATTATACATGAAAATCTCATTTTAGGGTATGAATCGAAGCTATCAATAAGCCCATTACTAATTCTGATTTTCTGTAAGTTTGCACCATTCACATAATCTGCCACTATAATATATTGGTCCCACTTTCCTTATTTTGTATAATCAAACAGTAATCAATAAAAACTATGACTACTGCAAAATGAGACTTCTGAAGCTTTGAGGGCAAATTCATCATCAGCATGCATATAAAAGTCACTGTAGAGAGTCTTTTCTTTCTTAAGTGCCCTTGAAACCCAGCAGCTGAATCATATTTCAGGCCCCCCAAAGAGAACTGCAAGGTTATAATTGTCTCACACTTAATTACATGCATTACCAAAGGTAGATGGACAAAGTCATTTTGTACCATGCGTAGAGAATAAAAATCACCATGAATTTTGATATTGCTGGCTCATTGATTCACAGGAAGTAGAAATTTATGCAAGAACCATGTCTAACAATGTAAATGTTCAGCCAAGTCGAAGAACACTGCCTTCACTGTTCTGGGACTCGGCCTCACATTCACAGACTTGCTATTCTTCTCTTTCACTCTTGGGCCTAGCGAGGCAGCTTATTTTTCCTTTTTCTTTCATTGGTCACAGTTATTTCTTTTCAGTGTGTCATCTTCTCTAAGTTTCTGAGGGAGTGTTAGCTTGAGGCCTTGCCTTGACATAATCAGATATAATCAGAAAAATGAAAAATTCCATAGGAAAGAGAACTATTTTAGCCAAGGTGTGCGAGAGAAATACCGCCACTTTCAAGCACTGTTTTCTTCTACTGGAGTCTGCTCAATAGGGACGTCAGCTTTGCTGGGGTAAGTAAAAGCATCCTGGCCTTAACCTATATAATGGGGGAGTAATTGCCTCTTAGAATCATCAAGTCTAAGTTCTGAATTAGGCCCAGGATATGACTACTTTTCTTTACACTGCATTTGAAATTTCATTTGGCTTTCTGGGTGCGAGATCCACATTTCTTTTCTAACAGAATGTTTTATTTTTCGTCAATTGATTTCATTATGATAAGCTGATGGCAAATGCTACTTCCTCACTCAACAGGGCTTGCAGTCTGAATGTGCCTGAATACATTTTATGATAAATAATATATCCTGCTATCCTGCATTCATCCAGTGCAGCCTGAGGAAGCAGATGGAGTTACAGCCTTCTTCTCAAAGCAGAAAGAAACTATAGCTTTGAGGAAGAGAATGAGATCATTACATGGCTTCCCAATTTCATCTTGATAAACTCTGAAGCTGCCATATTGCAGTAGTTTTCAACTATAGGTGGGAAGCTTGACTTTCCTTTGAGTTCAAAGGAGAAAACTGTTGCTTAAAGAAAAATGTGTTTTTTCCCTAAGTATGAGTTACTCCTTCCAGAAAAAAAATAAAAAAGCCCCATGCATGCAGGTCTGTGATGAATACATTTAGGACAGTCCTGTGGCCTGCTATTAAGGCTGGAGTGACACTATCCCTAACCCTAAGGTGAAAAGTAATGTTAAAAATAAAAATTATACTGAGCTGCTAGTTATTTTGCCTACAGGAGTGCATGCCTGTGTCTGGTGGAACTTGGTTTTTCTCTGAATTTGCCAGGCAATTTTCTCTGAATTTGCCAGGTAGGCAGAGGAGAATTTGAAAACTGTAGAGAGGAGCTTGACCTCCCAAAGCCAATCTGGCACTCTGCTACTTCCTTCTTCCACAGTTTCTTCTCTGTTTCCAGATCTTGCAAATGTACAGTCAAGACTGCTTGGAGTATTATTCCATTAACAGACATACAGTTACATTAAGCCATTAATCAGGCAGATCACAGATGTTGTTTTCTGTCTAGATGTTACTATAATTACTCTTAATAACACCCACTGAGTTTGTCATTTCATCCATTGATGACTTTTTAAAAAATTCTTGGAAAATTCATTTCTTACAGCCTAATTATATGGATTTAAGGGTTCAGGATCTCTCCTCAGGTTTTCATCATGTATTTTTTAAAGAGTATAGCAGTATAACATCACATATGGGTGGATTAATAGGCTCTTGAGAAACTGAAGGTTGAAACCCACATGCTGACTTTTTACAGTTAAATCATACTCCTCTCGTGCTAAACGATGAGCCTTATCTTTTGAAGCATGTGATACTGATAAGTCCAGTGAAGGAGGCTGCCTTTCAAAGGAACGGAGCTCTGAGGAATGGAATGGAACTTAGTCTAGCTGCCTAGTTTACAGATGATAAAACTAGGACCTAGAGAAATGAAGTCTGAATTACTGAGAGAAAAGGACACCAGAGTCCAAGGCTCAGAGCTCTCAATCCAGTGTTGCTTCTTCTTGTTTATTTTGTTTTGTTTTGAGATGGAGTCTTGCTCTGTCACCCAGGCTGGCGTGCAGTGGCGCAATCTCAGCTCAATGCAACCTCTGCCTCCTGGATTCAAGCAATTCTCCCATCTCAGCCTCCCAAGTAGCTAGGATTACAGGCATGCACCACCATGCCTGGCTAATTTTTGTTTTGTTTTTTGTTTTTTGTTTTTTAGTAGAGACGGAGTTTCACCATGTTGGCCAGGCTGGTCTCGAACTCCTGACCTCAGGTGATCCGCCCACAGCCTCCCAAAGTGCTGGGATTACAAGCGTAAGCACCGCACCTGGCCCAGTGTTGCTTCTACTACCACTTTCATTCTTCAAACAGCTTCTGCCATGTCAGAAGGGAATGAAAATTTCTTTTGTGACTCAAAAGTAAACTAAAACTCGTTGGATTCCTGAGACTGATTCTACCCATTTACCCACTCTCCTTAAAGTAAAACTTAGCCAGGCATTCTTAAATTTTGCTTTGAACCTAGGGAGTTCTAGCTTTTCTGCTGATTAAATGTCACTGATTTCTCATTTTCTGGTGACATTGTTTTACAATTCTTTTAACTACAAAGTTTAAGTTTCTGGAGCCTTTTCTTCTTTTCATTTTTTATAAAATACCCTTTTATTAAGAGATGAAGTTGGGTAGTCAGAATAGGAGTGGGTATTGTTTAGTAGAAAAAAAACGGGCTTTGGAATAAAACTTGCATATGAATTACAGTTCTGCTTCCTATAATTGTGTAACCTTGGCAAGTTACTGCGCCTGTCAAATGCTCACATTAAAAGAGTGTGTGTGTGTGTGTGTGTGTGTAATTGCCAGTACAATTCAATAATTGGCCCACAGAAGGCACTTAATAATTGCTAGTTACTACTAAGAGAACCAGATGAGAAAGAATATTAATGGATATGGCATTTTTTGTTTATTAAGTACTGTCTTAAACGTCTGGAGAAAAGAAGGAGAATCTCATTTTCTGCTTTCGTTATTAGTGATCACTGGCTGCTGTTGCCAATGCAGGGAGCCTTGCAGATAGTTAGCAGCCTGAAAACAACTTGTATTATTTGAGAGGAGGTACTTTTGTCTCTTAGATAAAGTTTTTGCAGGTCGCTCTGGTATGGTGCAGTATCAATCTGAACTCATTAAGTTGAAGAAGTGACACAGGAACACAAGAATACATTGTTTCTTTGCCTCATCTGCTTAATTAAAAATTCCAGATCCCTCCACTCACAAGCAAGATTGATGGTGAAATCTTCACACACATGCTACCGTATGTTCTCTACCTCCTCCTCCCCAAGTACAACCTAGAGCAGTGGTTCCCAAATATGCTTCCTGGGCCGGCTGTATCAGAATTACTCGGGAACTATTAGAAGGGCAAAACCTCAGGCCCTGCCGCAGACATGCTGAGTCAGAAACTCGGGATCACTCAGAAATCTGTTTTAAATAGGCCTTCAGGTGATTCTGATGGAGTTCCAGAACCATGACCTGGAGAACATGCCCAGTTACTATATGTACTGCAGTGTTTCTCAAAGTGAAGAACAGGTACCATGATAGAACCAAAAATGATCTTAGGTAGGACAAAGATGACTTTAGGTGATACTCACGTATTATATCAAATAGCTAGATCACATAGTAAAAGTTTTCCCTCTCAACTCTCTTTCCATCATTAAGTCTCATTTTGGTATGACTAGACCTTTAATACCTCTCTACCCATTGCTAATCTCCCATTTCAACAAAGAGAGCTGGATGCAATTTTGATGTCTTTAGGTAGCAGCAGGGTCCAGCTAAAACTCAGCAATAGTTTTCTTCTCTTTATGGCATGCTATTTAAATGGTGATAAACTTTTCCTTTATAAATGTTTACATTAATTAATCAAAAAAGTTAAAATACAGTTGGCACGTGGATTAGCAAAATTATGTCAGTGATATGGCAGTGAATGTATTTAGAGAAATGCTGGTATGCTAGAAAGAACCTAGTTACATCAGTGCTTTAATTTCATTTGTGCCATTTATTAGCTGTGCTATTTTCTTAGCTGTGCTACTTTTGTAAGCCTCAATTTTCTCATCTATCAAATGGGAGTGATACCAACATCATAGAAATGGTATAAGAACTTATGAATGGAATATGCCTCCTGTAACCCTCAGAACATAGTAGGAACTTGCTACATCCTTATTCTCTCAAATCTCACTTTGAAGTCAGGTTTCTGTGTGGCCTTCTCAATAGCATTTCTGTTGGGGCTTCAGATTCTTCATTTGTAATGTGACAGTAAAGACTTGAAGATCTGAAAGGTTCCTTCCAGCTCTTAACTAATATGTATTTACACATGTGTATTGTATGTGTGTATGTTTACATATAGTGTAAATTCTGCATATAAGTATGACTTAGGCATAAATAGTTATTTTCCCCAGGCATAAACCTGGAGTGTGCAGGGATAATATTGAAAATAGATGGCTGTGTTGGAAAAATAAAAAATCAAATTGTGAGAGATGTGGGCGCTGATATACATATCAGAGCTCAAAGGTAATTTCATTGTATTTTACCATCATCTGTCAAACTTAAAGCAATACCGACACTAGAAAATAGATTTTTGCAGAGGTTTCTGAGGACAATGGTTTCCATGAGCTGGTGTAAATATATTCAGAGAGACTTGTTCCTACTTAATAACCCGCGTTTTTCCTTCTGAATTGCTGATGCATTCATTTATAGCATTTGAAAGGCAGTTTGTCCTTTGCTGTCAAGTGAACTTGACACAATAATAAGAAATTCTGAAAAATTCAATCAAATCTTGTTGCTTCTCAAAGGAATTTCTCGACTACTTATTCTGTTTAAGGAGAAAAAGAGAAGACAGTGTTTCTTTGGTCTTGTATAAAACACTAACCAAGTTTAACAGCACAGGTTCTTGTTAGCAGGTGCCACATGGAGTTTTCCCTCTCAGTAATCCAGGGGACAGTTCTAACTGAGGTTTGGGGGTTCTTTGGGAAGTAGCAGCAATACATAAGGGGTCACCGCAAGGCTGTACTGTTATAAAATCAGAAGCTGTTATCAGCTTATTTATTGCTTACAATATGCTTGTGAATCTGGAGACCTAAAAACAGAGAAATGGCGAAACTTGCTTCTCTTCCTTAGACGATAAAATAGCTTGCATTGTCTTTTACATAACTGACTATTATAGAATCCCAGAAGCTAGATACACTCAAATATTGGCAATTCTGATGAAATGCCCCAGGAACTATTAGACTTGATTTAACAGGCACTGAACTGAAAATTAGCATGTAAGACAGAGAGAATGTGCTTGCAATCATGCAGACAACAGTTCAAATTACTCTCTTTGAGCTCCAGTCTCCTTATCTATAAACTGAGGATAAAATGTTTCTACCTCACAAGATTGTCCTGAGAATTAATCGAAGAGGTAATATTGGAAGTAGCCAGAACATCTAACATTAACTGAGTACTTACTATCTGCCAGTTGCTATTTCAAGGGCTTCAACCGCATAGGATCATTTAAGCCTCAATAAATCTCTGAGATAGTTACTATTATTAGCTCCATGTTGTGGATGTAGGAACTTATACCAGAGAAAATGTAATTAACTTGCCAGCCACAATGTGGCAGGAAGAGACAGAGCCAACATGGGAACCCAAAAAGTCTGGCTGCAGATGCTCCTTCTTTAAGGCTTAAAAACACTTGACATTGTTATCAGCATTTCATATGAGTTGAACCATGTGAAATTATAAATACTTGACCATTTTTGACATAAAAATAGCAATTTTTTGTGGTGGTACCTACTAAGCGCTGGATATGTATTAGTAGTAGCTACAGTTGCTACTACTGCTAATAGCAGCAATCATAATATTGATTTTATCCCAAACCCTCACTCATTAAGGAATACAGGTGGCATTATAGAGTAAAAACTACTAGCTTGGCGATCAGAAGCTGGGTGAACTCTAGGTCTTAATTCTCCCATTTGTAAAATAATGGGATTGGTCTTTTCCAGTTTTAATTGTCAATGGCAGAACCTTAAAAACTACCTATGAGGAAGAACCAGATATTTCTGTCCAATCTATCTTGGACCAATATCTAGTTCTGTTATGAATGACTAGTATATAGTTCCTGTCATATACAACTCACCATGTGAGTTTGACAATACCCAAATTGGTACCTAGCCTGCTCAACACGGCAAGTTTAGTGAGCACATGCTTGGATATTGTACTAGAATCAAATTTAGGCACTCATTTCTAAATACCTATTTTCAATGCCTGTACTTAACTTGCTACAACCCAATAGTAAACAGTTTGTGGACTGACACTAGTTTATGCACTACCCTTTCAATAGCATTGGAACTCTGTGATATATATATAAATAAATTCTTAAAGGGAATATGTGCATGTCTGTGTTCCCTTCTTTTAGAAATGTATTCTCTTTGGAGATTAGAAATGAGTGTCCACAAAGCAAAAGAATATTTTTAAAAGAAAGACCACAGATGGATCATAAAAACAATAGTACTTGGGGCATTCATATAAGATAGGGAAAAGACATCAGCGTGTACCAAATTTTGTTAGTACATGTATTTTTTTAATGTTTTTTATTTAAACAATAATTAACAGTCTTTGGTGTCATCATATTTGAAGCACTAGAGAATTAGAGATAAATGAGACATGGTGACCGTCCTCATAGCTCACAGTCTAGCCAGAGACCCCAGAATGTTAGCACATAATTGTAGAATAGTGACTAATGTTCTGAAGGAAGATGTATTTAATTTGGCTTGGGTATCACAGGGGGCTCTACGCTTTCAGGTGTGATTTCTTACATTTTGTTGTTTAGAATGGTTTTACTTTATTTTTTTAAAAAAACTTTTTGTTCATTTATGACACATACAATATGAACTAATCTGAAATGCACAGCTTGATGAACTATAACAAAGTGAACACTTTGTATGTAGCTACCACTTGATCAAGAAATAAAATGCTACCAGCTTTCGAGAAGGTCCTGGTGTGCCTCTTCCCAGTCACCACCCTCTCCCTTTTCACAAATGTAACCACATTCCTAATTTCCAACACCAAGAACTAAGTTTGCCTGTTCTTAAAACCTGTGAATGGAACCACACTGATATGTTCCTTGGTGTCTGGCTCTTTTGCTTAATGTCATGTCCACAGTCATGGTTCCCAAACTGCGGGCTAAAGCATCCCAGGGTACCACAATGTGCTCATAAGGAAACAGCAGGATATTTTTTAAATTTTAGAGTCACATAGTGATAATTGACAACTTTCAGACACTGAATGAAATAATAGCCCATAGTAGTTCAGTTTCAACATTAGATTGTGCTACATTTCTTTTGATGCTATATCTTTTAACACCAGATTTTCAAGAGTATCTGTGATTAAAAGCAAGTACACACAAAAGTCAACATGAAACAAATAAGGGTGGCCAAATCCGATCTGATTCCAATATTCAAGAAGCTTTGGTATGCCCAACAGGCACACAAATCCTATTAGTAATTTCTTGTGGTTATTTAAGGATGAAAAATATCAGTTTTTTTCTTTCAATTTATGTGTATTTTTAACATGACCGCTAAGTTATTATAACATAAGTATTGGTCAGGGACAGTGTCTCATGCCTGTAATCCCAGCACTTTGGGAGGCCAAGGTGGGCAGATCACTTGAGGCCAGGAGTTCAAGACCAGCCTGGCCAAGTAGCAAAATCCCATCTCTACTAAAAATACAAAAATTATCAGGACATGTTGGTGCATGCCTGTAATCCCAACTACTCAGGATGCTGAGGCAGGAGAATCACTTGAACCCGGGAGGTGGACATTACAGTGAGCCCATATGGAGCCACTACACTCCAGCCTAGGCGACAGACCAACACTGTTTCTCAAAAAAAAAAAAACAAAGTATTTATTAAGTTATTGGGACCTTACTACTTCATAATCAGAACTATTATGTATTTCTTTTGGTGTGGTGGCACCTGTGAAAAAATTCCTACGACACTAAGGGAGCTAAGAAAGTTTGAGAAATCTCATTATGAGATTCATTTTTGTTGCTTCATGGAATAGTCATTTGTTAATTTTCATTTGTGTGTGGTTTTCTATCATGTGAGTACACCACAACTTACGTACATTTTCTACTCTTGATGGAAATTTGGATTGTTTCCAGGTTGGGGCAATTATGAAGAATGTTCCTATGAACAGTTTTTGGCATATCTTTTAGCACATATATGTGTGTGTGTGTATATATATATATTTCTGTTGGGTATGTATTTAGGAGTGAAGTTGCTGAGCTTTAACTGATACTGCTAAACAGTTTTCTAAATTAATTATTCCAATTTACATTCCCACCATGGTTGTTGGAGAGTATCAGTTGTTTTACTCAAAATAACCCTTAATATTTGAAGTTATTTTAATACTAGTAAATGTAGGCATATACAGATTTTTGTACTTTGTAAAGCTTAATTCAATTTTGGGGATTCTACTTAAGAAAATAATACTAAACAAATTTAAGTTTAAAATGAGTAATTATTAAAAATGAGAAAATAAATTACAGAAAAGTATAAAATTTTAAAGCTAAAAAATAACCCCAAATATTACAAAATGAAAAAAACTTGAGAAAAATAATATGAATTCACTGCCCATCACACCCCTGCATTGTTTTGTTCCTATGTCCTTTTGCTGGACATTCTTGAATTGCCCCTTCAAAACAATTTTGTATTCTCATTTTTTATGGAGAGATAGATTGGTCTTTGTTACAGTATGTTTGATCAAAACTTTTTAAATATAGTTTAGAAAAGTTTCTTTAGGTTCACAATTTGTCAAATTTGGGGAAATCTCTATCAGATTTTTTTTAATGAACTGCAGATTTTCAGTTCCTTTTAAGTTGCATGGTAAGCTTAAGTGCTCTTTGAATTGGAACACTCATTAACAGCTTTTTTTTTTTGTCAATGCTCTGTTGGTAGTAACTTACGTGTTTGCTTAGATACTCCTCTTTGTTGACATCTAAATCAACGAGGCAGGCAATAGGGTATACCTAGAAGCCATTTCTACCTTTGGAAAGCTGGCAATTAGTTACTCAGTAAGTACTCAGTAGGTAAGGCAATTAAGTACTCAAGGCTGACCACAAACCACTAAAAATATTTCACTAAACTGAAACTAAACATATCCCCAACTCACTTTAACCCTTACCAGTTCCCACATATACACATAGCTACTTCTATTGAAGTGATTATATGACTTATCTCCTCTTTTTTCTAAACCTCTTTATGTTGAAATATATTAGTTGCTTTTCTAACATGAAGCCAGCCTTGCATTCCTGGAATGTATGCCACCTGGTCATTATGTATTAGCCTTTCTATCAATCTCTGGATTTGTCTGGAAATATTTGGTTTAGGATTGTTGCTTTTATGTTTATAAAAGATTGACCTATAATATACTTTTGGATTTTTCTTTCATTTTATTTAAGGTGTTCATCTGCTTTTGGTATCAATGCTCTGCTGTCCTCATAAAATAAATTGGGAAGTGTTTTCTATTTTTATGTTTTCTGAAACAACTTGTATAAGATTGATGGTACTCCTTAGCTCTTGGAAGAAATTACCAGCCAAGCCACATGGGCCCTGATTTTTGTGTGTGTGTGTGTGTGGGAATGTTTTAAATAATGAATTCAATTGCTTTAATAAATATAGGATGATTCAGATTTTCTGTTTCTTCTTATAAAAAAGAGGCTTTATTTTTCTAGGGCTATATCCTAGAAGAATTATTATTAAATAAATTTTTAAATTTATTGATACAAATGTGCTCATATCTTCCAATGGTATTATTTTTAAAATATCAGTTGAATTTTTAATATTCCTTAAGTTCCCTTCATTCCTTTGGTTATTGGTTATTTGTTTCTTCTCTTTTTTCTGTTTTATCAGTTAGCTTTTTCATAGTACCAAATTTTGGATTTTTAAAATTCTTTCTGCTATATTTTTTATATTGACCTTCTTCCGTTTACATTTGTTGGGTTCCATTCGCTCTTTATTTTTTTATCTTCTTGTAAAATATACTTAAACAATTGGTTTTTAGCCTTTCTTCTTTTCTAATATAGGCATTTAAGGCTATCGTTTCCCCAATCATAGCTTTAGGTGCATCCCATACATTTTGATATGCCGTATATTCATTTTCATGTAATTTAAGATATTTTAGAAACTTCCATTTTGATTTATTCTTTGGTCCATGGGTTATTTAGAAGTTATTGCTTGGTTTTCAAACTTAGGGGAAAATGTTTTTTAGTTATCCTTTGGTTACTTATTTCTAGCTTATATCTATTATGGTCTGAAAACATGTCTATCATTTCAAGTCTTTGAAATTTTTTTGAGACTTGCTTTATGGCTAGCCTGTGGCCTATTTTAATAAATGTTTCATGAGCCCTTGAAATCCTTGTAGGCCGGGCGCGATGGCTCATGCCTGTAATCCCAGCATTTTGGGAGGCCGAGGCGGGTGGATCACCTGAGGTCAGGAGTTCAAGACCTCCTTGGCCAACATGGTGAAACCCCATCTCTACTAAAAATACAAAAATTAGCTGGGCATGGTGGCACGCACCTGTAATCCCAGCTACTTGGGAGGCTGAGGCAGTAGAATCGCTTGTGCCCAGGAGGCAGATGCTGCAGTGAACTGAGAGCTTGCCACTGCACTCCAGCCTAGGTGACAGAGCAAGACTTCTTTAAAAAAATAATAATAAATTAAATAAAAAGAAATCCTATGTAAAACTAGGAGTATACAGTCAAATACCCTGTATTAATTGGGTTAGTTACTTCTTCCTCTCCCCTTTAGTGAGGTTATGTTATTTATTTGAAATATAGCTGAGTTTATTTTTCAGTTTTATTTTTCTCCTTCCCATCTTTGTCAATTTAATTTTTTATTGAATATAGAGAACATTAAACTACATCTAAATATCAAAATTATACAAAAACATATGCTCAGAAAAGTGACACTGCCTCCTGTATTTCTTCTGCTTCATTCCCCTACCTCATATGGGAGCCAATGTTGTTCTTGTCATTGACTTCCTGGGTTTCTCTTTGTAAAGATAAGTAGATGTACACATATTCTCTTACTTCTCCTTCTTTCTTTTATACAAGGTAACATGTAAGCTTCTTTGCAATTTGCTTTTTTTTTCACCTAACAATGTATCCCAGAGGTCATTCTACATCAGTTCGTAGAGATCTTCCTCATTCTTTGTTTACAACTGCATTGTATTCCATTGAATGTATGGGGTTATAGTTTAATCAGTGTCCTATGCTCAGACATTTTGGTAGTTTCCTACAGATATTACTTTAATGAGTAGCCTCATAAATATATATGTATCTTCAGGATAAATTCCTAGAAATGGGCTGCTGAGATGAAAGACAGATGCATGTATAGTTTTATTAACTGATGCCAAATCTCCCTCAGTAAGGATTTTGCATTCCAACCAATCTGCATGCCTACCAGTAATTCATGTTTTCCACAGCCCTATGAACGAAATATATCATCAAGCTTTGAATTTTTTGCCCATCTAAGTGAGAAATAGTATCTCAGTGAATTTTAACTTGCATTTATCTTAACATGAATTAACTTAAATAGCTTTTCATATGTTCAAGGCCCATGCTTATATTATTTTATAAATTGCCTCTCTTTTTCTTTTGTTCATTTTGCTATAGAATGATAATTTTTCCTTCTTTTCCAGTTTGTCATTTGTCTTTTGACTTTGCTTCTGGTATTTTTGCCATATGTAGTCAGTTTATCAATCTTTTATCACATCTGGACGTTTTAGTATCAGCTAAAAACTTTTTCATAAACCTAGAATATAGGGGAACTCACCAATATTTTCTTGCAGTAAAGTTACATTATTTTACATTTAGAATTCTGATCCATTTATTTTCCTATATATGATATGAAGAAGGAATCTGTTTTTCTATTTGTGAAAAAATGGTTATCCAGTTGCCCAACATCATTTATTTAAAAGACTATCTTTTCCTTAGTGATTTGAGATACAACCTTTTTAATATACTAGATTTCTATAGATTTCTATTCCGTTAGTCTGTTTGTATCCTCATGAGCCACTACCACACTATTTTAATTATAGTCTTTACAGTGTTAATAGGACTATACCCCCTTCATAGCTCTTCCTAGTGACTGTTTTTCTACCTATTCTTATGCATTTATTTTTCCATGTGAACTTTAGTCCCAATATATCTAACTTGACAAGAAAGCTTGTCAATATTTTCTTGGGTGAATCTATAAATTAACATAATTAACAGATATTAAAATAATGAAAAATGAGATTTTCATTATGTTGAGACATCCTAAACAAGAACAAGGGCCATCTTTCCACTTTCAAATGTACTTTTGCATCTTTCAGAGGTATTTATAGTTTCTTCATATACATTTGAACATATCTTATTGTGCTTGCTCCTAAATATTTTTGTTGGTATTGTAAATAAAATTTTCTTATTATATATTTTACCTATTATCTGTGTACATGAATGCTATTGAGTTTTGTTATAGCTTCATTCTATAATGTGGTTTTTAGCATTATAAAATATCTTTTGCCTCCTGTTATGCTGTTTTCTACTTTGTCCAATATGAGGATTTCAGTTCCTACTTCCTTATTGTTTTCATTTGCCTAGTAAACAGGCAAATGCTTTTGCCCATTCCTTTATCTTTAGCCTTTTTAAAAACTGCTATATTTTAGATATGTCTCTTATATACAACATAGAGTTGAAATTTGATGGGTCAATTTGAGAATCTTTTTATTTTAATAGGTGAGTTAAACTCATTTGTGTTTATTGATATAACTGCCAAGCCTCTCATCTTATGTTGTAATTACTATAAGCACTATATTTACTGTGTTTTTTCTATCTGATGTTCCTTTGCTTTTCCTTTTCCCTTTGGCTATTATGAAGTTTTTGTGCTTTTGTTTTGGTGTTTAGTTTTATACCTTTGTGGTACCCTTGACTTTTTTTGGTCTCACTTAAGCTTTTAAAGCTTTCAATGGCTACCCCTTCTCATAACAAAATCCAATATCTTTGCCATGGCCCATAAGACTTTTCATAACATAGTTTTTGACTACATATCTGAAGGGTTTTTTTCTGCCACTCTGCACTTAATCACTGAATTCCAGCAACTGAACTTTCTTCGTCATCCTAAATATATTCTCATCTGAAGTCCTTCACACTTGAGTTTTCTCCTTCAGAATATCCTTCTCCCTTCCCCAAAATTTTTACACAATTCAATATCCCATTTCATTCAGGTTGTATTAGTCAGTTTTTTGCTTTACTATAAAGGAATACCTGAGACTAGGTAATCTATAAAGAAAAGAGGGTTAATTGATGTATGGTTCTGCAGGCTGTACAAGCATGGCACCAACATCTACTCAGCTTCTGGTGGGGCCTTAGGAAGCTTACAGTTATGGTGGAAGGCAAAGCAGGAGCTTGCACCTCACATGGCAAGAGTGGGAGCAAGAGAGGGAGAAGGGGGAGGTCCCAGACTCTTTTAAGTAACCAGATATCATGTTAACTGAGAACTCAATTATCACCAAGAGGTTGGTGCTAAACCACTCATGAGGGATCCACCCCCATGATCCAATCACCTTCCACCAGGTCCCACCTCCAACACTGGGAATCACATTTCAGTATGTGAATTGGAGGGACAAATGTCCAAATGACATCACAGGTCTTGGCCTTCATTTCATTTCATCATCAAAAATGTCCCTAACCCTCTTATTTAAAAGATTACTCCACATCGTTCTCTGGTGTCTAGCATAATGGTTGACTTTTTTTTCTCAAAGTATGTACATTACTAACCATTATTCATTAAAATCACAGGTAGATTCTGAAGGCCAAAGAAAAATATTTGAATGGGTCCTTTCAACTAAAGAATATATTTTCCATGGTTTTTAACATAATTAAAATAATGGTCCAGCTAAAATTCTAAAACTTAAAGGTGTGGCTTAAGTATTTTGAGGCTCTCAAATAGAGAACAGAAGTGGAATGGGATTTGGCACTCAAGATGCAAGTGGTTGGCCCTGCCTGATAACCAGATGACAGGCCTGTCTGTGAAAGTTTTTCTCTAGATTCTTTCCACATCACAATTTGAAAGTTACATCTACATGTTTTTCTGATGGTGTAGGTGGGCTGTTTTCTTATGCTCCCTGACCTACTTTAACAGGAATCTAGGATAAATGTACATTCTGAACCCATGAGTAAAATGTGTATGATGTGAGGAACCTACAGAATGGAAGTCTAGCACCAGCTGTCCCATGTAGTTTTCCAACTTCATGCTACATAAAGCAGAGAAGAGAGGCGTCATGAATTGATGAAGTATAGTTCAGCAACCTGGGGCTTTCAGATTTTTGCCAGATGAAAAGACAACTGGAGCTGGCTTTTAAGTACCGGCATAATCTTTTAATTCTGGCAAAAGTTTATGAGTAAGAGATTGCCTAATCCTAAATGATGCCAACAATCTGTAACTACATTACAGAATCCTGATGTCAAAGAATTTGCTTCCAATAAATTTGCTCAAACTTCTATGAGACATAAAATACCTTTATGAACAGTAATTGTTATTGTGTCTTGGTGAGCTAATAACAAGTACAGGCGTATCTCCAGGGCAAGAATGGGGTGGAGGATGGATCATGGGGAAATAACTTTAAAATGGTCTCCAGGGCTAAAGCAGATGGTAGTATATTTGAAAAACGCAGGATAATAAATTATAGCTATTTACATTTCTGCTCTGAAGGCAATTCCTGTGTTTTCTGTAGGATGACTTCTTTGCAAAGGATTATTAACTTCAGAGAGAACTACAACAAATGATATTTTAATGACTAGTATAGTATTAAAAATGTGTTCCTTTTGTTGTGATTTTACTGAAAAAAATCATATTTTGGTAGAGAGATCTTGATTATATTTTAGAAGCTCTGCTGAGTCTTTCTCATGAAGTAAAATGGTAACACATTTTAGGAAGAAAAATACTAACATGGGTTTCCCTTTCAGAAATTACTCATTTCAACAAATATTTAACAAGGTCCTGTTATGGTCACGGCATGGCACTATGCCAGGTACTAAGAGGAATTAAATATATCCCTTGACCTCAAGCCATTTATGATTTTGTGGAGAATATTTCAAAAGCTAAATTTTCTGTATGATATAAGGTATAGTAACAATATGTAGCTGACCCACCCCACTCACATTTATAGTAGCTGATTTTGTAATATCTGCTTTTAAGACCTTTCTAGTTGGGAAAAAAAGCACCATAAACTCTTTCTGATAATAACCAAACAATTTGTAGTGTTGGATAAATGTAATCAGCAATGATGAGAAAACATGATGGACTGACTGATGAGGTGGAAGACTTTGATTGCCTGAATATGTGGTAAGATCGTGTATGTATATGCCTAGAAGCCAAAGTATGATTTTCGCAAAGGGTTGTCGTAATACAAAACCCTTAAGAAAAGGGAAAGTGAGATATCAGAAAAAAAATACATTTTTGGCTTGAGCAAGGGAATATTTGATCGCTCTAGGAGGAGAATCTATTGACATAACCTCACAGTTCAGGGAAAAGCTACAAGGAATTGTGACACTGTGGAATATAAGGAAAAAATGGATAGAGACTGGGTATGAAGGGAGGCTCCTTGAAGGAAGTGGTTTTTCATCTCAGCTTTGAAGGTTATGCATGGGTGTAATATGTGGAAAAGAATGATTGAGTCAGAGGAACCAGAGGGACCAAATGTATGAAACCCTGAACTTGCTGGGAAACTTGTGGAGAAAAATAATTTCACTGCCTTGTTGGTAAAAGCTAAGGAAGCAAAGATAGTTTGCAAGTAGTTCACCGAGGGTATTATTCAGTAAGCAATGAAGAGAATGTAGGGTGTGAAGAATAATGCAATGAGACTAGAGTTTTAGAAAGATAACTTTGGAAGGGCAATGTAAATGACAAGGAGAATATGTGTGACAGTCATTCACAGCAGAGAGAACTTTATCTCATTTAGTCCTCTGCAATAACTAGCATATTGATAAGCAGACATTACACAAATAATTCAGTCAGCACTAGGTTACAGCATGTCTACCACATTCAAGCATCTGTGGAGGTGAAAAAAAATGAAAAAACTTAAAATTTTTTCAATGAGTAATGAATTTACAGAGTTTTGTGGTCATCCAAGGTTTAGTTGCCCAACTGTCATTTTCTGTGTGTAAATTGAAGGGGTACAAGTGCAATTTTGTTATATGGATATATTTCATAGTGATGAAGTCCCAGCTTTTAGTGTATCCAAATAATATACATTGTACTCATTAAATAATCTCTCATCATTTACCTCCCTCCCTCCCCTCCTCATTCTTTTGAATCTAATGTCTATCATTCCCCACTCTATGTCCATGCGAACACTTTATTTAGCTTCCACCTGTGAGTGAGAACATGTGGTATTTGAGTTTCTGTTTCTGAGTTGTTTCACTTCCTTTTGAAATGGTTTTCATTCCACTCCCAAGGATATCAGCAGTTGGGACCAAGTTCGAAGAATGGGCCCTATAAAAGATTACAAATTTTATTAAATAAACAAACTAGGAAGCCAGAACAATTTAATCAAATTGGATGTGACTACCAATCAGAGGGCAGAAAACCCCATGAAGGACCTGCTGTTTTTGTATATTTCTAACACATGAAGAAAAATCTTTACCTAGAAGCCAAACATTCTAAGCCATGCCTAACTTGCCTCCTAGACATTATACAAACATGTACAGTATAAGCAACAGCTGCTTGACAGAGATTTTGAAATCAGGAAAAGGAAAAGTCTCTTTGGTTGAAAATGATGTGGTAATATTTATCCTCACAATGCTGTGTGTGCCCCAAGCTTGCCTTTATCCTTAACCCCTGAGGTGAGAGAGAAGCTGAATTCAAGCCAGTGGGTCAAGATCCAAAAGTAGCACATGAGCTTATTCCCAATGCAGGTGGGAGGTCCCAGAGAACAACATGCTCTATAAAACTTTGGGCAGCAGATAGAGATGACCATATGCTCCTCTTTCCATTTCTACTTGTCATTTTCTACTCCCCTCTCCCCTGTAGATGACTGGAAAGCAAAAGCTAAACATTCTTCCGACAACAACAAAACACCACAAGCTATACATCTCAGCTTGTTCTTCAACAAGCACAGTCCATTTCTGAGCCAGTGTTTGGAATTTGAACTGACAACTCAACCCAACAATTTTGCTGCTTTGTCTCTCTATCTCGAGTTATTTTTTTGTCACATCTTAGTCCAGGGTGTGAGAAACAGAGCTCTTACAGATTTTTTTTTTAATCTTGCTGAGGAATTATCTCTGTTTCAGCTCCACAACATTCCTTTTGAACATTCTCCCACTGAGCATGTGTTCAGAGGAACTTCAGCCTCATCAGTAATCTATATCTCAGCTGTCACTACTTTTCCAGAAAAACCTGAATTCTCAGTTTCAATGGAACACACAAAATAAGTTCTCATAAGACTAAGGTGGTATAGATGGCAAATGTTGCAGGCATAAACATCTGGTCAAGGGGTGCTATAGATGCATACAGACTAAGTTCATTCTGGACAGCACCTTAAGGAGAATTGAAGATACCAAGGTCTTACAGATCCTCAGTCCTCAAGGAAAAAGCCTGTCATGTTAATTAGTCCATACTTTGGCTAGAAATCTGTGGGGAAGAAACGTATACCACAAGGAGTGTAACCAAAAATTTCTCAGCCTGATGAGAATTTGTATGTGAGTGTCTGAAAGCACATTGTGAACCAAAAGAAGTATTGTCACTTGAGCCCGTAATTAAGGTTTTATTTCCTTAAATTTTAAGCATGGTTCTCCCTATTGGCCCATCTGTACGTTTCAGTTTTATCCATATTTATCTCCATCAATAGCATTTCATAAAGAATGTTGCCCTGAAAAAGGCACATCCTTTTGTACAGATCCATTAATGATATATGTAAAATCAACCTCTATTTATATCTGCCTCATGCAGCCCAAGACTGAACTTCATCACCCTAGACAGCATGCTCATTACCCTAGGAGCATAAGAATCAGATGTTATGCCCTATTAGAAGCACTGTTGGTTTGATCACCATTTTATTTTATTTTATTATTTTATTTTGGGGACAGGGTCTTGCTATGTCTCCCAGGCTGGAGTGCAGTGGCATGATCTCGGCTTATTGCAACCTCCACCTCCCAGGTTCAAGCGATTCTCATGCCTCAGCCTCCCAAGTAGCTAGGATTACAGGCTTATACCACCACACCTGGCTAATTTTTTGTATTTTTAGTAGAGATGGGATTTTGTCTGTTGGCCAAGCTGTTCTCAAACTCCTGGCCTCAAGTGATCCACCCACCTCAGCCTCCCAAAGAACTGGAATTATAGGCATGAGCCACCATGCACAGCCTTTTGGTTATGATTTTAACAACCAGGAGTCTATTAGATGATTCATGTTGTATGACTGCCCACAAGTATGGTAGAAAAATTGCCAGGAAACCACAGGGCATATATTATATTCATAACAAAGTTTTCCCATAAAGTTGAGGTTTCCCTCTAAAGTATTTAATTTATAATTTAACTATTTTGCATGAAAACATTTGGAAATATGCTTTTAAAGTCATTTTTAAGATTTAAAACGCGTCTTCTCACTGCCAAATGTAATTGATTTAAAAACATCACACAAAGTAAAAATAGGGTTCTGTCTTATAAGGTTTCATTTCTCAGCTAAATTTCTCCATCTGTTTATAAATTGTCCAGTTCCTCCACTAGATCCTTTCACATATTGTAATCATAGTTATTTTATAATATTTGTCTTCTAATTCTAACGTCTGTACTTCTACAATTGACTATTTTTTCACTTGATTATGAACCAACTTTTCCTGCTCCTTTGCCTGTCTCATAATTTTTGGTTGTATGCTGGACATTGTGTGGGAAAATCAAACAGGATGAAATAAATATTAACTCCTTGAAAAGAGCATATCCCTTTCTATTCAGACAGCTGAGGTGGAGAGTTGAGTCAATCTAATCATCTAATCTATAACTGAGCTGAATCTGAGATTTGCTGCAGCTTTATTTAAATTCACTTCACCACTACCATCAAACAATTTGAAGGCAGCATTAGGGCTTTACCTTCATTGGGTCTTAGAACCTAATTATTAGTGATAGTTTCAAGATTCCCCTGTATTCTACAACCCAGCTTTCAGCTGTCCAAGTTGTATGAGATTTCTCTTGCTCTCTCCTCTTATAGCACAACCATAAACTTTTGAGGTAGTATATTTTCTCTCTGCTCTCTAGTTCTGTAAACAGTTTTCTATGCCTTGTTAAATCTCTCCATCATACTAGCCTGCCACCAGCCTTCAGTAGACTGATGCTTTATATTTAGTAAAGTTCCCAGGCTCCTCAGAGAAAATCTCTCTCTGATTCCCTGCCCTACTCCAGAGTTTGGCACATTAACACTACGCACTTGGCACACATGCCATGAAAAGGGTTGGAGAGTGACGAGTGACTGCAGACTTACTTTGGGCTAGATTTGCCCAGGATTCTAATGTGTCATGCCAGCCCATGCCTGACCATAAAAGATTGATAAAAATTGGGCTTGTTTCTCCTTACCCCCACCTATGGCAGGTTTTGTTCTTCTTGTGCCGTGCCCTCCGGGATGATACAGCTGTGGCAGTGTTCTCTAGGAGTAGCTTCTCTCTCTCTGTTTATCATATTTAGGTATTTTTGTGTCGTCAGGAAGATGAGGGTTTTTTTAGAGTATAATCGTGTGGCTTATTTAGCTTTATCTCTTTGACAAGTGGGAGCAAATGTATCTTAAGAGCAGTCTACATTCTAGAAGCACAGGTTATACAGTAAAAATTGAAAGCCTGTCTCCTTGTTCTCCAGATACATCCAAGTGTGTACACATTCACACACCCTTATTCATTCATTTGTTTCAGTGTGGGCATATGTGTGTAAATTTTAAAATAAATACCTTGCTATATACTCTCTCTACAACTTAACACTTTTTATCAACAATGTGTTGAGGGCATTTTTCCCTATTAGTACATATAAAACTACCTTATTCTTTTGAGTATTTATATAGTATTTTGTTATATTGGTTGAGCCATCACTTATCCAGGCAATTTCTTACTGATGGACATTTAGTTATTAAATACATAATACTACAAATACTGTAGTCATGAACAATCTTACAAAGGTAGCCAGAGTTTTATGAGTATTTCTAAGGCTGATTTCCTGAAGGTAAAATTGCCAGTTTGAAGGTGTTGGCTTATTTTAAAAGGTGATAATAAACACAATGTGATCTCATACTGCTCTGTGGCATTATTATGATTATTATTGCTATACTGCTTGGATGTTCTGATTACTTGTTGACAAATGCTGGGCTATTTGACCCCTTGAACAAAGGCCTAAGACCAGAGAAGCAAACTGGCTTTTGTGGAACACAGCTCCCATTATTGTTCTATAAAAGGATTCTGTGTTCAAGTTAGATTGGAAATTCCAGTATACTTTACTCACCTACTTTCGTTTTTAGAGATAGAGACTCTGGGAAGCCATAAAGAAAAGTGAGAAATTTAACTTTATTCAAACCAGTGTTTTCCACACATCTTGATCAAGGAACTCTTTATTGCCTATTACCTCTTGACATCCTATAGAACTGTAAACAATTTTGTTCTTTTTAAAATAAATTTATATGTTTGTTTCTTCAATCTCTTCCCTGGTAAGGAGGTATTCAGCACTTTTCACAATGAATTGTCTTTTCTTCTTATCTGCTATTCCAGAAGGGCTTTTTGCTTAGAGATGGGGTAGATTCATGCTTGTTAGAATTGTTTACAAACTAGAAATAAGCAGACTTTAAAAGGAAGCCTGAGGTGTTACCTCATAATTAGTAATTACAGCTTTTAGTGCCTGAACACTATTGAACCTACTTGACCTTCCCAAAATTCTTCTCTTGTTTCAAGATTTTCATCTGTATTTTCCCACAAATGAAGTATTATGTACTTGGCAATCTCCTGAAATCCTAACTTAGGAAAGTCTCCTGCTTATTTAAAGCTTAAGTAGGGGTAATGTGTTCTGCCAGAAGAGGAAACTAGGAAAGTTCAGTAATCTTATTCATCATAAGGTATCAGAAGTGATCTGTGCAGTTAAACAAGGAAAATTCTATGCTAGGTAGAGTCACCATTAATTAAGAACTTACTATATGCCAGCCACTGTGCTAAGAAGTTTACCTGAGTCACCACATTTACTAGGCTCAACAACAAACTAAGAAATACTATTATTTTCTCCATTGAATGAATAAAGAACTTTGGGCTGAGTGAATCTAAAAGAAAAAAAAAAAGCGTGTTGAAAGTGACAGAGCAAATATAAAAATAAGTGACAAAGATGAGAGTTAATATAAGCTTGCCCAATTTCAAAGTCTGTCTTTAACCACTACACTATTCTGTCCACTCTGTGTGTGTGTGTGTGTGTGTGTGTGTGTTTGTGTATGTATGAGAGAGAGAGAGAGAGATTGAGAAGAGGCATACAGAAACAGGGATAGAGAGAATGAGAATAAAATTAACCAAAGGTATTGTTTGGAGATGTCAGATTAACTAAAATAAGAGTCCGAGGTTGAAGGCCAGCACAAGCTCAGGTAAAATTTTCACTTGTCAGTGATCCTTCTAGATTCCATTATATTTGCTGTCTTCATTTCTACTCTAGAGCTTCCAGTGACGTAGTTGTCAAATATGCAATAAAAATCTACTCTACAGATAATGGAACTATCAAAATCTCAACTTAAAAAAAAAATCCAGAGTTTCATACATAAAAATTTGGCTCAATTTCTAATGAACATAGATTACATGAAATCAACAGTGTTTTCTCTATGGATAGCCTATAAATACAAGTAAAAAGTAAGGCTCAAATCAATCTACAGCTGGGAGCACACTTGAAAAAGCAAAGCATTGGTTTTTAAGGCTCAAAAAAATCTTAAACCTATTTGATCTGGTGTCACTATTACAATTTGCCATATACAGAAAACATGTATTTATTCAGCACACATGTATTGAACATTTCACTTCCAAGGCATAAAGTCAACTGTCACAATGCCTATACAAACACACAGCAATTAAAAAAGTTAAGAAGTGAATTGCTCGAGTGCATTTGGGAATATTTTTAAAAATAGAACATTAAAGAAAATATGCAATTTGATTCAACATATATAAATCAATAAATATGATTCACCACATAAACAGAATTAAAAGCAAAAACCACATAACCTCGATAGATGCAGAAAAGCTTTTGATAAAATCCAACATCCCTTCATGATAAAAGCCCTCAACAGAGTAGGCATAGAAGGAACATACCTCAAGAGCCATCTATAAAATCCACAGCCAACATCATACTGAACAGGCAAAACCTGGAAACATTCCCCTTTAGAATTGGAACAAGACAAGGATGCCCACTCCCACCACTCCTATCAACAGAGTACTGGAAGTCCTAGTCAGAGCAATCAGCAAGAGAAAGAAATAAAAGGCATCCGGATAGGAAAGGAAGAAGTCAAATTATCTCTATTTGCTGACAATATCATTCTATACTTAGAAAACCCTAAGGACTCCCCCAGAAGGCAACTAGAACTGATAAATGAGTTTAACAAGGTTGCAGGATATGAAATCAATATACAAAAATCAGTAGCGTTTCTATACATTAATAACATCTAGGCTAAGAGTCGAAGAATATGATTGCATTTAAAATACCACAAAAAAAGTGAAATACCCAGAAATCCAGCTAACGAATGAGATGAAAGATTGCTAAAAGGAAAACTACAAAGACTACTGGAAGAAATCAGAGATGACATAAATGAAAAATGTTACGTACTCATGGATTGGAAGAACTGATATCATTAATATGGCCATACTTCCCTATTGGAATTTAGAGATTCAATGCTATTCCTATCAACCTACCAATGTCACTCTTCACAGAATTAGGAAAAAACGATTCTAAACTATTCTAAAACGCATATGAAACCAAAAAAAGAGTGCAAATAGCAATCCTGAGCAAAAAGAATAAAGCCAGAGGAATCAAACTACCCAATTTCAAGCCATACTATAAGCGTGCAGTAACCAAAACAGCATGGTACTGGCACAAACACAGACATGTAGCTCCATCAAACAGAACAGAAAAACCAGAAATAAAACCATAAACCTACAACCATCTAATTTTTGATAAGGCTGACAAAAACAACGAATTGCTTTTTTTTTTATTATTATACTTTAAGTTTTAGGGTACATGTGCACAATGTGCAGGTTAGTTACATATGTATACATGTGCCATGCTGGTGTGCTGTACCAATTAACTCATCATTTAGAATTAGGTATATCTCCTAATGCTATCCCTCCCCCCTCCCCCCACCCCACAACAGTCCCCAGAGTGTGATGTTCCCCTTCCTGTGTCCATGTGTTCTCATTGTTCAATTCCCATCTATGAGTGAGAACATGCGGTGTTTGGTTTTTTGTCCTTGCGTTAGTTTACTGAGAATGATGATTTCCAATTTCATCCATGTCCCTACAAATGACATGAACTCATCATTTTTTATGGCTGCATAGTATTCCATGGTGTATATGTGCCACATTTTCTTAATCCAGTCTATCATTGTTGGGCATTTGGGTTGGTTCCAAGTCTTTGCTATTGTGAATAGTGCCGCAATAAACATACGTGTGCATGTGTCTTTATAGCAGCATGATTTATAGTCCTTTGGGTACATACCCAGTAATGGGATGGCTGGATCAAATGGTATTTCTAGTTCTAGATCCCTGAGGAATCGCCACACTGACTTCCACAATGGTTGAACTAGTTCGCAGTCCCACCAACAGTGTAAAAGTGTTCCTATTTCTCCACATCCTCTCCAGCACCTGTTGTTTCCTGACTTTTTAATGATTGCCATTCTAACTGGTGTGAGATGGTATCTCATTGTGGTTTTGATTTGCATTTCTCTGATGGCTAGTGATGATGAGCATTTTTTTATGTGTCTTTTGGCTGCATCAATGTCTTCTTTTGAGAGGTGTCTGTTCATGTCCTTCGCCCACTTTTTGATGGGGTTGTTTTTATCTTGTAAATTTGTTTAAGTTCATTGTAGATTCTGGATATTAGCCCTTTGTCAGATGAGTAGGTTGCAAAAGTTTTCTCCCATTTTGTAGGTTGCCTGTTCACTCTGATGGTAGTTTCTTTTGCTGTGCAGAAGCTCTTTAGTTTAATTAGATCCCATTTGTCAATTTTGGCTTCTGTTGCCATTGCTTTTGGTGTTTTAGACATGAAGTCCTTGCCCATGCCTATGTCCTGAATGGTAATGCCTAGGTTTTCTTCTAGGGTTTTTATGGTTTTAGGTCTAACGTGTAAGTCTTTAATCCATCTTGAATTAATTTTTGTATAAGGTGTAAGGAAGGGATCCAGTTTCAGCTTTCTACATATGGCTAGCCAGGGCTACAGTAACCAAAACAGCATGGTTCTTGTACCAAAACAGAGATATAGATCAATGGAACAGAACAGAGCCCTCAGAAATAACGCCACATATCTGCAACTATCTGACCTTTGACAAACCTGAGAAGAACAAGCAATGGGGAAAGGATTCCCTATTTAATAAATGAATTGCTTTTCAATAAATTGTGCTGGGATAACTGGCTAGCCATATGCAGGTGAATGAAACTGGACTCTTACCTTTCACCCTATACAAAAATTAAGATGGATTAAAGATTTAAATTTGAGACCTCAAGCTATTAAAATCCTAGAAGAAAACCTAGGAAATGCCCTTCTCAACATTGGCTTTGGCAAAGAATTTTTGGCTAAGTCCCCAAAAGCCATTGCAACAAACCAAAAATTCAAAACCTACAGAATGGGATAAAATATTTGTAAACTGTGCATCTGACAAAGGTCTAATATCCAGAATTTATATGTAACTTAACAAGCAAGAAACAATCTCATTAAAAACTAGGCAAGTGACATGAACAGACACCTTTTGAAAGAAGCCATACACATGGCCAACAAAGGTATGAAAAAATGCTCAACATCACTAATCAGAGAAATCCAAATCAAAACCACAATTAGATACCATCTCACACCAGTCAGACTGGTTATAATTAAAAAGTTAAAAAACAGATGCAGGCAAGGTTGAAGAGAAAAGGTATCAGGGGAACCTGCCCCCAATATTTCAACGTAGGTTCTTCCTATTTTCTGTAAGTGTTGGCCGGCTGAGAAATAAAGAGTACAAAGAGAGGAATTTTACAGCTGGGCCTCTGGGGGTGACATCACATATTGGTAGGACCATGATGCCCACCTGAGCTGCAAAATCAGCAGGTTTTTATTAAGGATTTCAAAAGGGGAGGGGGTGTAGGAACAGGGTGTAGGTCACAAAGATCACATGCTTCAAATGGCAAAAAGGAGAACAAAGATCACGTGCTTCTGAGGAAACAGGACCAGGGCAAAAGGCAGAACTTCTGATAAGGGTCTGTGTTCAGTGGCACACATATTGTCTTGATAAACATCTTAACAGAAAACAGGGTTTGAGAGCAGAGAACCGATCTGACCAAATATTTACCATGCTGGCATTTCCCAATCCTAGTAAGCCTGAGGGTACTGCAGGAGACCAGGGCATATTTCAGTCCTTATCTCAACTGTATCAGACAGACACTCCTAGAGCGGCCGTTTATAGACTTCCCCACAGGAATGCAATTCCTTTCCCAGGGTCTTAATATTAATATTCCTTGCTAGGAAAAGAATTTAGTGATCTCTCTCCTACTTGCATGTCCATTTATAGGCTCTCTGCAAGAAGAAAAATATGGCTCTTTTTGCCCTACCCTGCAGGCAGTCAGACCTTATGGTTGTCTTCCCTCGCTAAAAATCGCTGTTATTCTGTTCTTTTTCAAGGTGCACTGATTTCATATTCAAACACATATTTTACAATCAATTTGTACAGTTAGCACAATTATAGTGATCCGGAGGAGACGTACATCCTCAGCTTACGAAGATAAAAGGATTAAGAGATTAAAGTAAGACAGGCATAAGAAATTATAAAAGTATTAATTTGGGAAGTGATAAATGTCCATGAAATCTTCACGATTTACGTTCCTCTGCCATGGCTCCAGCTGGTCCTTCTGTTCGGGGTCCCTGACTTCCCGCAACAAAAAGGGAATGCTTGTACACTGCTGGTGGGAAGGTAAATTAGTTCAACCACTGTGGAAAGCAGTTTGGAGATTGCTCAAAACTTAAAGCAGAGCTACCATTCAACTCAGGAATACCATTACTGAGTATATACCCAAAGGAAAATAGAGAGTTATACAAAAAAAGACACATACACTCATATGTTCATTGCCATGCTACTCACAATAACAAAGACATGGAACCAACCTAGGTGCCCATCAACAATGAACAGGATAAAGAAAATGTGGTACGTTTATACCATGGAATACTATGCAGCCATAAAGAAGAATAAAATCATTTTCTTTGCAGCAAAGTGGATGAAGCTGGAGGCCGTGATTCTAAGCTAATTAACTCAGGAGCAAAACAACAAATACTGCACGTTCTCACTTATAAATTGGAGCTAAACATTGAGTGCACATGGACATAAACATGGGAACAATAGACACTGCTGACTACTGGTCAGGGGAAGGGCGGAGGTGGGAAGAGGAGTATGTGTTGAAAAACAACCTATTGGGTACTATGCTCACTACCTGGATACAGTATACCATGTAATAAACCTGCACATGTATCCCCGTATCTAAAATGAAAGTCAAATTTTTTTAAAGGATGCTACTGACTACTGACATACAGATAAACCAGCAGGAAATAATTAAATGGCATTGGTGAAATAAATTTTAATTGGAAATCTCATTGTATTAGTCTGTTTTCACACTGCTGATAAAGACATACCCAAGACTGGCAATTTACAAAAGAAAGAGTTTTGATGGACTCACAGTTCCACATGCTGGGGAGGCCTCACAATGTTGGTGGAAGGTGAAAGGCATGTCTCACATGGCAGCAGACAAGAGAATAGGAGCCAAGAGAAAGGGTTTCCCCTTATAAAATCATCAGGTCTTGTGAGACTTACTCATTACCATGAGAACAGTATGGGGGAAACTGCCCCCATGATTAAATTATCTCCCACTGGATTTCTCCCACAACATGAAGGAATTATGGGAGCTACAATTCAAGATGAGATTTGGGTGGACACACAGCCAAACCATATCACTCATATTCAACAAGTATTTGCTGAGCAACTATTACATGCGAGACATGTGCTAGGTCCTTGGAACACAGGAAATATGTAGGACAGTCTCTGACCTCAAACAGCTCACAGCAGAGTGGGGTAGAGAGACATAAAAAGGATAATAATCACACAATCCATTAAGGGATGTAATAGTGACATAAACAAAAAGGTGAATTAAAGTCCCAGAGAATGGTTAACTTTAATGCAAAGCATAAAGCTAGTTGACATGCTCTGGAAATGTTAAAAAAAAGAGTTTAAGGAACACAGGCCTATTTTACCAAACAGGAAACCAGGAACAGGGAGAGAAGGTGGCTTGCCCAAAGCTAGCAATTGGCGGATTGGGACTAGAAAGATCCTTGACACCCAGGCTAGTGCCTTCTCACATGCAATTGAAAAACCTTTACACAGTCATGCATTGCATAACAATGTTTCAGTCAATGAAAGATTGCATATACCACAGAGGTCCCACAATATTACAATATATATTTTTACTCTTCCTGTTTTATGTTTAGATATACAAACACTTAACCATTATGTTACAGTGGCCTACGGTATTCAGCAAAGAAACATGCTGTATTTGTTTGTAGCCTAGGAGCAATAGGCTATATCATATACCCTAGGTGTGTAGTAGGCTACACCATCTAGGTTTGTACAAGTTCACTCCATAATGTACACACAACGATGAAATCACCTAATGACATTTCTCAGATTGTTGGCCCATTGTTAAGCAACAAATGACTGTATTCAAAGAAGACATGACCTTCTCTGGCATGCCTCTTGCCTGGGAGCAGTTGCAACCACTGACTTCTACTCCTGAGCTTCTTAGGTTGGGATGAATATTTGTGATCATGCCCATGTACCTGCTGGAACAACAATTTTATAAAAATGAAAAATGTGGGGTTGGGTGCAGTGGCTCAAGCCTGTAATCCCAGCACTTTGGGAGGCTGAGGTGGTTGGATCACGAGGTCAGGAGATCGAGACCATCCTGGCTAACATGGTGAAACCCTGTCTCTACTAAAAATACAAAAAATTAGCCAGGGGAGGTGGCGGGCTAGTCCCAGCTGCTCGGGAGGCTGAGGTAGGAGAATGGTGTGAACCCAGGAGGCGGAGCTTGCAGTAAGCCGAGATCACGTCACTGTTCTCCAGCCTGGGTGACAGAGCCAGACTCCGTCTCAAAAAAAAGAAAAATGTGTAAACATGGTTATGTCTAATACTGGAAATATGACTGATTTATTCTGCGTACTTATTTGTATTTTCCAAATACCATAAACACTTATTGGGGTTTTGGGGCTTTTCATTTTAATTTTTAATTTTTGTGGGTACATTGTAGGTGTATATATTTACGGGCTATATGAAATATGTTATTTTGTTTGTTTTTTGGAGACGGAGTCTCACTCTGTCGCCCAGGCTGGAGTGCAGCGCCGCGATCTCAGCTCACTGCAAGCTCCGCCTACTGGGTTCATGCCATTCTCCTGCCTCAGCCTCCCAAGTAGCTGGGACTACAGGCGGCTGCCACCACGCCTGGCTAATTTTTTGTATCTTTAGTAGCCAGGATGGTCTCGATCTCCTGACCTCATGATCTGCCCACCTCGGCCTCCCAAAGTGTTGGGATTACAGGCGTAGGCCACAGAGCCTGGCTGAAATATGTTTTCTTAAATTTTAATTTTAAGTTCTGGGTTAACTTAAAATTTAAGCACGTGCAAGTTTGTTACATAGGTAAATGTGTGCCACGGTGGTTTGCCATACCTATCAACCCATCACCTAGGTATTAAGTCTAGCATGTATAAGCTATTTTTTCTAATGTTTGCCCTCACCCCACCCCACTCCCTGACAGGCCCCAGTGTGTGTTCCCCTCCCTGTGTCCATGTGTTCTCATTGTTCAGCTCCCACTTATAAGTATGAACATGTGTTGTTTGGTTTTCTGTTACTGTGTTAGTTTGCTGAGGATAATGGTTTCCAGCTCCACCCATATTCCTGCAAAGGACATGATTTCATTCCTTTTTATGGCTGTATAGTATTCCATGGTGTATATGTACCACATTTTATTTATCCAGCCTATCTACATGAAATATTTTGATATAGGCATGCAATGTGTAATAATCACATCAGGGTAAATGGGGGTATCTATCACCTCAGCATTTATCCTTTGTGTTACAATCCAATTACACTCTTTATTTTATATATATATATATATATATATATATATATATATGTATATATATATGTATATGTAATTTTTTACTATAGTCACCCTTTTGTGTTAATAAGTACTAGGTCTTATTCATTATTTCTATTTTTTGTACCCATTAGCCATCTCCACTACCCCTCCAACTACCCTGTACTACCCTTCCCAGTCTCTAGTAACCATCCTTTTACTCTCTATCTCCATGAGTTCATTTGTTATAATTTTTAGCTTCCACAAATAAGTGAGAATATGTGAAGTTTGTCTTTCTATGCCTGGCCTATTTCACTTAACATAAGGACTTTCAGTTTCATCTATGTTGGTGCAAATAATAGCATCTCATTGTTTTTATGGCTGAAGAATACTATATTATGTATATGTACAACATTTTCTGTATCCATTCACCTGTTGCTAGATACTTAGGTGGCTTCCCAATCTTACCTATTGTAAATACTGCTGCAACAAACATGGTAGTGTAGATATTTCTTCCATATACTGATTCCATTTCTTTGGGGTATATACCTATGAAAAAGATTGCTGCATTGTATGGTAGCTCTATTTTTAGGTTTTTGAGAAACCTCCAACTGTTCTCCATAGTGGTTTTACTAATTTACATTCCCACTAACAGCGTACAAGGGTTCCCTTTTCTTCATATCCTTGCCAGCATTTCTTATTTTGGCTTTTGGTTAAAAGCCATTTTAACTGGGGTGAAATGATATCTCACTGTATTTTTTAGTTGCATTTCCCTGATTATCAGTGATGTTGAACACCTTTTCATATACCTGTTTGCCATTGGTATGTTTTCTTTTGCAAAATGTCTATTCAGACATTTTACCCATTTTTTAATCAGATTATTAGATTTTTTTCCTGTAGAGTTGTTTGAGCTCCTTATATATTCTGGTTATTAATCCCTTGTCAGATGGGTAGTTTGCAAATATTTTCTCCCATTCTGTGCATTGTGTCTTCACTTTGTTGATTGTTTCCTTTGCTGTGCTGAAGATTTTTAACTTGATGTGATCCCATTTGTCCATTTTTGCTTTGGTTGTCTGTCCTTGTGGGGTATTATTCAAGAAACCTTTGCCCAGTCCAGTATCCTGGAGAATTTCCTTAATGTTTGCTTTCAGTAGTTTCATAGTTTAAGGTCTTAGATTTAAGTTTTTAATCCATTTTTATTTGATTTTTGTATATAGCAAGAAATAGGGGGTCTAGTTTCATTCTTTTGCATATGGATATCCGGTTTTCCTAGCACCATTTATTAACGAGACTGCTCTTTCCCCCACTGTATGTTCTTTGCACCTTTTCCCAAAACTTAGTTCACTATAGATGTACGGATTTAACTCTGGGCTCTCTATTCTGCTCTGCTGATCTATGTGTCTGTTTTTATGCCGGTACCATGCTGTTTTGGTTACTATAGCTTAGTAGTATAAAGTCAGGTAATGTGATTCTTCTAATTCTGTTGTTTTTGTTTGGAAAAGCTTTGATTCTTCTGGGTCTTTTATGGTTCCTTATAAATTTTAAGATTTTTTTATATTTCTGTAAAGAATATCATTGTTATTTTGATAGGGGTTCCACTGAATGTGTAGATTGCCTTGGGTAGTATGGGCATTTTAACAGTATTGATTCTTCCAATTCATGAACATGGAATATCTTTGCTTTTTTTGTATCTTATTTAATTTCTTACATCAGCTGTTTTATAGTTTTTACTATAAAGATCTTCCACTTCTTTCATTACATTAATTCCTAGATATTTTATTTTATTTCTAGCTATTATAAATGGAATTACTTGTTACATTTCTTTTTCAGATTGTTCACTGTTGGTATATAAAAATGCTACTGATTATTGTATGTTGATTTTGTATCCTGCATCTTTACTGAATAATTTTCTGTGCTGTACTGAATAATTTGCTGTAGTCTTTAGGTATTTCCAAATATAAGATAACATAATCTGCAAACAAAGATAATTTGACTTCTTCCTTTCCAATTTGGATGCGCTTGGTTTCTTTCCCTTGTCTGATTGCTCTAGCTAGGTGAAAGTAGACATCCTTGTCTTGTTACAGATCTTAGAGTGAAGACTTTCAGTTTCTCTCAATTCAATATGATGCCTGCTATGGGTCTGCCATACATGGCTTTTATTATGTTGAGGTATGTTCCTTCTATACCCAGCTTTCTTAGGGTTTTTATCATAAAGGGATGTTGAATATTATCAAATGCTTTTTCAGCATCAATAGAAATGGCCATATGGTTTTTAACCTTCATTCTGTTCATCTGATGTATCCCATTGATTGATTTGCATATGTTGAACCATCCTTGCATCCCAGGGGTAAATCTCACTTGGTCATGATGAATGATCTTTTCAATGTGTTGTTTAATTTGGTTTGCTAATATTTTGTTGAGGATTTTTTCATCAATATTCATCAGAGATATTGGCCTGTAATTTTCTTCTTTTGCTGTGTCTTTGTCTGGTTTTGGTATCAGAGTAATACTGGCTTCACAGAATGAGTTTGGAAGTATTTCTTCCTCCTCTATTTTTCAGAATAGTTTAAGTAGGATTGATACTAGTTCTTCTTTAAATGTTTGGTAGAACTCAGCAGTGAAGCCATGAGGTCCCAGGCTTTTTTTTGTTTTTTTCTGGGTAACTTTGCATTAATGCTTCAATCTTGTAATCTTGTTACTTGTTACTAGTCCGTTCAGGTTTTGGATTTCTTCATGGTTGACTCTTGGTAGGTTGCATGTGTCCAGGAATTTGTTCATTTCTTCTTTATTTTCCAATGTATTGATATATAGTTGCTCTTAGTACCTGCTAATGATACTTTGAATTTCTGTGGTATCAGTTGTAAGGTCTACTTTTTCATCTCTGATTTTATTTGAGTCTTCCCTCTTTTTTTTTCATTAATCTCACTAAAGATTGGTCAATGTTGTTTATTTTTACAAAAAAAATCAACTTTTTGTTTTGTTGATTTTTGTACTGTTTTCTTCATTTTGAATTCATTTATTTCTGCTCTGATCCTTATTATTTCTTTTCTTCTACTAATTTTGCATTTGGTTTGCTCCTGCTTTTGTTTCTTTGGTCTTTAAGATATATTGTTAGATTGTTGATTTGAAGTCTTTCTTCTTTTTTAATGTAGGAACTTATAGCCATAAAATGAAGGTGATTTTTCTCTGCTAGTATGATTTAATTTCTTGCTTTTTATTCTTTCTGTATCCATTATATGTTTTTTGATTTAGGGTGCCATGAGGCTTGCAAATACTGTCTTATAACCCATTATCTTAAGCTGATAACAACTTAACATTGTTTGCATAAACAAACAAGCAAAAAGAAAACTAATAAAAACTCCACATTTTAACTCCATCCCTCTGCTTTTTAACTTTTTGTTTCTATTTATATCTTCTACTGTCCATGTCTTGAAAAGTTGTTGTAGTTATTATTTTTATTGGTTCACTTTTTAGTCTTTCTGCTTAAGATAAGAGTAGTTTACACACCACAGTTACACTGTTATAATATGCTGTGTTTTTCTGTGTACTTACCATAACCAGTAAGTTTTGGACCTTCGGATGATTTCTTATTGTTCATTAATGTCATTTTCTTCAGATGGGAGTAGTCCCTTTAATACTTCTTGTAGGATAGGTCTGGTGTTGATGAAATCCCTCAGCTTTTGTTTCTCTGAGAAAGACTTTATTTCTCCTTCATGCTTGAAGAATATTTTTGCCAGATATACTACTCTAGGATAATTTTTTTTCCTTAAGTAATTTAAGTATGTCATGCTATGCTCTCCTGGCCTGTAAGATTTCCACTGTAAAGTCTCCTGCCAGACATATTGGGGCTCCATTGTATGTGATTTGTTTCTTTTATCTTGCTGCTTTTAAGATTCCTTCTTTTATTTTTATTATACTTTAAATTTTAGGGTACATGTGCACAACATGCAGGTTAGTTACATATGTATACACGTGCCATGTTGGTGTGCTGCACCCATTAACTCGTCATTAGCATTAGGTATATCTCCTAATGCTATCCGTCCCCACTCCCACCCCCCAGCAACAGGCCCTGGTGTGTGATGTTCCCTTTCCTGTGTCCATGTGTTCTCATTGTTCAATTCCCACCTATGAGTGAGAACATGTGGTATTTGGTTTTTTGTCCTTGAAATAGTTTGCTGAGAATGATGGTTTCCAGCTTCATCCATGTCCCTACCAAGGACATGAACTCATCATTTTTTATGGCTGCATAGTATTCCATGGTGTACATGTGCCACATTTTCTTAATCCAGTCTATCATTGTTGGGCATTTGGGTTGGTTCCAAGTCTTTGCTATTGTGAATAGTGCCACAATAAACATATTTGTGTATGTGTCTTTATAGCAGCATGATTTATAATCCTTTGGGTATATACCCAGTAATGGGATGGCTGGATCAAATGGTATTTCTAGTTCTAGAACCCTGAGGAATTGCCACACTGACTTCCACAATGGTTGAACTAGTTTACAGTCCCACCAACAGTGTAAAAATGTTCCTATTTCTCCACATCCTTTCCAGCACCTGTTGTTTCCTGACTTTTAATGATCGCCATTCTAACTGGTGTGAGATGGTATCTCATTGTGGTTCTGATTTGCATTTCTCTGATGGCCAGTGATAATGAGCATTTTTTCATGTGTCTTTTGGCTGCATCAATGTCTTCTTTTGAGAAGTGTCTGTTCATATCCTTTGCCCACTTTTTGATGGGGTTGTTTGTTTTGTTCTTGTAAATTTGTTTGAGTTCATTGTAGATTCTGCATATTAGCCCCTTGTCAGATGAGTAGATTGCAAAAATTTTCTCCCATTCTGTAGGTTGCCTGTTTACACTGATGGTAGTTTCTTTTGCTGTGCAGAAGCTCTTTAGTTTAATTAGATCCCATTTGTCAATTTTGGCTTTTGTTGCCATTGCTTTTGGTGTTTTAGACATGAAGTCCTTGCCCATGCCTGTGTCCTGAATGGTATTGCCTAGGTTTTCTTCTAGGGTTTTTATGGTTTTAAGTCTAACATTTAAGTCTTTAATCCATCTTGAATTAATTTTTGTATAAGGTGTAAGGAAGGGATCCAGTTTCAGCTTCCTACATATGGCTAGCCAGTTCCCCCAGCACCATTTATTAAATAGGGAATCGTTTCTGCATTTCTTGTTTTTGTCAGGTTTGTCAAAGATCAGATGGCTGTAGATATGCGGCATTATTTCTGAGGGCTCTGTTCTGTTCCATTGGTCTATATCTCTGTTTTGGTACCAGTACCATGCTGTTTTGGTTAATGTAGCCTTGCAGTATAGTTTAAAGTCAGGTAGCGTGATGCCTCCAGCTTTGTTCTTTTGGCTTAGGATTGACTTGGCAATGCGGGCTCTTTTTTGGTTCCATATGAACTTTAAAGTAGTTTTTGCCAATTCTGTGAAGAAAGTCATTGGTAGCTTGATGGGGATGGCATAAAATCTTTAAATTACCTTGGGCAATATGGCCATTTACATGATATTGATTCTTCCTACCCATGAGCATGGAATGTTCTTCCATTTGTTTGTATCCTCTTTTATTTCATTGAGCCGTGGTTTGTAGTTATTGAAGAGGTCCTTCATGTCCCTTGTAAGTTGGATTCCTAGGTATTTTATTCTCTTTGAAGCAATTGTGAATGGGAGTTCACTCATGATTTGGCTCTCTGTTTGTCTGTTATTGGTGTATAAGAATGCTTGTGATTTTTGCTCATCAATTTTGTATCCTGAGACTGTTGAAGTTGCCTATCAGCTTAAGGAGATTTTGGGCTGAGACAATGGAGTTTTCTAGATATACAATCATGTCATCTGCAAACAGGGACCATTTGACTTCCTCTTTTCCTAATTGTATACCCTTTATTTCCTTCTCCTGCCTGATTGCCCTGGCCAGAACTTCCAACATTATGTTGAATAGGAGTGGTGAGAGAGGGCATCCCTGTCTTGTGCCAGTTTTCAAAGGGAATGCTTCCAGTTTTTGCCCATTCAGTATGATATTGGCTGTGGGTTTGTCATAGATAGCTTTTATCATTTTGATATACGTCCCTTCAATACCTAATTTATTGAGAGTTTTTAGCATGAAGTGCTGTTGAATTTTGTCAAAGGCCTTTTGTGCATCTATTGAGATAATTATATGGTTTTTGTCTTTGGTTCTGTTTATATGCTGGATTACATTTATTGATTTGCATATGTTGAACCAGCCTTGCATCCCAGGGATGAAGGCCACTTGATCATGGCGGATAAGCTTTTTGATGTGCTGCTGGATTTGGTTTGCCAGTATTTTATTGAGGATTTTTGCATCGATGTTTATCAGGGATGTTGGTCTAAAATTCTCTTTTTTTCTTGTGTCTCTGTCCGGCTTTGGTATCAGGATGATGCTGGCCTCATAAAATGAGTTAGGGAGGATTCCCTCTTTTTCTGTTGATTGGAATAGTTTCAGAAAGTATGGTACCAGCCCCTCCTTGTACCTCTGGTAGAATTCGGCTGTGAATCCATGTGGTCCTGGATTTTTTTTGGTTGGTAAGCTATTAATTATTGCCTCAATTTCAGATCCTGTTATTGGTCTATTCAGAGATTCAACTTCTTCCTGGTTTAGTCATGGGAGGGTGTATGTGTCCAGGAATTTATCCATTTCTTCTAGATTTTCTAGTGTATTTGCATAGGGGTGTTTCTAGTATTCTCTGATGGTAGTTTGTATTTCTGTGGGATTGGTGGTGATATCCCCTTTATCATTTTTTATTGTGTCTATTTGATTCTTCTCTCTTTTCTTCTTTATTAGTCTTGCTAGCAGTCTCTCAATTTTTATTGATCTTTTCAAAAAATCAGCTCCTGGATTCATTCATTTTTTATGTCTCTCTTTCCTTCAGTTCTGCTCTGATCTTAGTTATTTCTTGCCTTCTGCTAGCTTTTGAATGTGTTTGCTCTTGCTTCTCTAGTTCTTTTAATTGTGATGTTAGGGTGTCAATTTTAGATCTTTCATGCTTTCTCTTGTGGGCATTTAGTGCTATAAATTTCCCTCTACACACTGCTTTAAATGTGTCCCAGAGATTCTGGTATGTTGTGTCTTTGTTCTCACTGGTTTCAAAGAACATCTTTATTTCTGCCTTCATTTCGTTATGTACCCAGTAGTCATTCAGGAGCAGATTGTTCAGTTTCGATGTAGTTGAGTGGTTTTAAGTGAGTTTCTTAATCTTGAGTTCTAGTTTGATTGCACTGTGGTCTGAGAGACAGTTTGTTATAATTTCTGTTCTTTTACATTTGCTGAGGATTGCTTTACTTCCAACTATGTGGTCAATTTTGGTATAGGTATTGTGTGGTGGTGAAAAGAATATATTCTGTTGATTTGGGGTGGAGAGTTCTGTAGATGTCTATTAGGTCCACTTGGTGCAGAGCTGAGTTCAATTCCTCCATATCCTTGTTAACTTTCTGTCTCGTTGATCTGTCTAATGTTGTCAGTGGGGTGTTAGTCTCGTATTATTATTGTGTGGGAGTCTAAGTCTCTTTGTAGGTCTCTAAGGACTAAGTCTCTTTGTAGGTCTCTAAGGACTTGCTTTATGAATCTGGGTGCTCCTGTATTGGGTGCATATATATTTAGGATAGTTAGCTCTTCTTGTTGAATTGATCCCTTTACCATTATGTAATGGGCTTCTTTTTCTCTTTTGATCTTTGTTCATTTAAAGTCTGTTTTATCAGAGACCAGGATTGCAACTGCTGCTTTTTTTTGTGCTTTCCATTTGCTTGGTAGATCTTTCTCCATCCCTTTATTTTGAGCCTATGTGTGTCTCTGCACATGAGATGGGTTTCCTGAATACAGCACACTGATGGGTCTTGACTCTTTATCCAATTTGCCAGTCTGTGTCTTTTAATTGGAGCATTTTAGCCCATTTACATTTAAGGTTAATATTGTTATGTGTGAATTTGATCCTGTCATTATGATGTTAGCTGGTTATTTTGCTCATTAGTTGATGCAGTTTCTTCCTAGCCTCGATGGTCTTTACAATTTGTCATGTCTTTGCAGTGGCTGGTCCCAGTTTTTCCTTTCCATGTTTAGTGCTTCCTTCAGGAGCTCTTTTAGGGCAGGCCTGGCGGTGACAAAATCTCTCAGCATTTGCTTCTCTGTAAAGGATTTTATTTCTCCTTCATTTATGAAGCTTAGTTTGGCTGGATATGAAATTCTGGGTTAAAAAATCTTTTCTTTAAGAATGTTGAATATTGGCCCCCACTCTCTTCTGGCTTGTAGAGTTTCTGCTGAGAGATCAGCTGTTAGTCTGATGGGCTTTCCTTTATGGGTAACCTGACCTTTCTCTCTGGCTGCCCTTAACATTTTTTCCTTCATTTCAACTTTGGTGAATCTGACAATTATGTGTCTTGGACTTGCTCTTCTCGTGGAGTATCTTTGTGGTGTTCTCTGTATTTCCTGAATTTGAATGTTGGCCTGCCTTGCTAGATTGGGGAAGTTCTCCTGGATAATATCCTGCAGAGGGTTTTCCTACTTGGGTCCGTTCTCCCCGTCACTTTCAGGTACGCCAATCAGACGTAGATTTGGTCTTTTCACATAGTCCCATATTTCTTGGAGGCTTTGTTCGTTTCTTTTTACTCTTTTTTCTCTAAACTTCTCTTCTCACTTCATTTCATTCATTTGATCTTCCATCACTGATACCCTTTCTTCCAGTTGATCGAATCGGCTACTGAGGCTTGTGCATTCATCACGTAGTTCTCTTGCCATGGTTTTCAGCTCCATCAGGTCCTTTAAGGACTTCTCTGCATTGGTTATTCTAGTTAGCCATTCATCTAATTTTTTTTTTGAAGGTTTTTAACTTCTTTGCCATGGGTTCGAACTTCCTCCTTTAGCTCGGAGTAGTTTGATCGTCTGAAGACTTCTTCTCTCAACTTGTCAAAGTCATTCTCCTTCCAGCTTTGTTCCGTTTCTGGTGAAGAGCTGCGTTCCTTCGAAGGAGGAGAGGTGCTCTGATTTTTAGAGTTTCTGGTTTTTCTGCTCTGTTTTTTACCCATCTTTGTGGTTGTATCTACCTTTGGTCTTTGATGATGGTGACGTACAGATGGGGTTTTGGTGTGGGTGTCCTTTCTGTTTGTTAGTTTTCCTTCTAACAGTCAGGACCCTCAGCTACAGGTCTGTTGGAGTTTGCTGGAGGTCCACTCCAGACCCTGTTTGCCTGGGTATCAGCAGTGGAGGCTGCAGAACAGCAGATATTGGTGAACAGCAAATGTTGCTTCCTGATCATTCCTCCAGAAGTTTTGTCTCAGAGGAGTACCCTGCCGTGTGAGGTGTCAGTCTGCCCCTACTGGGGGGTGCTTCCAAGTTAGGCTACTCAGGGGTCAGGGACCCACTTGAGGAGGCAGTCTGTCCGTTCTCAGATCTCCAGCTGCGTGCTGGGAGAACAACTACTCTCTTCGAAGCTGTCAGACAGGGACATTTAAGTCTGCAGAGGATTCTGCTGCCTTTTGTTTGGCTATGCCCTGCCCCCAGAAGTGGAGTCTACAAAGGCAGGCAGGCCTCCTTGAGCTGCAGTGAGCTCCACCCAGTTCGAGCTTCCCAGCTGCTTTGTTTACCTACTCAAGCCTCAGCAGTGGTGGGTGCCCTTCCCCCAGCCTCACTGCTGCCTTGCAGTTTGATCTTAGACTGCTGTGCTAGCAATGAGCGAGGCTCTGTGGGCGTAGGACCCTCCAAGCCATGCGCGGGATATAATCTCCTGGTGTGTCGTTTGCTAAGACCATTGGAAAAGCGCAGTATTAGGTTGGGAGTGACCCGATTTTCCAGGTGCCATCTGTCACCCCTTTCTTTGACTAGGAAAGGGAATTCCCTGACCCCTTGTGCTTCCCGGGTGAGGCGATGCCTCGCCCTGCTTCGGCTCATGCTCGGTGCACTGCACCCACTGTCCTGCATCCACTTTCTGACACTCCCCAGTGAGATGAACCTGGTACCTCAGTTGGAAATGCAGAAATCACCCATCTTCTGCATCACTCACACTGGGAGCTGTAGACTGGAGCTGTTCCTATTTGGCCATCTTGCTATTTCTCTCAAGATTCTTTCTTTATTATTGACTTTCATAAGTTTGATTATTAAATGCCTTGAGGTAGTCTTCTTTGGATTAAATCTGTTTGGTGTTCTACAACCTTCTTGTGCTTGAATATTAATATGTTTCCTTAGATTTGGGAAGTTCTGTTAGCCCTTTGAAAAAACTATCTACACGTATCTCTTCCTCTATCACTTTTAAGGCCAATATAACTTTTAGATTTGCCCTTTTGAAACCATTTTCTAGATCCTGTAGGTGTGCTTTATTCTTTTTTATTCTTTTTTTCTTTTGTCCCCTCTGATGGTGTATTTTCAAATATTCTGTCTTCAAGCTCACTAATTCTTTCTTTTGCCTGATCAATTCTGCTATTAAAGACTCTGATGAATCCTTCAGTATGTCAATTGCATTTTTCAACTCCAGAATTTCTGCTTGATTCCTTTTAATTATTTCAAACTCTTCTTAAAATTTATCTGATAGAATTCTGAATTCCTTCTCTGTGTTATCCTGATTTCTTGGAGTTTCCTCAAAACAGGTATTTTGAATTCCCTGAAATGTCACCTATCTCTGTTTCTCCAGGATTGGTCCCTGGTACCTTATTTAGTCCATTTAGTGAGGTCATGTTTTCCAGTATAGTCCTGAGTCTTCATCTGTCTCTTAATTAAATAGTTAAGTATTTATTATAGCTTCACAATCTGGGCTTGTTTCTACCCATCCTCCTTGGGAAGGCCTTTCAGGTATTTGGAAGAACTTGACTGTTGTGATCTAACTGTATCTGCATTAAGGGTCATCCAAAGCCCAATAACACTGTGGTTCTTACAGACTTGTAGAGGTACCACGTTGATGGTCTTGAATAAGACCTGGAAGAATTTTCTGGATTACAAGGCAGAAACTCTTGTTGTCTTCCCTTACTTTCTCCCAACAAGAGGAATCTCTCTCCCTCTCCCTCTCTCTCTCTCTCTCTCTCTCTCTCTCTCTCTCTCTCTGTCTCTGTCTCTGTCTCTGTCTCTCTGTTCAGAGCTGTCTGGAGCTGGGGGTGGAGTAACACAGGCACCCCTGTGGCCACCACCACTGAGACTGCACTGGGTCAGACATGAAGCCAGCACAGCAGTGGGTCTCACACAAGCCTAGTGTAACTACTACCTGGCTACTGCCTATGTGCGCTCAAGGCCCTGGAGCTCTAAAATCAGCAGGTGGCAATGGCAGCCAGGTTTGTATCCTTCCTTTCAGAGTAATGAGTTCCCCCAGGCCCTTGGTGGGTCCAGAGATACTGTCTGGAAGCCATGGACTGGAGTCAAAAACCTTAGAAATCTACCTGGTGTTCTGCTGTATTGCAGCTGAGCTGGCACTCAAACCATGGGACACAGTACTTCCCACTCTAATTTTCCCTTTCCATAGGCAGGGGTAGGAAGAGGGGGAAATGGCCACACCATGGCCACTACAACTACTGATCCACGGGAAGTATTGCCAGGCTACCACTAGCATTTCCTTAAAGTCCAAGGGCTCTTCAGCAGCTTGTGATGAATGCTGCCTGGTCTGGGAATCACCCTTCCAAGTACTGGGCTCCCCTCTAGCCCAGGGCAGATCCAGAAATGCTGTCCAAGAGCCAAGGCCTGGAATCAGGGACCCCAAGAACCCACTTGGTTCTCTACTCCCCTGTAGCTGAGCTGGTACATAAGGTGCAAGATAAAGTCCTATTACTTTCCCCTCTGCTTTTCTCAAGCAGAAGGAACCTCTCCCCATAATCACTCCCAATGAGAATATGCTGAGTCTCGCCTGAAGCCAACAAGTTTCAGAGTGTCACCCAAGGTTCATTGCATACTACCTAGATATTGCTACTGGTTATTCATGGCCCAAGGGCTCTTTAGTCAGCAGTTGATGGGTCCTGCCAGGACTGGGACTGGGTCCTTCCCTTCAAGGCAGAGATTCCCTTCTGGCCCAGGGTGTGTCTAGAAATGTCATCTGAGAGCTGGGTCCTGCAAAGCGGGACTCAAAACTCTGACTGGTGCCCTATCCTACTGGACTTTTGATTTTGATATTTGATAATGGCTGAATATTTCTCAAACGTGATGATAACTATAAAATTACAAATCCAACAAGTTGAACAAACCCCAAATAGGATAAAGTTTGTAACTGAAAAAAATGTTGGCATAGCAAGCAAGATCAACATCACATGAAAAAGACACTAAAGCAATATTATTGCTAGAAATAAGGAGGCTTACAACTCTGATAAAAATTACAATCCATAAGGAAATCTAAAATTTTCATGCATCTAAGGACATAGCCTCATAATAAGTATAAATAAATTTACAGAATTATAAAACCACAATTTTGATGGAAAGTTAGAATTGCTTTCTGATTAATTACAAGGTCAAGCATATGAAAATTTAAGCATTTAGAAAGACATGAATAATACATTTAGCAAGCTTGATGAAATGGACACACAGAGAACCCACCACCCAAATTAGAGAATAGGTATTCTCTTTAAGCACACACCAAAATTTACAAAATTTTCCATGCACTAGACATAAACAAATCTTCATAAATCTAAATAATTGGTATCATACCAACCAATTTAGAGTGATTAAATTATTGATGATAAAAAGATAACTTTTTAAAAATCTCATACATTTAGGAATATTTTTAAAACTTTAAATAGGTCAAAAAAGGATAATAGAAACTGAAAATATTTAGCACAAAAAATGAAAATGCTACATATCAAATTGCAAACCATGGTAGAAAAATTAATGCCTGAAATTTCCATATTATGAAAGAAGATGACATAATTAATATACAAAAAACCTAGTACAATAGTTGAAAAATAATAAGAAATTTAAAAAACAAACTAATGAACTAGAGGAAAAAATAAAAGGTAAATAATTCATTTTCTAAAAAGACACAAACCAAACTTACTCCTGGCAAAATTCATCATGTAAAGAAAGATTAGATACTGTAGAGGTTAACAAGAGATCCAAAATATTATGTACAACTTCAGGTCAACAATTTTGAAAGCTTTAGGTTACCTGACCAATGTCTTAAAGACATACAATTTATCACATTTGATTCAAGAAAAAGAAAAGCCAAATGGTCACTAAAGAGCCAAGAAGCCTGATATCCAATAAGAGATCACAGCCATTAAAGAAAATAGAATGAATAGCTAAAAAATCTCTCAGTCCCGATCCCTTCTGCACATACCAATGCAATTTTTCAGATGAGTTCTATGTTTAAGGAACAGATAACATCACTGTTAAACTGTGCTAGAACAGGAAATAACACTTCCAATTCATATTTAAAATTAACATAATCTTGAAGTCAAAACCAGACAAGCACAGTAAGAGAGAAAAACTAAATTACAGCTAGACAGGAGGAATAAGTTTCAATATTCTATAGCACCGTAAGATGACTATTGTTAACAATAATATATTATACAGTTTCAAATAGCTAGAAAGAGGATATTGAATGTTCCCAACACATAGAAATGATAAATGTTTGAGATGATGGATATGCTGATTACCCTGATCTCATCACCATATGTATTGCATATGTATTGCAACATCACTATGCACACCAGAAATATATATAATTATTACGTGTCAAGTAGAAAAAAAATTTTTTTAAACTTGGTCATCTATCTTTCTAGTGGCCATAGATGGATAATATGAAATAAAATGATAACAAAAACCATCAGTTTAGAGCAGGGATCAGCAACTGCTACTCCCATGCCCATTTTGGCCAGCAGAGTCTGTTTTTAAATGGCCTACAGGCTAAGAATTTTTCTCTTATTTTTAAAGATTTGTTTAGAAGAAGTAAAACAAGCTACAGAGAACAACTAGTGCCTATAAAGCCTAAAATTTTTACTATGTAGCCTTCACAGTAAAAATTAACCCGAATTAGAGAAAAATTTTAAAATTAATCTAATACACTTGGTGTCCTTGTAAAAATGGGGAATTTGGATACAGAGACAGGAACACACGTAGAACACCATGTAAACATGAAAGCAGATATTGGGGTGATGCTTCCACAAGCCAAGGAATACTAGAGACTGCCAGCAAACCACCAGCAACCAGGGAAGAAGCATGGAACAGATGCTTCCTCACAGCCCCCAGAAGGAACCGATCCTACCATCACCTTGATTTCAGACTTCGAGCCTCCAGAACTGAGACAATAGATGTATTCTCTTTAAGTCACTTGTTTTGGGGCACTTTGTTATGGCAGCCCTAGAAAGTGAGCATACATTTCTTTATCAATAAGAAATGAGGCAGTGTATTAGAGAACAATGGAGGATCTGCCTAGATAAAATGGTAACAGAAAATCTTCCTGTAAATGGCTAATTTGGGTTGAATGGGAAGGATAAGAAAGATCCAGTCATACCAAGAGTTTGGGGCAGAACATTCCAGGGAGAGAGAATAATGTGGCCAATCCAGTTAAGGTAGGGAAAGGTTTATTTAAAACTGATTAAATGGAATGATAATTAGGAAGTGGAGGAGAGGTGATGATATAGATTCTTCAGCCTTTTGAAGGATAAATGATTAGCAAAAACAGAACACACAAAGTCAAATTTGTCCACAAAAGTTTTGAAGTCACCAAAGCCATGCTCATGGTATAGGATCCTCTGATAACTCTCAGAGACAACTTGCCATGCTCAAAGTATTGTCCTCATAGGGAATATGCTACAATCACCATTTCCGGGGATATCAGAATAATAAAATCGCAAATTCATTAGAAAGTTTCGAAGCCCCAATCTTTTCTCCAAAGTCTTCTTTTTTTCTTACACAAACACAATTTTATTGTCACACCTTAGAAGATTTACCATAATTCAACGCATTCTAATATTCAGTCCATATTTAAACTTCTCCACTTTTCCAAGTGTGTCTTTTACAGATTTTTTAATGGAATAAAGATCCAGTCAAGGTGTTCATATTGACTTTGAGTATGTTTCTTTAGAACTCTCTCCCGTCTGTTTTTTGACAATGGAGATTATTTTATTCAAGCTATTATAGTAGAGATAGCATTCATTAATGAGAAGCATCTCAAGTAAAAGACCAGGGGACTTGGGGCTTTTTAAAGGCAGGTACAAAAAGGAGTCATATTCACTGAGAAAGGTAGAAGTCAGCCATATGTAGGAACATGTGAGAGCAGGGTAGCCCATTGTAGTTGGTCAGTTCTAGAAACTTAGAAGCATAAAGAGATTTCTCTGCTATCGCTGCATTTTAGGGAATACAGCATTCAGATTAAATTCAACATTATCACATTTAAAAAGAATTCATCTAGAATATTATATATTGTATGATCAAATAGTTCTGTTTTTATCATATGGATACAGAGAGTGTTCAGTTATCCTAATGCTATTTATCACTATGGAGGTCCATCCTTCCTCCATCAGTTTCTCAATTTTCCATTCTATTTCATTGGACTGTTTGTCTACCCTTGAGTTAATACATTGTGTTTAATTATTATAGCTTTATAAAATCTGTTACACATGTGCTTAAAAAAAGTATCCAATTGTTGAGTGCTGAGTTATCAAAGTATTCTTTACAACATCTCTGATAAGGTATCCTCACTGTCTAAATATTCTCTGTGTGCTCAGCATCTCAAAGCACAGCCCATTCTCTTTCTCAGCTCTAACTTAAAAAGTCCATTTTGAATAGGTAATCTAGGCATATGGCACAATACTTAAAAGCCAAAAAAAATGGTTTACAGTGAAAATTAAGTTTCCCTCCTTCCTTGCCCCTCACCAAATAGTTTCCCTTACCAGAGACAATCACTCTTACCAGCAAACTTCATGCATTTATAAACATACATGTAAATTTTATTTTTGCAACACAATACGAGCAACTATAGATACATTTCTGCCCCTTGATTTCTCCCTTGTAATTTCCATATTGGTGGAACAGAACTGTTCATTCCTTTTTAACAGGTATATGTATCGTTTTCTACCATGGTTCTAATTTATTGCTAGATTCTCTCTTTACTGGGTTGAGCTGTGCATCTCTGTACTTTTTCTTCCCCGTTTGTCTTTTCTTTTCTTGAAAATGAGGCTAATTTCATTTGCACTCTGTTGACCTCCTACATGAAGGAAATTTCCCTACAGTAACTGGAGGGTGACAAAGTGCTCTGTTGCCATAAACATCTGCAAAAGATGGTGAATTCTAGAAGGCAGGATGGCATATTGGTCAAGAATACATATTTCCCAAGATTAAGTCTTTACTCTGCCATTTACAGATAAGTGACCTTGAATAAGTTACTCAAACTCTGTCCTCTCAATTACCTCAACTATAAAATGGGAATAAAAATAGCATCTGTGTAAATAGGGTTGTTGAGTGGATTAAAAACATATTAGTCAAACGCCTAGCACATGCTAAGAGTTCAGTCCATGTTAATCATTGTTGTTGTTCCTATCATCATTATCCCCCCCTTCCTTAGACAATAAAGATCATCTTCCCAAGACCTCTTCGCCAAAGTTCTGAAAGACAAACAGCGGTAAAAAGAAACCCCACTCTCAGCTTGCATTTTTGTTGTCTGAACCTTATTCCCTAGGTTCTGGGGGATAACCTTATGTGTGTGTTTTCTTATGAAGGAAAGATGGCAGGATCTGTCTGCCCTCCAAAACTCAGCCTGCTAGCTTGTTTTTCAGATGTTATGCTGATTGCCTGCTTACCTTGATCTGTGTCAGGAACACAGTTGACCTTTATCTGGGTCAGGGGAGTGTAATTGGACTGGCAACTCTCTTTACATGGAATCCCTCTGTGATGGTTAATTTTATGTATCAATTTGACTAGACTACAGGATGCCCAGGTATCCGGTTAAACATGATTTCTGGGTGTATCTGTGAGAGTGTTTCCAGAAGAGATTAACATTTGAACTGGTGGACAGAGTAAAGCAGATGGCTGTCCCCAGTGTGGGTGGGCTTTATACAATCTGTTGAGGACCAAAAGAGAACACAAAAGTGGAGGAAGGGAGAACTCACTCTCTCTGCCTGATGCCTTGAGCTAGGCCATGGGTCTCCTGCCCTTGGACTAGGATGTACATTATTGGTTCTGCTGGTTCTGAGGCCTTAGGGCTTGGAACCACTGGCTTTCCCCCATCTCCAGCTTGCAGATGACAGATTGCAGGACCTCTTGGCCTCCATCATTGTGTGAGCCGATTCCTTATAGTAAATATAAATATGCACACACATACATATCTTCTTGGTTCTGTTTCTCTGGAGAACCCTGACTAATACCCTCTCCACCCTAAATCTGGAGCCGGCTGCTCACACACATAAACAGCAGTCAAACACAGACAAGATAACAAGAGCCTCTGGGGCACTAGGGGCCACTGCCCACACCGTGTAAATGCTCTTAAGTGCCTCACATTTCACTGTACCTGGGGCCCTGGCAGGCAGGCGGCGAGACAGGTTTCTGGCTCTGGAGAATGTGGGTTAGTCTTGGTGGCCCTTCCAGGTGAGCGTGACCCAGTTAGTGTAGTAACCCAGAAATGTCCACATGCGTGTGCCAAACCTGAAATTAACAGCATTCTGGGCAGCTCTGGTTCAATTTCTAAAATGAGCAGACAGCTTAAAACCTCAGTGATGATCTAAATAGCTTCTTTAAGACACACTTAATTCAGATTTAACAAGACAATTAAATTTAACAAGATGTTGTTAAATACAAGTGATTGTTTAATGTGGATACGCTGAGGAGCTGCCATGCAGGAGACACACATTATTATTAATTACTGCTAAATTATTTTTGTCATCAGCACATAAATTTCAACATTTCTTATCAGATTAGTATACTTCATGTGCAGAATCCTAAAAATGATACATAAACAATGATATATAGTCTTTAAAGCTCTTCTTTCTCCAACAAGGAGAATAAAAGCAAACACATGTAATATATAGACACATACAATGTGCCAAGCACTATTCTAAACACGTCACAAATTTAGTTGACCCTTGAATAGCACAGGTTTGAGCTGCACGGGTCCATGTATGCACAGCTTTTTTTTGGCCAAATACAAATTGAAAATACAATATTTGAGGGAACCCATGTATCTGGAAGGCCATTTTTTGGTACACATAATTCTGCAATACTGACAGCAGGACTTTGGTATGAATGGATTTTGGTGGTGGGGGGTTACTGAAACCAATCTCTTGCATATATGCAGGGACAGCTGTAATCCAACTAGCCTTCACAATAACATCATGAGGTGCTACTGTTTTTTATTTCTATTTTATTTATAAGGAAAAGTGAGTCATAAGATGCACACATATCCCAAGGTCCAACAGTTGTGAAGTAATGGAACCAAGATTTGAACTCAAAATGACTGAATCTGGAGCTCACAGTCCCCACTGTGATCATACTCTCTGCAAGATGATTGCAAATTTGCAAATGTGTAGTTTTCAAACTCCAGTCTAGTTTGATACTAAAGGGACATGGGTCTTTGGATCTATATGAACCTGGGTTAGAATCCTAATTTACCAGCTATATGACTATGGGCTCATAAGCCTGTTTTCCCCCTCTGGAAAATGTCAGTACTCATCCATTCTCACATGTAAGATAATGCACGTGAAGATCCTAGCACAGGAGCTGACACATAGTATGAACTCAAGTTCATTTATTAGATATTTATAGAACACTCTCTATATTCCACCCCAGAAGTAGACACTGAGGAACAAATGATGAACAAAACAGTACAACATAGTTCATCTATTTATCACATACACACATATGAGTATACAATTGAGACCAGACAACTGCTGAGAAGGAGAAGTGCATACTACAATAAGACTGCAAAAAGGGGACTTTGACAAAGATGAAAAATGTTTCCTAAGGAAGTGATGACTACACAACACACAACCCTCATCCCTTATAGAAGTAGCTATTTGGCCAAATAGATCTGCTTATCTCTATGTATGGGTGCAAGGGTAGGACATTTGACTTAGTTTTGTTTTTGTTTTGTATTTTTGCACTGAATCTGCTCTGGAACACAGGAGGACATCAGGGCACAGTAACTCCAGTTCCAGTCAGGAACTGGAGTCAGAAATTTGATTTCTGCCTCCCCATGAATCCTACAGGGGCAACGTTGAAAAAAAAAATCTGTGTTGACCTCCTCTAGCATAGTCTCTGACATCTAAGAGGCACTCAATAAATACCAGTTAAATAAATAACAAATATAAATCATGGGGAAAAGATTCTGAGATTGCATAGCACCTCACATTATCCAGAGCTCTTTCTCAGTATTAATTAAGGAGAGTTTAGTGGTAGGACCACCAGGTTTAAATTATTCTACCAAGTACAAGCTATGTGACCTTGAACAAGTAACCTCTTTTTATTTATTTTATTTTTTTGAGATGGAGTCTTGCTCTGTCACCCAGGCTGGAGTACAGTGGTATGATCTTGGCTCACTGCAACCTCCACCTCCGGGGTTCCAATGATTCTCCTGCCTCAGGCTCCCAAGAAGCTGGGATTACAGGCATGCACCACCACGCCCGGCTAATTTTTGTATTTTTAGTAGGGACGGGGTTTCACCATGTTGGCCAAGCTGGTCTTGAACTCCTGACCTTGTGATCTGCCCTCCTCAGCCTCCCAAAGTGCTGGGATTACAGGTGTGAGCCGCCGTGCCTGGCCCAAGTAGCCTCTTCCTATGCCTCAGTTGATGCCTCTAAAAAGTAGGTTACAATGAAGCTTAAATCAAATAATGTGTAAAGCATTTAGCACAGTTCCTGGTACGTGATAATCTTCATGGCAATGTTAACTGGGGTAGTGGTCAACAGCAGTGATAGTGTGGTTTCTTAATCCATATAGCACAACCTAAACAGTTGATGACAACATCCTCCTTCAACAAAAAGGAAAAAAACTGAGGTTTAGAGATCTAAAGTTATATAGCTAGTCAAGCCCAGGTCAGCTGGTTCCAAGCCCACCATGCCAAGTGAGCCAACAGAAGCCTTTTGAACAGGAGCATGTCACGGAGAAAGCCCATGATAGCAAAAGTCTGCCCAGGGAGCATGTGCAGGAGAGTGAGTTCAGCTGGAAGTAACTCCTTCCTTCTGAGCAAGCAGCTGACAACCTTATGTTGTCCCCCAATTATCTCCCCTCCTGCCTTTTTCTGGAATGGGGATGGGGGATGAAGAATCGTGAAACTGAAGAGAAACCTCCCACTTGAGCTCAGCAAGAGAAAGATGAGAAGAAGCCAGACAAAAGCATCCCCACACACACTCTGATACTTTGAATCCTGACACAGCAGCGGTTGCAAGTCTGAAACCAAGCTGCCCCCTAATGTACAGTCTCCACATTCAGGAGGCTGAAGCCATTAGCAACTAACTTTAGGCTGGAAGAAATGGAAAAGAACTCAAGTGCCTTAAGCAGTAGGTATCAGGCTCTCCATGTGAACTTAGCAGTGTCCCTTACCATGCATTTTGAACTTGTCTAAGTCAGGGTTTCTCCCCTTCAGTTCTACTGATGTTTTGTTGGGGAGATGACTGGTGGGAAATGTTCTGTGCATTCACCATAGATGTTTAACAATATCGCAGGCATTGTCTCATCTAGATATCGGTAGACTTCCCCAGGTGCGACAACCAAAAATGCCTCTAGACATTGCCAAATGTCCTCTGGGGGACAAAATTGCTTCCAGTTGAGAACCACTGATATAGGTTGGCTTGAAAACAGGCAATGGTTTTAAGTTAGGCGTGTTCTTGATTTTTTCCTCAGGTAATGTCAGCTTACAAATTCTTTACAAATTGGGACAAATCAGGAAGCCCTTAGCCCATCCCGTTGACTACTGTGGAAGAAGGCAGTCATGAGGTGGTCATCTTCCTCAGCTTATGTTAGGCTTTTATGCCCCATCTATATTTTTAGGAAATTGTTTCTCCGCACCTAATGTGAACTGGTATTAACCATTTCCAGAGAGGCAATCTGAAGGGAAAAGTTGTCGCAGAAATCCCTTCAACGTCTCAACCAACACCTCTACAGACACAGCTGGAAGACTGCAGCAGATCAATGGGAACTCTACTATGCTGGCAAACGTTCATCTTGACCATCATGTTTGCTGCCTGCATCCGATAAATATTTCTTGGGAAGATCTTCTTTGCTAGGCATTATGCTAGATGAGGTGGGAGATGCTAAGATGAAGAAGGCATTGTTCCCACCTCCAGAGCTTCCCAATCTGTTTCGAAGAACCGTGTGGGAAGGATCACGTAAACCTCTTTTAACTAAGCTCAAAGCCTGAACTTGGAATCCAGGTTTCGATTCTGTCTCATTAACTGGTGAACTTGGGCTTGGCCTGTATATTGCTAGAGGTCCAGGTGAGTGGTTGAGCTCTTCCTAGGCATTGATTTGAGTTAGAACTCCTGTCGTCTTTACCTGGATACCTGATTTGGGGGAGAATGGGTTCAGAAGAACAAAGTAGTCATGCATTTAATACATTTTTATTAAGCACTGCTATGTTCAAGACTGTGCTACTCTGGATATAGGAATGATAAAGCATATTCAATCCATTCCCTCATGGAGTTTGCCCTCTAATTGGAAAGATAGACATTAGATGGAATTTGCACAAAATAAATATGTGATTGCCATTTTGTAGTAAGAGCTGCAAAGGAAAAATCAGACATCTCCCAGTCACTCAGCCTGGCTGTAGTCTGAGGCTGAAGGTGATAGGTGATACAAGGAGAGGCTAATGGAGCTGTTTACCTGGAGGACTTCGTGAGAGATGAGCATAAGTAAAGGCACTGCAGGATCAATAAGACAGAGTGGAACAATAAGTTGCAGAGAGGGACAGTATCTGCAGTATTTCTATAAAGTAGCGTCATTTTAGCCCCAGTAGGGTTTGTGTCTTTGGAAGCTTCGTGGACAGAGAATCAGTGTTCACAGAGGACCCTGGCAGCTGGAATGTTGGATGAATACATCGTTAGTGGATTCCTGGGCCACAGATATCAAGGAGGAGGCCAAAGTTGCATCAGTGTATGTGAAACTCCACAAAGAGCTCCTGAAAATAACTCTAGGAGATTTTGAGGGCTGGCAAGGATTCTACAGCATGTCAAAGGGACCAAGAGCCAGCAAACAGTACATTACAAACCTATTTAATAAGAAGCAAAAGAAAGACCTGGGTGGAAGGGCCCTGCAGGGCTTCAAATGAAAGGGAAATTTCAAAGCTTCCTGGAAGAGTAGGCCTATACCTCAGCCTTGAAGTATGGATGTTTTAAATGTGTTTCTTAAGCTGATGTCATTCTTCCCAAATCACAGCTAGAAAATACTTTCTGCTCAGACTCAGCAAACACTGAGAAGCAAAGGGGAATGGCCTATCTCTGTGGAATCCAGTGAAGAAAGAAACCAATTATATTAGCCAAATCCCATATAAGTGGAGACTATTAAACAAGATCCAAGATTCTCCCCTGGCAAGAATATACTGCCTATAATTTATCAGTCTGCAAATATTTATTCAGCATGCACTTTGTACAAAACACTGTAGTTAGAACTCCAGATTATAACCCTAACAATGGCTAACGTTAATGGATCAAATTCCACCTATACCACACTTTAGCTGTTTAACAAAGGACAAGTTTCTGACTTCTCTGCTTTTCAATGGTCACATTTGTAAACTCTTTGCACTTAGTAAATGCTACAGTAATTATTACTATTATCATTATGATTCTTGTAATCATCATTATAAGCCAGACAGTATTACAGGATTTCATTTAATTTTAATAAGATTGACATTTTTATTATTTCCATTTTATAGATGAGGAAACTGAGGCTTAGAGAGATTAAGCAACTAATCGAAGTTGTTTAGCTACTAAGTTGCAGAACCAGGATTTAAACCGAGGTGTGGACTCCAAGTTCATACTTTACTACCCTGAAATGACAGAATTATATAAAATAATGTATATGAAGTACCAGCCAAGATTATGACACTCAATAAATGACAGCCTTTCTTGCTGCTGCTTAGCTTCTGGTGATGGCCGGCTACCCTTGGTGTTCCTTAGCTTGCAGACTTGTAACTCCAATGGTGCCCATTTTCCTTCTTAAATGATATGAAGAATATGCAACATTTGGTTCAGTAACTGGCACTGAGTGCTCCAACTCAAAATTCCTTGTTACAACTGGTAAAGACTGAGGTTCAAATTCCTAATCAGGAAACTTTTCATCTTGAATGGATGAGAACTATGAGTGAATCCATCAATTTTAAGGAAGAAGGAAAATTATTTTCTCCAGAACTCTAATACGCTGAGAACTCTAAATGCTGCCAGGCTGCAGAAAGCTGTGCACTCCAGAACCTTCTAGCTTCTACCCTATTTCCCCATTTGGCCATTCTTCCTCCTAAGTTACCTGTTTTTCCCCAAGTGTCAGGTGCTAGCATTCATGAATGGCAAAATTCAGACTGTAAATGTTCATCTGAATCCAGTCATCCATTGATTTTTAAGTTCATACTGAAGTGGTGTTGAGAATTAGAAGAAACATGCTCTCTCGCCCTCAAATAAGCACTTTTCATACCAATGTCAGCAAAGCAAACATCAGCATTAATTAACAGTGACTTTGAACTGTGTAATGTTTTCCATTAGAACTGAAGAGGGCTAGAAGGAGGAGGACAAGGGACAACACATGGCGTCACCAGGTATCTGGGGAAAAGGGAACTAAATTTATAATGCAGAAGTAGACTGCTGCTTGCTTAAAAATAGAAGGGACATGTTTTGAAACCTCAAGTGGTTGATGGTGGAGACGGTTAAATCAGATGACTAATCTCCCAGTGTGCCACGTTGTCCCTGCTCAGAGGGCAGTTACATGGTGGAGGACACTGCAAATGGCACAGACATTGTAGCCTTGGAAAGATGTGGGGAAGTGTTCTGAGTCCGAGGACTTCTTTTTACTCATTTGAGACACATTTTTAAAACACAAACCTGAAAAAAAAAATCAGCTTTTGATACAGCCTATCACCCTGTGATGGATTTCCATTTCACTAACGATGAAACAGTCTTTTCATGGCTGGGCGTGGTGGCTTAGGCCTGTAATCCCAGTACTTTGGGAAGCCGGGCAGGTGGATCATCTGAGGTCAGGAGTTCAAGACCAGCCTGGCTAACATGGTGAAACCCCATCTCGAATAAAAGTACAAAAATTAGCTGGGCATGGTAGCACATCCCTGCAATCACAGCTACTTGGGAGGCTGAGGCACAAGAATTGCTTGAAACCCGGGAGGCAGAGGTTGCAGTGAGCTGAGATCATACCATTGGACTCCAGCCTGGGTGACAGAGTAAGCCTTTGCCTCAAAAAAAAAAAAAAAAAAAAAAAATAGAGAAAAAGTCTTTTCCTTGACCCATGTATTAGTTTCCTAGGGCTGCCATGACACATCACCACATTTTGTGGCTTTAAGCAACAGAAATGTATTTGTTCACAGTTCTGGCAGTTAGAAGTCTGAAATCAGAGTCAGCCGGGCCATTCTCTCTTCGAAGGGTCTAGGAGAGAGGAGCCTTTCTTGCTGCTACTTAGCTTCTGGTGATGGCCGGCAACCCTCAGTGTTCCTTAGATTGTAGACTTGTAACTCCAACCTCTACCTCTGTCTTCATGGGGCCTTCTTCCCTGTCTGTCTCTGTCTTTGTCTCTGCATCTGTTTTCTCTTCTTGAAAGGTCACAAGTCATTGGGTTAGGGCCCACTCTACTCCAGTATAATTTCATCTTAACTACATCTGTGAAGACACTATTTCTAAATAAGGTTATATTTGGTCATTCCAGGTGGACTTGAATTTTAGGAAGACGTTTTCCAACCCAATATAACCCCCTTCCCTTCCCCAACTTCACCAGCTGAGCTCTAGCCACAGTGGAGTCCCCTCAGTTCTCTGAACATGTCAAACTCTCTTTCCCACCTTAGTCCCTTTGAACTTCCAAGTCCTCTCTGTCTAGAAATGCACCCTCACCCTCCCCAACCTCCTCAGCTCTTGGCTTGACTGGATCCTTCTCACCCTTCAAGTCTTGGTTTAAATGTCACCACCTCAAAGAAACCTTCCCTTGCCCACCTTATCTAAGCTCCTTGTTTTCATTATCTCTTCTCCATTTCCACACTTGTTTCTTTTCTCTTTTTTTTTTTTTTTCTTTTTTTCTTTTCTTTTCTTTGCATGACAGGGTCTTGGTATGTTGCCCAGGCTGGTCTCGAACTCCTGGGCTCAAGCGATTCTCCTGCCTCAGTCTCCCAAGTAGCTCAGATGACAGGCATGTGTCACCATGCACAGCTTCTTTTCTTGTATTTAGCATCAAATTTAGTACCATGTTAATGCTTTCTCTCTCTCTGTGTGTTTGTGTTTGTGCATTTTCTTAGCTTTCTCATTAAAATGTAGGTTTGAACACCAGCAGTTCCACTAGTTTGTTCCCTCCTAGTTTGTTCACACAGCATCTTATGCAGTCCCTCTACTAAATGAATAGTTGTTTAGTAAAACAAAAAGATTTGAGTATCTGTTATATGAAAGGCCAAATGCTAGGCACTTAGGGAACATGGAATATATAAAATATAGCCCCTACTTTCAAAGTACTTAGACTGGAGGCAAGATCGGCAGTGGAAACAAATCATTCTGAGATGTGATGTAAGTTCAAGAAGAGAGAGACTGAAAAAGTGCTGCAGAAGCAACTCACAATAAACAATTTAGCAAAGCTAGTGGTCTCGGGAGTGGAGGAACACAGGTGGGGATAAACTTGCAAAGCTGCTTTCAGAGCAAAAGGGGAGCTGGTACTGATGCAAAAAGTGAGAGTAATTCGTTGTGCATGCATCCATAGGTAACCTCCAGGGCCCTTGCTGTATCTGTGGGCCGGACACAGTGGAGCCACGTGCAGTGGGTATCTGAGCCCAGCTGTTGTAGCAGGCAAGGCAATCAGGGAAGATGCAGCCAAGGATGCCTTTCCCAGCCAGGGGTTCCTGGGCCCTGGTTTCTCCACAGGCTTTGAAACTAGATGTGATTAGTGAGTTCTGAAACCCCCTGACAACTCAGGGGGAGATTTTGCTGTCCACCCTTGGGTGCCCCCAAGCAGCTGGAACAGATTGTATGTGGAAGTTTTCTCTAGATTCCTGCCTCCTTCCCTACAGTTCCCACCCTAAGAAGATTGCCGTTTAAGCTCCAGGTTAAAGAAAATCCTGATATTCCTGGGGCAAACTGCACTCAATTTGTTTCTCTAACAGACAGCTGGCTTGGAAGAGCCACCTTTTCTCCCTTTCCTCCCCCTCCTCTGGATTCCCTTCTTGTCCTCCAAGTGCAGGTGGGAGGTACCTGTGTGAGGAGTCCACTCTCAAGATCCTCCCTTCCCATAAGAGTCTATAATAGACAAGACGTCAGAGGGGAAGGGAATCAGTTGTGGTGCAACAAATATTAAAAGGAAACTTTTCTCTGCAATTTGCTGATTAGAATCAAATGCCCTCCTGGAGGAATGAGATCCTTTGGAAGGGCGCGACCAGCTTGTAAATGTGTGGCAAGAAGACAATACTACCGCTGGGGGTCCTAGGGATGTGATGGGCCTTGTACCCTGAATGCATCTGGGAAAGAACTCATTTAGAAGGCACTATTTTTGAAGGTTGAGAGATAGAATACAAAGAAAGTGCTTAGCACAGTGGCTGCTACTTGCACACAACCAGTTACTGTCAGCTACTGTTACCCTTCCTACTACTATTATCAATGTTAATGTTTTCACAACGTTCGTAGTAAGTGGAACTCTCCATAGCTTCTTGGACAAGATTGAGCCCTTTTTAAATACTTGCTGATGTATTGGCTAAAGGGACTTGGAGAGGGTGATGGAGACAAGGAAGATGTGGATAGCTGGAAAAGAGAGTTCTCAGGGAAAGAGGGAGAAGTAGCGGTGGCCATGGAGAATGGAATGTGAATGGTAAATTCTTAAGAATGCTTTGTGGTATGATATACATAAGGGTGTCCTCCATATCTGTTTTTACTCTAAATATACATCAATTGTTAAAGTTCTTAGAGTTGGTGTGGTGAGGTCACTAAATGTGGTGACAGTAAAGCCTGGCCTCAACGTGGGGTCTGAACTCAGGGGGCAGAATGACCCCCAGTCACACCTGTAGTACAAGTGAGGACTGTGTTTATTTTCTAGGGCTGCCATATAAATTACCACAAACTTGTTGGCTAAAACAACAGAAATGCATTCTCTTACATTTCTGCTTGCCAGAAGTCTAAAATCTCACAGAGCCATGCTTCCTCTGGGGGCTGTAGGGGAGAATCCATTATTTGACTCTTCTAGCTTCTGGTGGCTGCTGGCATTCCTTGAGTTGTGACCACATCACATCAGTCTCTGTTTCTGTGGTCGCGTTGCCTTTTACTGGATCTCAAATCTCCCTCTGCCTTTCTCTTATAAGGACACTTGTCATTGGATTTAGGACCCACCTGAATAATCTAGGATGATCCTCTCAACTCAAAAGCCTGAAGTTAATCACATCTGCAAAGACCCTTTTCCCAAATTAAAAAAAAAAAATTCATAGGTTCCAAAGATTGGCACATGGACATATCTCTTTAGGGGCCACTATTCTCACCCCTATTCATTGTGACTATCCTGGAGCTCAGAAATGAGTGAATTGCTGCAAGTCTCAGTGCTAGAAAACAAAGGGGCCAGGTACAGAAACCTTAGGACAGAGATGGGAAATGACTTACCCAAGAGAGTACAGTAGACACCAATCTGAGTCAAGACTTCTCTCTACTCCAGTCTTCAATGGTTTTACCCATATGCATGATAATGTGGGAATTTCCTATAATGTTGGGAAGATATTCTTGTCTAGGTAGCTGTGAAACTTTAAGAAAGATATTTTGCAATTGAGATATCCTGTTTGAGACTCAGCTCAAGATATTCTTTTTCTTTTGATTAAGGATTTTTTTTGAAAAGATGGTTTGTAAAAAGATAAATGAAATAGCTTATGTACCATACCAATGCTGAAATGGAAGGATAATTTCCATTTATCATGGACCTCCAACCTTACAGTCAGTGAGAAGCATTTATCTTTTTACACATTCTTCCACTTATTCATTCAACAAATATTAAGGGTACTCTGCCAGGCAGTGTGCATAGTGCTGGGGAGACAATAAATAAGTGAGACAAATGCATTTCTTGCATTTGTGGAATATAATACAATATGGAGGAAACAGACAACAACAATAACAATAAAGAGTGCTATTTTGAAATTTGGAAATTGCTATTAATGAAATAAACATTGTGCTATGAGAGAGTATATTGGCAATGATACTACTTTAAGTAGAGGAATAAGAAAAGGTCTGTGAAATTTAGATGAGACTTGAAGGAATCCATTGGGCAAAGAGGCTGGAGAAGGCATTTCATTCCAAACAAAATGCCTTAAGAGGCAAGGAGTTTGATGTTTTTAGAATAGTCAGAAGACCCACGTAGCCAGAACTTACAACTGGGTGGGAAAAGTGAGGCTTCCTCTGTTGCAAAAAGGCTTCCTCCATGTGCCAAAATGTACCACCACAGTTTACTCCAGGATTATCTCATCCCAGCCCAGTGATGACAAATCAAAGAACTTCTATCTTCTCCTGTTTTCTAAATTCTAAATCCCTAAAAAGACTTTGATTGGCTTTGGTTTAAGTCAAGTGACTTCACTTGAAACAATCACTGTGGCCAGAGGAATGCAATTCTAAGAAAAGCCGGACCTGGATTGCCTACCTTCCGCTGTGGTCAGCAGCCCCATCAGAATCACATGATTGGAGCAGCAGGAAATCAGTTGTCCAGAGGAAACAGGGGATGCAGGACAGACAAGGCAGTAGACATTCACCATCCTGCTCAAAATGCAGCAATTCATTAACTGCTCCCCTGATCCTTACAAGCAGCGACATTGTCTGTCTAATTCATTACTGTGTTCCTCATGCTGAGGACAGTTCCTAGGACATATTAGCTCCTCAAAAACTGTCAATTATATGTGTGGGATACATTAAAAGAATGACATTTTATTACCATAAAAAAATTACAGTCACATGTCAATGACAGGGAAACATTCTGAGAAATATGTTTTTAGACAATTTATCCTGTACTAACATCACAGAGTGTACTTACACAAACCTAGATGGTATAGTTTACTAGACACCTAGGCTATATAGTACAGCGTAGTGCTCCTAGGCTACAAGCCTGTACAGCATGTTCCTCTATTGAATACTGTAGGTAATTGTAAGACAATGGTATTTGTGTATCTAAATACAGAAAAAATACAGTGAAAAGATACTATGAAAAAACATTTTTAATGGTACACTTGCATTAGGGTGCTTACCATGAATGGAGCTTACAAGACTAGAAATTGCTCCAGGTGAGTCAGTGAATGAGTGGTGAGTGAATGTGAAGGCCTAGAACATTACTGTGTACTACTGTTGACTTTATAAATACCATACACTTAGGCTACACTAAGTTTCTAAACAAATAAAGTAATTGCAATACAATGTTGTGACAGCCATGATGTCGGCATTAGGTGACAGAAATTTTTCACTCCATTGTAACCTTACAGGACTACCATCGCATACACGATCCATTGTTGATCAAGATGTTATTTAGCGTATGACTGTATTTACAATATAAATACTTCATAATGGATAGTTAAATTCTGTTACACCACACAATTGTTGAAGAGTGTTGGTCTACAGAGTGGAAATACTAACGCTTAAGCTGCATTACTTGCCAGGCTTCTCTGATAATTAAGTGCTATTCGATTGTAAAAGGCTTTGGAACATATTAAAATAAAAATACATACAGACACAAGGCATTTTATTGTTAATAGTCAGCTAGGAAATGCATGCTCAGCAGAATTGTCTAAATAGGCTCCTAAAGAGTATGGCAAAAAAAAAAAAAATGGAACTTTGAAGAGAAAGTTTCAAATGGCAAAAATACTTAGGCAGCAAAAAGACAATTTTCTAAAATGATGGGTTTGAGAAGAATGAATCAACAATAAATGTTGGTGCAAAACATTATTTAAGAATTCTGAACATACTCCCGATTAAAAATATTTTCAAGAGTGACTCCAGCAGAAATAATAAAATGCTAGGCACAAACCTGTTGCCTTAGCCCTCCTGGCTAAGCAGGATGCAAGAGCCTGACCCACACCTCCATCAAGTGCTCTGAAGTGCTTTGAGAGCATGGCATGTGTGTGTTCAGTTGAGTGTTTTAGGTCATGTCATTTTAGGGTTAACGTCACCCTCCTGGAAAAGGACAGGTAGAAAGGAAGCCAGACTTCGACCCACAGGCCAAGAGTGACCAATTACATTGATCATGTGGATGAATTGAGGCACAGGTAAACTGCTACCCTGGAGACTAAGTAAGCAGCTTAGAAGAGAGAGTGTGTGTATCCTCACATCCAAAGGTGGGTAGGCAATCTAGGGCAAGTAGACAGCAGCAGGTATTCCTGAGTCACAAGCTGGCTGGTTGGCTCTGCCATCCTTGACATGTGGGTTCCATCTCTGGGTCCAAGGTGACTGCTGTACTGTTTTCAGCCAAGAGAAAAGAAGTGGGGGAAAGAGTCCTGGCAAGCAGAATTGTCTTCAGAGAGGTGACTCAGAACCTGCAAATACCATGCCTGCTCATATTCCAGTGGCCCTAACACAGTCACATGGTTCCACGTAACCACAAAAGAGACTTGACTCTGAAGTCTCTAGCTGCACAACCAACATACCCAGATAACACTTAGATCCAGGAAGAGGGTTTATTTCTAAAATAAAAGGAACAATATGGATACTGGGGAACAAGATCACATTCTCTGATATGTCACGCATATATTGAGTTCATGCTGTGTTTGAGGCATTGTGGGAAATACAACTGTGAATAAAAGGATGGCCTGCATTCCAGAAGGCAGTAAATACGCTCACATACAGTAGCAATGCCCACATAAAATGGAGTGTGACAAGGGGTACATAGAACCCAGTTTATGAAAGTTTAGGGAGGGGGGGATTTATTTCCTCTGAGTAGAATTTAGGAAAACTTATTGGAGGAGGTAAGATTTGAAATGGGCCCTTAACACTGCATAGGACTAAGGTAGACTGGAAAATGGAGTTAGGAGAAAGGACTGTAAAGAGGGAGAGAAGAGCCTTTGGTCAGTGGGAAGGGAAAAGCTTTCATCCCAGCTAGAGTCATTTTCATAGCTGTGGCCCTTTGAGAACCATCCAGTAATCCCACAAAAATGACCACACGAAGGCTGATACTGTCAGTTTTCTCTCCAAGTCCATTCTCTTATTTCCTTAGTGATAAGAATCCTAACTTTTAGTTGAGTGTATTGTCCTCCTTAGCCTTCTATAGAGCCATATGTGATCCCGTGACCAAGTTTTGGCCAATGAGGTAGAAGTGCAAGTATCATAAACAGCTACTGAGAAGTATTCCTAAGGCAACAGCTTCCTTTGCACTTTCTTCATCCTGCTGCCTGTAATTGAGGTGTGATGGCTAGAGCTCTGATGGCCATTTTGGATCAGAAGAATAAGCACTAACCCTGGAAGTAACAGCAGAAAGTCAGAATCATCCTTCTTTCCTGGTGACACCATAGAACCACCATGGTGGAAGGCCCTGGACTGCCTATCTCCAGACTTGTTTGAAGCCAAAAGGATGACTTTAGGTGTTCAAGTCACTGTCATTTTGGGTTTTCTGCCATGTTTAATGACACCAATTCCTACTGAGCACAGGCAGGTTTCAAGCCGCACTTGCTCCTAGATCACACTTACCAATGAATAGAGATTCAACCAATAGTCAGCATATTAATTTCCTATTGCTGCCCTAACATATTACCAAAAACTTAGAAGCTAAAAACAACACAACTTTATTTATCTTACAGTTCTGTAAGTCAGAAGTCCAGCATGGGTCCTACTAGACTAAAATCAAGATGTTGGCAAAGTTGTGCTCCCTTCTAGAGGTGCTAGGGGAAAATTTATATTCTTTCTTACTTAGGTTGCTGGATGAATTTTGTTCCTTGGCAGTTGTAGGACTGCAGGCCCATATTTCCTTTCTTGCTTTCACCTGAGGTCTATTCCCAGCTTTTAGATGCTGCCCAGGTTCCTTGGCTCATGACCCCCTTCCTCCATCTTCAAACCAACAACAGTGGATCCAGTCTCTCTCACTTTAGATCTCTCCTCCTGCTTCTTTCATCATCGTGTAACTCATCAGCGCTTCTGCCTGCCTCTTTCACCTTAAAGGACTCATGTGATTACACTGGGCCAACCCAGATGATCCAGCATCATCTCCGAATCTTAAACTCTGTAACCTTAATTCCACTTGCAGAGTTCCCTTTGCCATGTGATGTAACATATTCCCCAGGTCTGGGGATTAGGACATGGGCATCTTCAGGGAGCCATTATTCTGCCAGAGAATACAAGGTTCCCTTGGCAACCTCATCCTTTTGTCAACTTATGATCTTGTTTCAACTGTCCTCCTCATTTACAGGTGCAATAACACAAAGGGTAATTTCTCCTTGATACTTATATATAGCCCTGACAGTCAGGACTCCTACCCAGTTCTAATTCTCAGGAATAAAGCAGTGTCTTTGAGCGATACCTCATATATCTTGGGAGTTGTGCACCAACTCATAAAAGACACCTAATAGATGTTTCAGGGGTTAGGTTTAAGGCAGAATTTGGTGACTTCTAGGAGTAGTTTTCTCAGGTAGATGTGAACTGGGAACCAGGGTTAAGACGAGGGTTTCTCTCTAACTTTCCTCAGAGCCAGACCTAAAATAGCCTAATCAACACTGAAAAATTACTTAGGTTTCTTGAGTGGGTTGCAAAGAACAACTTCTTTACAAACTTTTTTCAAGTTGCAATTGAGGATAGGATTGGAAAATACATGTATCATACCCAAGGCAGTAATTTCAGAGAGAAGAGAAAAGATAAAACAAATGTCCTTTAAAGAAAATAAGGTGACAGGGTACCATCCAAATTGTCTGGGTGGAACTAGGCAAAGGTCAGCCAATGAGTAGTCCTCTGGGGGATCAACTTGGAGATTAACTCTGGCCTCATTGTACTTTCTCCTTTGTGCACTGTAGAGGAGGGAAGCGCTTCAGTGTTAGGTCCCTGGGACAGAAGCTCGAAGAGGATAAGGAATTTGCCTATTTTGTTTTCTTTACACCCAATCTTCAGAATACTCAGCAAACATATACAGTATTTGCATGAATGAATGAATACATTGTTGATTGAATGACTGCTTGATTGGTTAACAGATACCTAAGTCCTCCTTTGGTTCCCCATCCCCAACCCCCTGCTGGGCTATATTGCCTAGAAGTTAAACCTTGTGCTTTAGAATGAGACATGAACCTAGGTCTCACCTCCACTATCTATTCTGCCAATGTGTTCCCTGGGAACTTCCTTGAGTCTGTTTCCTGTCTGTAATCTGTAGCCAATAATTACGCTTGGCATTGTGAAATTTCATTAAGATAATAGATGCAAAGTGCTTAGCACAGTGCCTAGCAGTACAGTCATGTGCCACAAAATGACATTTCGGTCAACAGCAGACCACAGATACAATAGTGGTCCCATAAGATTTTACTACCATATTTTTATTGTACCTTATCTATGTTTTTATTGTAACTTTTCTATGTTTAGATACACTACTTACTATTTTGTTACAATGACCTACAGTATTTAGTAAAGTAACATGCTGTACAGGTTTGTAGTCTAGTCACAGTAGGTTAGACCATACAGCCTAGGCGTAGAGTAGGCTTTACCATCTGGGTTTGTGTAAGTTCACTCTATGGTGTTTACACAATAAAAAAATCACCTAATGATGCATTTCTTAGAACATATCCCTTGTTGCATGGCTGTACTCAAATTTGTTAGCACTTAATGTTAGTTCAAACCCACTTCTACTGCTAAAGGGGTCTCCCGGTGATGGTCAAACTGAATTCCCAGCCTACATGCCTCTACTTGAATCAATTGGCCTGTCTCACCAGCATTTCATCCACATGTATGGGTGCATGTACATGAGGTGTGTGCACTCATGTATGCATGCACATAAATATCAAGGGGCCAAAGTAAATGTAAATGCTATCTTCTCCATGAAGCCAACTATTGAGGCCCTAGTCAGAATTCATCTCTCCACTTTAGAATTTTTGAATGTCGATTAAGCCATCTTTGTATGTATCACATACCGATGCCTAGCACAGTGTCTGCCATAATATAGAAACCTAACTGTTTCTATATTCATCTGCTCATTCATTTTGGATGAATGAGTGGATGGATGGATGGTGGATGGATAGAAAGTTAACTTACTTATGTTCTCTGGCAGCTCCACAGGGATTTATTTATCCTTAGGCACACAACTAGTCAGCACAGTGCCTTACCCACTGTAGCTATTCACTAAATAGTGGTTGGATGGTGATAAAGGAGAAGAAAAATTAGAAAACCAAGACCAATCCCCACCTGGAATCATTCTCCTTTCAGGGCATTCTATTGAAAGGAGTTATTGAGAAGAGAGGCAGGGAGTTGACAGCCACCCTCTGGACTCTCTCCCAGGGCCTTTTTAGAACAGGAAAGTTAATTATGGAACCAGATTAACAGTTTCTTTTTTGATACAGCCAAAGTAAAACCAGCAGGATGCAATTTAGCTCTTCCCCACTTTCCAGATAGCAGCAAATTTTCATACAAAACAAAGAGACACTTGAATTGCAAATTACTTAGAGACTCAGCTAGCAACCCCAACGGAAGAATATTTCTACTTTCAAAATCCGCTGTTGCCTTTTTAGGTTTAACCATGTAGTGGGACCTTCACAAAGGCCTGGGCGTCTTGCTGTTTCAACTGTTGGCCAAGTGGGGAGGAGGAGCAATTCATTAAGGTTTACTGGAATGTCCCAGGGTGAGCTTTTTGCTCAGAACATTTTCCTCTTCTCCAGACTGTCTGTCTCTAACTCTCAGAGCACCAGCCTCTACTCACAGAAATGAGGGCTAAAGGGTTTCTAGAGGTCATCTCACTGGAGAGTAGGAAAAGCAAATGCCTATAATGGCAAGGGGAATGTAACAAATAAAACAGGTGGTGAAGGTGAATGTATGACCTCTAGGAAGTAGATGAGGACAGGGGCAAAACTTTACCCCATCTAACCATCACTGGACCATTAGTGATTGTTGCTAGACAGTTCCAACAAGTCTGTAATCTGGATTGTTAATTGAAACGTTCTTCTTAGCTGTTGGCATCTAATTAATAAGGGGGAATAATACCGTCTATTAGCTGGATACGGACTATGGGGCCACCAGTTTATAACTTCTGATCTAGCACACACGGCTTCCTTATTTGATAGACAGGGAAACCAAGGTCAAGAGACAGAAATAAAAGTATAAAAGATCACAGAGTGTCCCAATCTTCTGACACCTCCTCCAGTGCCTAGCTGATTCCACCATACAGCCTCCCCAAATTCCTGCCCCCCACGCAGGACACGGAAGCTTTACTTTCACAAGAGCATTTATTAACTTATTTTTCTGATTTAAATAAATAATTCCTATTTTCTACAGAGGACTTGGAAGATTTAACAAGGATAAGAGAAAATTAAAAAGTCTCACAGCAGTGCCATTTTATTTATGGAGGAACTGGAGGCTAAGATGGAAACCTAGCTGGACCCAGGCTGCTTCCAGACACGGCCACTGGAGGGCAAGGTGGCATCTCAGTTGGCTTAGCCAACAATAACAGGTTGTAGGAAGGTTAGGGCAGGGGTTGAAAACACAGCCAGGTACGTGGCAGAAGTGAGTAAAGGAGGACAGATCAGGAAATACGGTGAACGAAGTAAATGTGCCCTGCCTGAACCCTGTAGACACCACTCAGATTCAGCTTGTGTCCTTGTGTGGGAATGCAAATAATGTTGACAGCCTTTTGGAATTTTTTAATGTGAATCTTGAAATCTACCCTTTTTAAGTAAAAATTTTCAATGTGTGAATGTAGTTCAAATAATGTGTGTGTGTGTGTGTGTGTGTGTGTGTGTGTGTGTGTGTGTGTCTGTGTCAAAACCCTTCAAGGAGCAGGATTTGGGCTATGGACTTTCTCTTTGTGAACTCTGTTTAGTGACTCACTGAGAATGAACTGGGCCCTAGGCAGGTCAGTCAGCTGGGTGGAGAGTTTGTTTGTGATTAGTCACAGGCCACCAGAGAGCTGTCATGCAGATGACCAAAATCAGGGGGACAAGACTGAGGAGGCCGAGGCTGTCCATTGACTTAGTTCAGCTGTCCCCTGGAGAGTGAGGGCTTCAACAAGAACCAGGCTGCATCTTGGACAGACCCTATAGGGAGATCTTCTGCCCAAATCTAAAGCACCTACCGTGGCCTTTTATAGAGTATGTGTGTGTGCATATGCATGTGAATAATCTTTACCTTGCTAAAATAATATAGATTATCTCCCTTGGTAGCCTTGTGGAAGACAACTTCATTGTCTCCAAAGTGGAAATGTTTAAAGTCAGTAAAGTTAGCAATGAGTGTGTCAACTCTTTCCTGTAATGAGTTACTGTAATGAATTACTGAAAGAAGTTAGGCAGTAGAATGGAATGGAGGGAGCCGTTGAATAGGAGTCTTGAATTTTCCCACCCTGCCCTCTCTCTTGAGCTTCTATTTCATACTCTATGAAGTGAAAATTATGATAACTGCCCTGTTTTCTATATTGGTGAGGATTTTTTTAAAAAGAAAAACAGAAAACCCAATGGCTTAAGAAAACAACAAAAACTAGCCTAAGCAGAGAAGGGTATGTATAGTTCACACAAGTGAAAAGTTCAATCATAGTTAAATCTGGGGGTCCAAATAACATCAAAGCTAGGTACCTCTCACTCAAAACTGCAGTCTTGATTTCCCATGTTGGCTTCCAGCAGCTCTGGGTCTCCATCTTCATCATTGCAAATACAGTAGAAAGAGACCTTCTACTACATTTTCAACACAAGTTTCAGAACTGACTTTCATTGGTCTGAAATCCCATATCCATTCTGAAACCAGTCAATGTGACAAAAAAGATGAAATGCACTGAGTGGCTGGACCAGCACACATTTCATGGAGCAATTAGGCATTTAGCTGAGGATCTCTGGGACCATAATTTGCATTCTGTATGGTGGCAGATAAAGTAGCAGACCTGATTCCCTGGCAGAAATAAAATGTTTCTACTGAAACAACTTCCTGGGAATCTATTCCACTTGCTCTATAAAGTGTGTCTAAAGCTAAAGCCATCCAGTTAAAGAGAAAAGGGCAAAATACTTGATTATTGCTGATACTAAAATGAGATTGTATATTTTGTATTTCTTTTCTGTCCTGTGTCGTGCAGGCTTCCTTTGACAAGAGAATCAGAACCGACTGGTGACATTTGTTTCAATGAAAGCAACAGTGTGAAGAGTAAGTAGTTTTTCCTATTATTCATCTCACTCAGTGGAGATAATGAACTCCTCTCCACTGCCAAGATGAGAAACTACCATTTCTTACACATGGACACAAAGATGAGAACAATAAACACTGAGACTTCAAAAAGGAGGGAAGGAGAAAGAGGAACAAGACTTGAAATCTACCTATCAGGTACTATCTTTACTTCTTGGGCAGTGGGGTCATTAGAAGCCCAAACCTCAGCATCACTCAGTATACCCATGAAATAAACTTGCACATGTACCCTCTGAGTCTAAATTAAAAAAACAAAACAAAACAGAACAAAAAAAACACCACCGCTATCTCTTCCTCCAACCCAGTAAAATAAACGTCAGCTGATCTGGTATGTCAGATGCCAAGTAAATGGTTTAAACTTTCTCCATTGTATATATTCCCCAGACAACATAGGACCTGTCAAATTATATATCACTTAAGATGTGCTATTGGCTGCAAGTAACAGAAAGTACAGATTCAAGGTGGCGTAAATAACAAGAAAAAAGTTGTTGGCCCTCATAAGAAGTCCCAAGGTAAGAGAGGTCCATAGATTGTCAATGGAGTAAATCAGTAATATTACCAAGACTTGGATTATGACCTCTTCAGTGGGTTGTCTCTTTCATCAGTCTCCAGCAAACTTCCTCTCACATTTATTGGCCAGAAATGTGTTACACACCCTTGCCTAAACCAGTCCTTAGCAAAGCAAATGGAACCACCATGATTGGTTTAGAATAACTGTTAGTCCCTTCTTGATGTTAAGAATGGGACTCACATTCCCTGAACTACATGGTTGTGTGGAGAAAAGGGGATATATAAACAAAACTAAAATCTTATTAGAAAGAAAAAAGGAAGAAAGAATAGTGATTGTAAAGGCAATCAATAGTATCTACTATAAGATGATACTATGAAAATCTCAGCAGTGCTTCCTCTAAGAGGAAAGCTTATAAAGGTACTCAAGTTCTAAGACCTCACATACTCCATCATGGCAGAGAAAGCAGGCACAAGCCTTGGCTAACCTCCCCTCTAGTCATGGGTAAAATGAAAGAAATACTTAGACTCTAGATATAAAACCCAAGGCATTATCATTATACCATATGCAGACTGTTTCTCCAATTTGCATAATTATAAACTCCCCCTCAAAGAGTAAACATCACTGCCAACTTAAAAACAACAACAACAACTACAAATAACATTAAATATGCATTGCTAATTTGACTTTCTAATTTGTCTGGGCTCTTCACAAAGATGTGCATAACTCCGCAGATACCAACTGCTTAAGAAAATCCTCCACCTGCCTGAAAAGGCATCAACAGGAAAAGAAAAGCTAAAAATTAGTTTTTTAGATAAGAATTTGAGTTGTTGCCTGAAAATTACCTGCAGTAGTTCATTCTATTAAAAAGGACTCTCAAATTCATTGTCCCAAGCATTGCTTACCACCATTCAAGTATAGGCAATTGCTTTGTGCAGCCAAAAGAAGATAATTTTGCAAGATCTCACCATTCAGTTTTAAGAGTCTCCTGTGAGCTGTGTATGGCCTTATATTTGGTCATTTATAGGAAATAATCCAAGAGTTTCAGAAAGACTTTTCTGTCTCAAAATCTGTCTTTTATTGATCTGCCTCAAAGATCCACACCACTTGGGCTTCGAAGCTTTGAGCTATAGTACAAATATGCTACCTGGCCAAGGTGGATTAAGCTATTATTATTTTCCTCAATTTCAGTTCCCTGATGAGCCGCGATGATAAGTGGGACACAGGATGTGTATATGCATAGAGGCAAGTCCTTCTGCAAGAATGGCCATAATCAAAAAATGAAAAAACAATAAATGTTGGCTTGGAGGCGGTGAACAGGGAACACTTCTACACTGCTTGTGGGAAGGTAAACTAGTACAACCACTATGGAAAACAGTGTGGAGATTCCTTAAAGAACTAAAAGTAGAACTACCATTTGGTCCAGCAATCCCACTACTAGGTATCTACCCACAGGAAAAGAAGTCATTATACGAAAAAGATACTTGCACACACGTTTATAGCAGCACAATTTGCAATTGCAAAATCATGGAACCAACCCAAATGCCCATCAATCAGTGAGTGGATGAAGAAACTGTGGTGTGTGTGTGTATGTGTGTGTGTGTGTGTGTGTGTGTGTGTGTGTGTATCATATATATATGATATATATATCAACCATATATATCACCCATATATATAGTATATATATGATATATATCGATCATATATATGATGGAATATATATATGATATATATATATATATGTGATGGATATATCTATCCATGGATATATCCATGGATAGATATATCCATCACATATATATATATATGATGAAATACTACTCAGCTATAAAAAGGAATGAATTAACAGCATTTGCAGTGACCTGGATGACACTGGAGACTATTAGTCTAAGTGAAGTAACTCAGGAATTGGAAACCAAACGTCGTATGTTCTCACTGATATGTGGGAGCTAAGCTATGAGGACACGAAGGCATAAGAATGATACAATGGACTTTGGGGACTTGGGGTGAAGAGTGGAAGGGGGACAAGGGATAAGACTACAAATATGGTGCAGCGTATACTGCTTGGGTGATGGGTGCACCAAAATCTCACAAATCACCACTAAAGAACTTATGTAACCAAACTGTACCACAATAACTTATGGAAGAAAATAAAAAATTTCCTTTGAATTAAAAAGTTCTCCTGGAGGAGGCATACAACTTACATGTGTATATGTAATTTGTAATATATGTGTATATATACTTCTATATAATGGAAATACCTGTTATGTATAAACACATAACACATATGAATACAATGTTACATAGTGAGATCCTTTTATACAAGCTATTCTCAAACCCGCTTTGTGAACTCAATATTATAGATATCTTTCCTTTGTAGTTTGTGTGTGTGTGTATGTACATGTCATTTTTTGCCATTGATTAGTATTGCACCTCAGGAATTAATGATAATTTCTTTACTCAATCCTCTTTTAAACTATACCTGTCATTCTTAGCTATATCATCACTATTTTTAATTACATCAAAACATTCTTCTGCACAGAGATATTTCTCTGCACATATTGCTGTCTCTTTAGTAAGCTCCTTGAAGAGTCATTGCTAGGTCAGGTATGGGAGGGAAGAACCATAGAGGACTAGAATATTGATACTGCATGATCCCTTCTGGGGGCTCAGATACGCCTGTGAGGCTGGGCTCCTAAAGTGAGTGAGTGTGTGTGTGTGTGTGTGTGTGTGTGTGTGTGTGTGTGTGTATGGAGGAAGAAAATGGGAACAAAGTGCAATAAATGTAAACTTTGCTGATGCCACATTTTTACACCGAGTTGTTACAGAACAATAAGAAAACTGCTGTTATTGCAGACAACCGTTAGATTTGTTTTAGTGTTTACTTCAGCAACGTCTCTCTGTGCCTTGTCTAAACTGTAAACACCCTGTGGGCAGGAGCCAGTTCTGGTGGTTGTTGCTGTTACTGACCAATATATACCAAGTGTTTAATATATTTACATTACTGCGTTTCAACATTTTTTGGTGAAAGAGTGAATAAATTATATAGAAAATATTTCCTGAAAGGAAGAGATTTGCAAGAAACTTCCTAAAGAGTGGCATTTCTAGGGAATCTATTATCTTCCCAATCTCCTTACTCAACCCCCAGTATCTCTTTTGTATATAATACTTTCTATCCCACAGCAATTGAAATGTAGAACCATACAATTTTAGGCATTACTCTACTGTTTTAAGGCAAAAAATAATTCTGCCTCAGAAAGTATTGTATAAGGAGCAGGTTGTAGTAAATGGACCATCCTTGTCAGTCAAGAGTTTATCTTTAATGTAAACCACTCAACCCTGGCCTCAAGGTCAACCTATTTTTATGGCCAGCATTTGATTTATTTTTATATTTTACTTCCATTTTTAAACAAGATAGGTTGCTGTGCAATTATGAAAATTAAAGTAGGAATAAACTTGGACATGTGACTTTATACTGAATTCTATAGATTGCAAAATGGATGGGTTCTGTTATGTTGTGCCAGTATGAGTTGCTCCAAAACACACTGGAAAATGAAATATTTTTTCTCTTTCCATAAATGATATTTATTTGCCTTTTCTATTTCCAAAGATGTTTTCTATCATATCATTCAGGATCTTACCTAAGTTTCTTGAATTCTTGTCATCCTTCCCAGAGCAGCAAGGGTGGTTTTCAATTTCCCTAACTCACTTAATGTCTGTCTGGAGTTCTGTGCCCACCAAAAGAGCTAACTGAACAAACACCCTGTACCCATCACAAACCGACAACACCACAGGCTCCTGGACGTAGAGCAGCATTGACCTAAAAATCTTTCAAACATCCCCAAGGCAAAAGGGCGATTGCTATTTGGCAATTCAAAGTGAGATCTGCAGACCAACAGCATCCACAGCACCTACTACTTCCTTAGAAATGCAGAATTCTAGGCCTCACCCAGACCATCCTACTGAGTCCAAATATACATTTTCTCAAGATCCCCATGTATTTCATATGCATGTTATGGACCTAAAGGACAATTCCTTGTGGTCATTCACCTGGATTTCTTCTTATTTTCGAGAGATCTTTCTGCTTTAACCAACAAAAAGAAGCACATAAATACTAAGAGTACATTATTTAAATAGCCCACACTATTATTGTACTGGGCAAAGAACACATTTCATACTGAGTTGAAGGATATGTTCCCTATTTCAAAACAACAGTTTACTCCTTTGACAATTTCATCATTTTCATGGCAACTTCCCCTCCATTCCTTCATTTGTTCAAAATGGCAGCCCTTAAGATATAAACATGCTATTACTTTTATGCATTGAATTTAGATAAATATAACACATGTAACACATTTACTATGAAATCAAAGGAAAAAGCCTCCCTAGAATGTAGTGCAGTAAAATCTGTAGTCACTTTAATGATGCCATCTCAATTTATAGACCTGAGTAGATCATGAATTCTAAACAATTGCTGGAATCTAAAAGTATCTATTGAAATTAAGAATAAATTCTCTTGTGGGTGAGTAGGAAAAGTTTCAGGAGTGTTCAGTTCAGGAATCCAGTTATTACACAGTACACTGGGGTAAAGGGGGAAAAATGTTCCTGGAAATAACCCCAATGAGATGCACAGATAGAAGTGAAGTTGTTAGTGTGATCAAAGGAGATTTAATAACTATTTTTAAGTCTGGAAACTATTTTCTAGATGTTTAAGTCTGAACATACTACCTTAGAGTTTTGTATGTGGTTAATCTCAACTGCCTGCATTTCTGAAACAAATGCATTGTTAGTATTGTGATTAAATGATGCTATTGTATAAAAGAATAAATTATGTTCTATGAAATCACCAAAAAACATGTATATTTATATGGCAACCCTATAAAAAGGCTAAATCATGGTTTAAAAAGAGAAATAAGGTGAGCTTCCATGCTCCCAGCTTCTACTTCTAGGCTTATCTCCTCCATTCTCTTAAGGTTTCCAGTACTCTCAGTCTCTCTCACCCTCCTCTAGAGGAAAATCTATTCTTGAAATGAAATGTCAGCCATTTATATTTTGTATACATTCAAAGATTTGTTCTAATAATTAGCAGTGCTATCTCTCACCATGAAAGAATTTGTCTCCCATTAAAGGAATATTACATATTAGAGTAAAGAGATGATAAGTACTGACTAGATTAGAATTGGTTTTATCTGAACAGTTGATAGCTTCCTGAACTTTAGTGTTAGTATTCTGAGACTGCATCTGGATTCACCAGGAGAAAATATTTTATAATCAGTGATGTCTACCATGTGTATGAGATAAGGACATAGCCATACATCTGCTATGTAATATCCCATACCACAGCTTTTACTGAGCTTGTATACAGCATCCATTGTTAAGTACTTGCAAGCTACTTTATTTGTCTATTGATGAATATCAAATTATCTCCCCCAAATTAACTGCCTTAAAAGAATAATACACATTATCTTACAGTTTCTATGGGTCAGGAATCTTTGAGCAGCTTACCTGAGTTCTCTGTCTCAGGGGTTTCCTACGAGGACACAATCAAGGTATTAGCCAAGACTGCAGGCCCACCTGAAGGCTCAACTGGGGAAGGATCCACTTCCAAGCTCACTGACATGGTGATTAGTCACACTCAGTTCCTCCAAGGCTGTTGCACAGAGGGTCTCATTTCCTCACTGGCCATTGTCCAGAGATTTCCCTCAGTTTCTTGCCAGCTTGCCCTCTCCTTTAGGGCATATACACAAGAAGAGTAAGAGAGGTGGTTAGCAAGAGGAAACTCAGTCTTTTGTAACCTAATTATAGAAGTGACATCCCATCACTTTTGCCTAATATGTTCACTGATGTAAGTCACTATATCTACTCAAGGCCAGAGGAAGATACAAGGGTGTAAATCTTAGGGGGTAGGAATCAGTGGGAGCCATTCTGAATATTTAGGTTGATTTAAATCTTTTCCTTTTATATACAATGCTGCAATAAGTATATCCTCTAGAGAATTGTTTTGAAAAGTACTTGGCTTTCACTACTGGTGTTTAGTAGCCTTTTTGTGATTATATAAAAACCACAAAGTCACTGCTAGGGCCAGGTTGGGGATAGTGACATTAATAACAGGAACACATAACCAGCTTCTGCACACCTCCTATGTAATTCTCTGATCATTCTCCCTTTGCTTCAATGCTGCACAGACTTCATTCCATTCCCTCTTTACCACGGTCACTCTTAAGACGCCTACTACTATTATCCCATTTTTGCAAGTGATGAACTAGACATAGAGAAGCAGAATCACTCACTCAGGGTAGCACAGCTAATAAGGAACAGAGCTTGGATTTAGACACAAATCCACCTGACTTTAACACTGGTGTTATTGCCACTGTGCCTTTCGCCTCTCTGGAATTAGTCGATAAAGTGGTCTCCTAAATATTTTGACAACGTACCCCTATTAGCAATAACTTTTCAGAATATGCCCTTACTATGTGTATATGTATTTATAACATATCTGTAATTTTAAAAAAGTCAATATTTTTGGATAAAAGTGATCATGAATAGAAGTTATTTTATTCACACCACAGTGGATTGTCTTGCCCAGAGCTGATGCTCTCTGGATGTGACATCCTCTGGTCCATGACTTCCTAGATGACAATCAAGTGGGCTTATGGGATAGAGTTGGATGCTTCTGCTGCCCAGATACTTAAAAAAGAGGGGGAAAACTGACTTTCAGCCTCTTCTTTGCTCTATTATGAGTTTTTGAAGAAATACTGAATGAGTAGGAGTTTGGACAACTTCTTCCTTTCACTTTGTGTCATCAAATCTCTTCAGGAAGGGTATTGGAGGACTGGAGCAGTCTTTCTTCCATCCTTGGAGCTGTGGTCTCCACTGTGGGAGAAAATAAAATGCTTTTAAATGCTGCCACCTCACTGGGATTGAGTGAATGAGGAAAGTTCAGATGCTGTTTCCAAGTGAAGTTTTATACTTTATGAAGAACTATTTATTATGGCTTTAAAATTATTTATGTGTTTACTTTAGATAATACGTGGACATGGTAAAAAGCATGTTTAATGCATTATGAATATTTACTGAAAATTAAGCTTTCTGTAGAGACTGTCTACAGCCCCTCTACTTTTCTCCCCTAAAGCAACCACTTTGTATGTGTGTATCCTTCCAGTGAGAGTCTATATCCATACAAATTCACATGTGGATGCCCCTTATTTTTTTTATAACCTAAGTGATACACCCAGTCTCTGTAGGTGGTTTTTTTCACCTGTTACTTCTTAGAGATTGTGTTATATTAGTATACACAACCATTACTTATTCCTCTTAATGGCCACATAATATTGTATAGTAGAAATGTACCAAAATTTATGTAACAGCTCCTTATAGATGAATATTTAGGTTGATTTAAATCTTTTCCTTTTATATACAATGCTGCAATAAGTATATCCTCTAGAGAATTGTTTCGAAAAATACTTGGCTTTCACTGGTGGTGTTTGGTAGCTTTTTGCTGATTATATAAAAACCACATAGTCACTGCTGGAGCCAGGTTGGGGATAGTGACATTAATAACAGGAACATATAGCCAGCTTCTGTACACATCCGGTGTGATTCTCTGATTATTCTCACTTTGCTTCAATAATTGGTATCTTAGCTGAACAAGCCCCACAATGCTACCATGAGAGAAAGGTACTTGTATTAGGTGACTTTGCTGGAAGACTAGAGAAATTAATGCTCCATCTTCCATCTTTGGATTTCCCAGTGCAGCTGTGGGAAGCAAGTGTAGGAACTCTTCCATGGACTGGCCAGCAGGATTTATCTATTAATAGGAGGGTAGGGCAGCCTTGAGCAGTGATAGCACAGTGTAGTAAGGACAGCATCAGCTTCAGGTCAACATATTTAACTTGTGTGGGCAGTTCCCCAAACCAAGATACTGTCACCAGAAAATGGAGCTGTGGATGCTGGCCTGGCACAAGCCATGGGTGCCCACTTTAGGGGTTGTTCATGCAGACCCTTCATCAGAGACCCTTCATTGCCATCCCTTCCATAGCTCTGAATATCCTTGTTACTCTGGTCGTCTTTCCTCACTGGGATTAGATGACCTCAAAGATCCTATCCCTCTCAAACTTTCCCCCAACTTTATAATTTGCCATCACATCAGGGAGGCAGGGTCTGGCTCAGGCACCTGCCTTTACGTTGTTTTATCCCCATTTGCCAGATCACTCAGCTCCCCAAAAGTGTCAACCTACTCTTTCCCTTGCCTTCCTGGTTGGCTGCCTGTGGAAATTACTAGCAAGTGTCCGACTAAAATCATTCTGAAGACGTGTGTTTGCTTCAATTTTTAAATCAGTATGCTGGCCAGGGTGTCAAAAACACACAGAGAAATCTCAGCCTCTGAGTTCTGACTGGGCTTTTTCAAGTATGGACATATTGTTATAAGCGTAGAGATGACTAGGCTGACTGAACCTTTCCCTTGGGCCAAGTGTCACAGGAAAAACTTATTAATAACAAAAGCAGTAGCAGAGGCTACATTTTGAGTTCCTGCTTTATCCCAGAGTCTGTATGAGGCATAGAGCATCCACAGAGTATGGGACCAGTCTAACTGGTTGGAAACCTCATCTCCATCACTCAGTAGCTGTGTCAACCTGGTACATTTCTTGCCCTCTGTAAATATCAGTTACACCAGCTACAAAACAGAGCAGTAATTGCACCTACCTCACAGGGCTGCTGTGAAAAATCAGACAATGTAGCCCCTGGGACATACCTAGCCAGTGCCTGGCATATAGTAAGCACACAGTACCAGCTGACTAATTTTATAGCTGTTCCTGAAAGATTGTTTCTCCTCATTTCATAAATGTACAAACTCAGAATCCAAGAAGGTAAATAACTTGCCCAAGACCAAAAGTAGCAGAACTGGGACTCGAACTTAGGTCATCTGCCTCATTAATTCTTCAAATATTTATGGGTGCCTCCTATGTTCCAAGCACTGAGGATAGGGAAATAAGTGAGCAAGGCACAATCCTGGCCCCCATGGATTTTACAGCCTGATATGATACCATCAAATCCCTTGACATGCCTGCCATCCATTCCCTTCATAAAGCTGCCCCAAGACACCTAGTTAAAATGTCCCTGAATACTCTTGACAGTAACCACAATAGCTAATATTTATAGGATACTAGTGGGTGCTCATTTAATCTCTCCAAAAGCCCTGTGAGGCAGCTACAATGATTATCTCCTTTTTACTGGTTAAAAATCTGAAGCTTAGGCAGAGGCAGGTGTATCATGAAGTCAGGAGATCAAGACCATCCTGGCTAACACGGTGAAACCCCCGTCTCTACTAAAAATACAAAAAATTAGCCGGGCATGGTGGCGGGTGCCTGTAGTCCCAGCTACTTGGGAGGTTGAGGCAGAAGAATGGCGTGAACCCAGGAGGCGGAGCTTGCAGCGAGCCGAGATCGCGCCACTGCACTCCAGCCTGGGCAACAGAGCGAGACTCCATCTCAAAAAAAAAAAAAAAAAAAAAATCTGAAACTTGCAGAAAGCAGAATGAGTTCTTGAACCCATGTAGCTAGTAAGTGGTGGAGCTTGGATTTGAACCCAGGCAACATACAAGAATAGTTCATTACGTTGTTTAAAGGAGTCAAGCTGACTTGAGACTGGGATTGGAGATAGAACAAAAAGTTATGTCAGTGCTGTAGTCCATATCCAATCACATATAAGGTGCATCTTATTTTTCTGTGCCCTATGCTCCTATAGTAATCCTCAGAGGTTAAAAAACATATATACTAGGAAGGACTTTCAGCTGTGAAAACAAAGCAAAGAAAGCAGGCACTATCAAATTAAAATCAGGCAGTGGGACTTTGACTAAATCTGCCTTCCTGCACTCTGCTTAGTTGCATTTTCAAAGACCTCTGTCCTCGAGGGGCAAGCTTTGTTAGGATGGCCAGTGGCAGATACAGGTCTACTTCAGCCCCTGGAAATAGAGTTTGACTTGGCTGCGTGCAGACAGGCATGGCCTGGGGAGACGTAGGCCAGGGCAAAGCCCAGGGGTCTGACTGATAAACACGGCCACGGCTAGTGACTTCTGCAGAACTGCTACAGATCACGAACAGAGTTGCGTTCAAAGGAGTCAAACAAACTTCAGTTCTGCCTCCCTGATTCAGAAGATTCATCTGAATCTCCATAGGAGCCTGGTGGGTCCACGGAGGCAGCGATGCTGGCATAAGTAAAATACTAGCAGCATGATTTTTCCCCATTTGCTGGCTTTATTCATGGCTCATAGTTACACTCCCTCCAGTGAGGGAGACTCTGTGCAACCCTAAGACACTGTGAGATTGTTAACTGGGAGTAAAAACAAGGCAGAAAAGAGAGGCCCCCTGCAGAAAACAAAGAGGCCTTGCCCTTCACAAACAGACAAAGCCAGACGCAGCTGGAGCCTAAGTTTGTGTCTCTGTTACTTGCAAAACGTAACACCCAGCAAAATACAGAGACTAGATTTGTATTTTTGTTCCCAACCTGAAATTAAGAAATCTAAAGCAATAAGTCCTTCGTGGACCAGGTTTCCACCTGCCTCCCAACACATAAGTCACCTCAGGAAAATATAAAGAATGGTCCCAGACTGTGCCAAGGAAGTGGGGCACAGTTAATAGAGCCAAATCTGGCAAAGCACATAATTCTTTGCCAACAGCTTGCAGATATGATGTCTCCTTAAGCCTCAAGTCACCAACAGAGGGTGTTTTTAACTCATTTTACCCGTGTACAAATTCTGAATATCAAGAAAGATTGAGAGATTTGCCTAAAGTCATGCAACAATTTGATGAAAGAGAATCAGAACCCTGGATATCCCTGGTTCTTCGGCACACTTAGATTTCAGCTGCTTCTCCGGGGGAAATGTGATAACGCCTGGAGGCTGCTTTGCACAGCCAGTACAACCTGTGGAGAACTCCGTCCTCATTAGCTGTCATTAAGTTGCCGGGACCTCCAGTTGCTCTTCCTATGGGGCAGAACTGAAGACCAATGTCATTTACTTTGTATGTCCACCTCCTGGGGTTACACTGGAAACGCTTCTAATGAACCACAGCAGAAGAAAACATCATCCTCAATTAGAGCCCTTAGGAAAAACTGCTGCATTTTCCTACCTGCAGAGGAAAACACTAAATCGGGAGTCTGTATATGAATAAACAGAGGAGAAGAAAATTTACAAGTGTGATGACTCCGCAAAAGCTCCCCTGAGTCTTTACAATGGCAAATGACCCATGAGCTTTCAGAGCCACCATATTAGTTTTTTGTAAAGTAGCTTTTGTTGTTGTTAATGAAAACACGATCCTTTTACTTAGATTCTGTGATCAAAGGAGCTAGGAGGTCAGGGTGCACACAATAAGACTGTCTGCCAGGCATAGGAATATCCACATACCTTGTAACTGCTCGGTGGAACAGAGGTGGGATGTTTCTGGTGCCCTAAAACTCTTTCACCCAGAACTTGCCACTACACTGCTGAAGAATAAATGGTAGCAGAGTGGTTAAGAGTCAAGTCAAATGGAGTTTAAGGCCTAGATCTGCCACTTGCTTGCTGTGTGATGTTGGAAAAATATTAACTGCTCCAAATCTATAACTCTTCAGCTATTAGCCGCTCTGGAGCTGCTAATATACCTAACAAATAGCATATAAATTATTTAGCTGAATAAATGGGCAATCTTCTTAGTAGTATTAGTATCATTCCAACACAGCTGGAAATTACCCCAGAAACCACCTCGCCAAGACAGTCCCAATTCCGACTGAACATCAGCATCACACAAGGTGCCTTTAAAATATGCATGTGGCTGGTACCCAGACTTCCTACCCATCCAGCCTGTTTTCAGGCTCTCGGCATCATGTACCTCCCTATTCCTTTGATAAGCCATTGCAAAGCCTGTCTAAAACAAAGCTATTTGCTTCCATTAGCTAAGACTACGACTATTTTTCAACATGTCTGAGGAACGAGACCAGGCTTCTCTACTTTTCAAAACTCCTCAGGTGATTCTTAGCAACCAGATTAGCATCAGTCCTTAGAACAACCTCAGACACCCACTAACACATGCCCTAGAGAGGCTAAGTAACCCGAAGGTCACAGAACCACAGAGTTAATTAACAACGACAACAAATACACCCTTGGTGTTCCTGATTTCCGTCAAATAGCCGCCTTGCTGAGTCAGCACAACAAAATTCTAAAAATTAGCAGAATAGTTTTCGTGGTTGGTTGTCTTAAGTGTGGTCCATACAGTCCTGGTTTTTCCATGTGTCAGCAACTGTTTAGAGCTACCAACAGATTTCTCCCTAAAGACTTACACTGTGGGTTTCAGTTAGAATTGCAAACCCAGAGATATCTGGGAATCTGTCTGAGTTAAGCATCGCTGACTTGCCCCAGGGAAGACTGGCTTTTTAGGACAGGGGTTCCCCAACCCCCAGGCCATGGATCAGTAGGAAATGGGCAGCATAGTAGGAGGTGAGCAGCAGATGAGCATTACTGCCTGAGCTCCACCCCCTGTCAGATCACTGGCAGCATTAGATTCTCATAGGAGCACAAACCCTATTGTGAACTGTGCATGCCAGGGATCTAGGTTGCTCGCTCCTTACAAGAATCTAATGCCTGACGATCTGAGGTGGAACAGTTTCATCCCAAAACCATCCTCATGCCCCCACATCCCTGGAAGAATTGTCTTCCACAGAACTGGTACCTGATGCCAAAAGGTTGGGAACTGCTGTTAGAGGACACAAGACCACAGTCCAGGTATCACAGCCACATCCCACAGACACCACCTCCCGTTGGCTTCCTGGATGACAGGCACAGTGTTCAGGAGGAAATGAGCAGATAAGAAAAGTCAACCTGGCACATAAACCCACAAGGGATGATACACTTTGCAGGCATCATCTGAGGGTAGTATTAAGAAGAGCTTGTGGAGAAAAGGGAAACCTTGCACATACACTATTATTAGAAACGTTGATTAGTGGTGACTGTGGAAAACTGTATGGAGGTTCCTCAAAAACTAAAAACAATTACCATATGATCCAGCAATTTCACTTCTGGGTATTAACCCAAAAGATTTGAAATCAGTATATCTAAGAGAAATCTCTGCTCTCACGTTCACTGCAGCGCTACTCATAATAGCCAAGTTATGGAAGCAACTTAAATATTCACCTGTCACACTTCAAATCTCTCTTGCAGGAAAAGCCCTTGGAGGGGCTTCCCCGATTAGTCGGCCTTATCCAGGCTAACCTCTGTCTTAAGGTAAACTGCTTTGGGACCTTAAATACATCTGCCATACCCCTTTCCAGCAGTACCTAGAATAGTATGGAACCGAACAAGTGGGAGACAGTATGTGTGAAACAGGAGCCAGGAATCTTGAGGACCATCTTAGAATCCTTCCTACCACAGATACATTTTTCTTACCAACTCTGGCTTGGATCAAAGCAAGATGGGACAGAGAGCTAAGGTACAACATGAGCATAATAGTTAATAATATTGTATTCTATACTAGAAATTTGGTAAGAGTAGATTTAGGTATTCTTACCACAAAAAGTGGGGAGAGACTATGTGAGATTATGAATATGTTAATTAGCTTGACTATAGTAAGCATCTCACTATACCTATGTACATCAAAATATCACGTTGAGTTTCTTAAATACACACAATCAAATTTTTTAAGGACATATACCTTTTATAAAAGGGACAATAAATTTATGAGAAATCTACCTTTTATTAGCAGCTCATGAAGTAATTCTTTAAAGATTATTCTCATTATTCTATAATCATACCCTATATGTGGGACACCCAAGACTCTTCAGCCAGCACTTAGAAGAAATGGAAGTTAAAGATGCTAATGATGCTGTATTATTAGACAGTATTTAGGAATAATCCCAAATACTCCTCAGCATGAGGTGTAAGCCACTTAACCATTTTATGCCTATTTTATCACCCCTAAAAGAAAGAGATGAATGTTTACCTTGTAAGGCTGATATGAGAGTTTAAGGATACATTTTGCCTAAATGATTATGCCAGTGAACATCCATCATTTCTTACAAACTCACCACCTACAGGCACTGTGCATACTTCTGAGGGTATTGTGATATAATCGAAGGTGTGTGACTTTATAACTGAGGCCAAAGCCTTGACTCAACCCCAGTTCCAACCCTTTCAGCAAACGTATTCACCACTCAGAGCCTCAGTCACTTTTGAGGGTGGTGAGAAAAAGGATAGAAAATAATGTGTAGACCTAGTGTATGGTGTCCACCCAATATATGCTGAGTATGCAAATACCTACGCTATAGAAATTGTTACACCATCATTCAAGTAACACCTTCATTATTTTTGCCAGAATTGCATACCATCTATTCAGTAGTTTACTTAATACTATTTAGATCAACTATTTTACCATCTGTTCAGTGATTTACTTAATACTATTTAGATCAACTATTTTACATCCATAAAAACATGGTTTTGATGTGCTTATTTCATTTTTTTCTAAGACCGTGTTAAAATAAGTGCTTTGCTATTAAAATAAAAGTACACTAACCAAAATTACCATGTGTACTACCAAAGATAAAAATACCTTGCACTGGGAAATGTGAAAAGCCACTTTTAAATGAAGAAGAGTGTTCCTTAGGGTTCCTGAATAAATAAATTGGGAGCTACCCATATTTCAAATAACTTAATTTTGTTTTTTGAGAGTACCATGGAATTCAATTCATCTGATTTTTAAATTAAGCCTAAGGAAAAGGAAAAAAAATGTGTTCAGCTAAAACGAAAATATACCAGGGCCAGAACTCGTGCTCAGATATTTGCAATTCCAAGGCCCGTGTTTTTCATAACATAACAAAATAAATGGAGGAAATGAGAAGGAGGCAGATGAAGAGGTGGGGTGGGGAAGAGAGTAAAGACAAAATTGCAGAGGAAGGGCAACTAGCCAGTGGCATCCAGAAAGACAGAAACAGAGCCAGAGAAAGCAAGAAAGGCAGAGAGAGAGAGAAGAGAGAGGATAGAGAGGGACAGAGAGAGATGGAGGCAGAAAAAGAGAGACAGAGACACAGAGAGAAAGAGACAGAAACAAAGAATACATTAGGAGGAAAGGGGGTAGGATTTGGTAGATTCTTAAGTGATTATAAACTTTTATTATCACCCCAAACACTGGCTCTCGTGGGCTTTAAAAGACAGTTACCTCCTATCACTTCTCTTTGTACATTATTTAGTTGATCAATAGCTCTTCAGCTGTTCTCTTAAGCCTTTAGAATCCAGGTGACATGGCATCCCCTTCGGGCAAAATCATGAACTGTACGACTTGTTTATCATTAGGGCATGTCTGACTTTTTCTGATTTCAGGATCTGAATAAATCAAGCTGGGATCCTTAACTCTAAGTCTCTGCTTTTGGTCTGATTGTGCTATGGCAATGCTACTAATTGTACTATGGCAACCGACTGAAAATGATGTTGAACAAGAGAATGAGATGGTTTCCTTTTGACTTTCCTTTTACTGCTAAGTGGTCCTCAGGAGGTGAATTTCTTGCAGACATTTGCTGCTACAACTAGAATTAAATTTTCTGCCTTTGCCATTTTCTGTCCCAAGAAGCACCACAGTGCTGCCTGCTTAGTACCTAGGGAAGAGCACTTTCATTCTATATTTTAATTAGGCCCTGACATCTGGTATGGACTGTGAGTGCTTATTTGCACACCTGCAGGCTATTGGCTGTAAAGGCGCCCAGCCTATGTGGCGATTACCAGTGCAGATGGAGATTGCAGTCATTTAATTTAATAGAGCAATTGTGTGGGCCTTGTAGAATGTACCACAATTGTGAAATGTGGGCCCCGTCCCAATTCCAGGTATCCTGTGCTGTTCCTTATGTAACACGCACTTCACTCTCCTGTCAATCTTTATAATAAACACAGTCAGAAGACAGGATTGGCAACAAAGCTGTCTTTGAAAGCTTTCAGGTGAGAAGGAAGAGAGCTGGGTCTCTAGGAAAGAATTAAATTTGTAAAGACAATGGAATTTGCCAAGGATTTAAAAAATCACTACCCTCCTCTGTTAAACAAATACCCCTATATGGCTCCAACTCATCTATGGAAACTCTGTCTTTCAGTGTGCATCAAATGGTATACATGGGGCACTGAGAAGGAAGCAGATGTAACAGGAGATGGTCAGCGTGGCCTTGTGTGTACTTGTGTTTCCATGACATGGGGAAGACCCCTTACTTGCTCAGTACTGAAAAATGCCAACTCCAGACTGAGGCTCCTGTTTTCAGAGTTCACCTGTCACACTGTTTCATTTACCCCTGTGTTCTGCATCCCCAGTACCTCTCCCAGTGTCCAACATACTGTGTGTTCTCAGCATTTGTGAAAAGAAAAGAGAAACAGTAGGCCAACTGTGCCAAATCCCTGATGCCCATCAGCTTCCTGAATGCATCTTTCTGGATGTTCTTAAAGCTTTGGGCCCACCCTGGGTAACTTGCTGGGAAATCCACCTATCAATATATTCTCTGGCTATAAAACTACGATGCTGTTAATTGGCTTATGTTGTTTCCTACTTATTTCTTGCATGTCTGTGTCCCAGTTCTTTTAGGTTTTAGCTGAGTAGGCAGGGCACTTATAACATAGTGGCAAATGATATAAACAGAACAATGCCTAATGCCATGGTACTGATTAAAATTTGAGAGGATAGGAATTCTCTATGGACCTGGAAAGTGAGGATGACCTTGCTTTAGATCATGATGTATGGGCAGTCCAAGAAATTGTGGAAGTGTTCAAGAAGAAAGGCAATATAAAGTAGTTAACAGCATGGATTTTGGACAGGCCTAGTTTACACACCCAGCTTCACCATTTTTCAGCCATATGAATTTAGGTACATGGCATAATCTGTCTAAATCATAGTTTCTTTTTTAAAAAATGAGCATAATTGTGAGGATGCCACGTGACTTCTAGAAATAATAAAGATTAAAAGAAGCAATAGGCGTAAAGGATTTAGCAAAATTCTAGACATACAGTAAATTAATGCTTTAAAATTCATGATGATGATGGGAAGAAATAAGAGGAAGATGACAATGATGGTAATGACCAAGATTCCAGGGTAGGTTGGCCTGACTGGAGGAAAGGAAGAGACTACCTACCTCGGGAAGGAGTTGGGAGTGAAGGAAGTATAGCATCAGGTAGGGTAGAGGAACAGATTGAAGAAAACCTGAAAGACTGAGAAATACTGAGAGACAGAAATGTTCGGGAGAGAAAGAGAAAAAAGTTTACTTCCAATAAATGCAAGGGAGTCAGACTTCAGAACAAACACAAAACACCCATCTTTAAGGGAATATATGGAAAAATTACCAAGGATACCAAGTTTACATTTGTCTACTCATAGTGGAAAAACAGCTTTCTCATGCAATTGCCATATTCAGAAGGATCAAGACATAGCCGCAGTCACCAGCATAGCAAGAATCCAGGATTAAACTGCTTTTGTTAGGGAGCCAAGCTTTATGTGAAATAATTAAAGTTCAAATAATTTGAGGACCAGAACCAGTCAGAGTAACCTGTTATTTTGGGGGGGGGGGTTCTGCACACATGACCCTCACACCATATTGGAAGCAAAGTGTCATTTTTTTGCTTCTACCAAAGTAATATTTATAATACATTCTATGGCAACAGATAATTCCAATATGAGGACTTTGGATTCAGAGAGACTTTGGTTCAAATCGCAGAATTACCATTAAATAGCACTGTGAGCTCAGAAAATACGCTTAATATCTCTGAAGCACAGTCGCTTCATTTGGAAAAAGGGGATGAAAATATCTCTCCTTTCTTTTTATGGATTAAAATATAGGTAATCATTAAGCATAGTGCCTGACACACTGGGAGTATTCAGTCAAAGACAGCTGCTTTTCTCAGGTTGCCCAAAGCGTGACTTCCTCTGATTGCTCAAGTGACATGGGGAAAATACAAATTCAAAGAAGAGAATATTGACTTATATCAAGCTTGTCCAACCCGTTACCCAGAGCAGCTTAGAATGCAGCCCAACACAAATGTATTAACTTTCTTAAAACACTATGGGATTTTTTTTACTTTTTTTTAAGCTCATCAGCTATCTGTTACTGTTAAAGTATTTTGTGTGTGGCCCAAGACAATTCCTTTTTTTTTTCCATTGTGGCCCGGCGAAGCCAAAAGATTTGACATCCCTGACCTAGATGATCCTGGGAGCCTGGAACTTCTCCACCAAGCTTGAAAAATCCCCCAAAGACTGAGTAGGAGCAGGTGTCAAACTGCAGCTGCCTTGACCATGATCTAGGTGAAGCTGTGTGTGTGAAATAGCACCATTGTGCCCACAGTCATCTGTAGCAAAATGAGAAAAATAAAGAAAACGTAATATTTTTTTTCTAAAGCTAATTCTTTTAACTTAAGGGATGATTATTTATTCTAAGATCATGTCCTTCTAACTTTTTTAAATTATTATTCAATCGTTTTGGGGGAACAGGTGGTATTTGGTTAAATGTTTAAGTTCTTTAGTGGTGATTTCTGATATTTTGGTGCACCCATCACCCGAGCAGTGTACACTGCACCCAATGTGTAGTCTTTATCCCTCATCTCCCTCCCACCCTTCACCCCAAGTCCTCTGAGTCCAATGTATCATTCTTATGCCTTTGCATCCTCATAGCTTAGTTCCCACTTATAAGTGAGAACATACAACATTTGATTTTCCATTACCGAGTTACCTACTTAGAATAATGTTCTCCAACTCCGTTCAGGTTGCTGTGAATGCCTTTGCTTCATTCCTTTTTATGGCTGAGTAGTATTCCATGGTGAGTGTCTGTGTGTGTGTGTGTGTGTGTGTGTGTGTGTGTGTGTGTGTGTGTGTTCTCTTTATCCACTCATTGATTGGTGGACATTTAGGCTGGTTCCGTATTTTTGCAATTGCAAATTGTGCTGCTATAAACATGGATGTGCAAGTGTCTTTTTCATAATATGACTTTTCTTTTCCTCTGGGCACATACACAGTAGTGGGATTGCTGAATCAAATGGTAGTTCTACTTTAGTTCTTTAAGGAATCTCCATACTGTTTTCCACAGCGGTTATACTAGTTTACATTCTCACCAGCAGTGTAAAAGTGTTCCCTTTTCACCACATCCACGCCAACATCTATTTTTTTTATTTTTAAATGATGGCTATTCTTTCCGGGGTAACGAGGTATCACATCGTGGTTTTGATTTGCATTTTCCTGATAATTAGTGATGTTGAGCATTTTTTCATGTATTTCTTGGCCATTTGTATATCTTCTCTTGAAAATTTTCTATTCATGCCCTTAGTCCACTTTTTGATGGGATTATTTGTTTTTTTCTTGCTGATTTGTTCAGATTTCTTGTAGATTCTGGATATTAGTTTTTTGTCAGATGCATAGTTTGTGAATATTTTCTCCCACTCTGTGGGTTGTCTGCTTACTGATAATTTCATTTGCTGAGCAGAAGCTTTTTAGTTTAAGTTCCATCTATTTATCTTTGTTTTTCTTGCATTTACTTTTAGATTCTTGGTCATGAAGTTTTTGCCTAAGCCAAAGACTAGAAGAGTTTTTCTGATATTATCTTCTAGAATTTTTATGGTTTCAAGTCTTAGATTTAAGTATTTGATCCAACTTGAGTTGATTTTTGTATAAGATAAGAGATAAGGATCCAGTTTTATTCTTCTACATGTGGCTTGCATTATCCCAGTACCATTTGTTGAATAGGGTGTCGTTTCCCCCATTTTATGTTTTTGTTTGCTTTGTCGAAGATCCATTGGCTATAAGTATTTGGCATTATTTCTGAGTTCTCTATTCTGTTCCATTGGTGTTTTTATACGAGTACCATGCTGTTTTGGTAACTGTATCCTTGTAATATAGATTGAAGTTGATTAATGTGATGTCTCCAGATTTGTTCTTTTTTGCTTACTCTTTCTTTGACTATGTGGGCCTTTTTTTGTTCCATATGAATTTTAGAAATGTTTTTTCTAGTTCTGTGAGGAATAATGGTGGCATTTTTTATGGGAATTGCATTGAATCTGTAGATTGCTTTTGGCAGGATGGTCATTTTCACAATATTGATTCTACCCATTCATGAATATGGGATGTTTTTACATTTGTTTGTGTCATCTATGATTTCTTTCAGCAGTGTTTTGTAGTTTTCCTTGTAGAAATCTTTCACCTCCTTGGTTAGATATATTCCTAAGTATTTTTACTTTATTTTTTATTTTTTGCAGCTATCATAAAAGGGGTTGAGTTCTTGATTTAATTCTCAGGTCAGTCACTGTTGGTATATAGCAGTGCTACTGATTTGTGTACATTAATTTTGTATCCTGAAAGTTTACTGAATTCATTTATCAGATCTAGGAACTTTTTGGATGAGTCTTTAGGGTTTTCTAGGTATGTGATTATATCAGCAAACAGCAACAGCTTGACTTCCTCTTTGTCAATGTGGATGCCCTTTATCTCTTTCTTTTGTCTGATTGCTCTGGCTAGGACTTCCAGTACTACGCTGAATAGAAGTGGCAAAAGTGGGTATTCTTGTCTTGTTCCAGTTCTTAGGGAGAATGCTTTCAACTTTTTTCCATTTAGTATAATGTTGGCTGTGGGTTTGTCATAGATAGCTTTTATTACCTTAAGGTATGTCCCTTCTATGCTGATTTTGCTGAGGGTTTTAATCATAAAGAGATGCTGGATTTTTTCAGGTGCTTTTTTCTGCATCTATTGAGATGATCATGTGATTTCTATTTTTACTTCTGTTTATGTGGTGTATCACATTTATTGACTTGCGTATAGTTAAACCAGCCCTGCGTCCCTGGTATGAAACCCACTTGATGATAGTGTATTATCTTTTTGATACGCTGTTGAATTCAGTTAGCTGGTATTTTGTTGAGGATTTTTGCGTCTATGTTCATCAGGGATATTGGTCTGTAGTTTTGTTGTTGTTGTTGTTATGTCCTTTCCTAGTTTTGGGATTAGGGTAATACTGGCTTCATAGAATGATTTGGGGATAATTCCCTATTTCTCTATCTTTTGGGATAATTTCAGTAGGATTGGTACCAATTCTTCTTTGAATGTCTGATAGAATTCAGCTGTGAATTTGTCTGGTCCTGAAGTTTATTTTCTTGACAATTTTTAAATTACTGTTTCAATCATGCTACTTGTTATTGGTCTGTTCAGAGTTTCTATTTCTTCCTGGTTTAATCTAAGAGGGTTGTATATTTCCAGGAATTTATCCATCTCCTCTAGGCTTTCCAGTTTAGGCACAAAAAGGTGTTCATAGCAGCCTTGAATGATCTTTTGTATTTCTGTGGTAACAGTTGTAACGTCCCCCATCTTGTTTCTAATTGAGCTTATTTGGATCTTCTCTCTTCTTTTTTTGGTTAAATTCCCTAATGGTCTATTGATTTCGTTTATCTTTTGAAAGAACCAGCTTTTTGTATCATTTACCTTTTGCATATTTTTTGTTTCAATTTCATTTAGTTCTGCTCTGATCTTTGCTATTTCTATTCTGATGGGTTTGGGTTTGGTTTGTTCTTGTTTCTCTGGTTCCCTGAGGTGTAACCCTAGATTATCTATTTATGCTCTTTCAGACTTTTTGAAGTAGGCATTTAATGTTATGAACTTTCCTTTTAGCACTGCTTTTGCTGTATCCGAGAGGTTTTGATAGGTTTTGTCACTATTATTGTTCAGTTCAAATAATTTTTTAATTTCCATCTTAATTTCGTTGTTGACCCAATGATCATTCAGGAGCAGATTGTTAATTTCCATGTATTTGTATAGTTTTGAAGGTTCGTCTTGGAGTTAATTTTCAATTTTATTTCACTGTGGTCTGAGAGAGTACTTGATATTATTTCGAGTTGCTTAAATTTATTGAGACTTGTTTTGTGGCCTATCATATGGTCTATCTTGGAGAATGTTCCATATGCTGATGAGAAGAATGTATATTCTGCAGTTGCTGGGTAGAATGTTCTTAAATATCTGTTAAGTCCATTTGTTCTAGGGTATAGTTTAAATCCATCATTTCTTTGTTGACTTTGTCTTGATGTCCCGTCTAGTGCTGTCAGTCGAGTACCGAAGTCCTCTACAATTATTATGTTGCCGTCTATCTCATTTCTTAGGTCTAGTAGTAGTTGTTTTACAAATTTGGGTGCTCCAGTATTAGGTGCATATATATTTAGGATTGTGATATTTTCCTGTTGGACTAATCCTTTTATCATTATATAATGTCCCTCTTTGCCTTTTTTAGCTGTTGTTTCTTTGATGTCTGTTTTATCTGATATAAGAATAGCTATTCCTACTTGCTTTTGGTGTCCATTTGCATGGAATATCTTTTTCCATCCCTTTATCTTAAGTTTATGTGAGTCTTCATGTGCCAGATAAGTCTCTTGAAGACAGCAGATATTTGGTGAATTTTAATCCATTCTGCCATTCTGTATCTTTTAAGTGGAACATTTAGGCCATTTACATTCAACATTAGTATTGAGATGTGAGGTACTGTTCTGTTCATTATGCTAGTTGTTGTCTGAATACTTTGTGGGTTTTTTTTTCATTATGTCATTGTTTTATTAATCCTGTGAGACTTATGCTTTAAGGAGGTTCATTTTGGTGTATTTTGAGGTTTTCTTTCAAGATTTAGAACTCCTTTTGCCATTTCTTGTAGTGCTGGCTTGGTAGTGGCAAATTCTCTCAGCATTTGTTTATTTTAAAAAGGTGTTATCTCTCCTTTATTTATAAAGCTTAGTTTTGCTGGATACAAAATTCTTGGCTGATAATTATTTGTTAAGGAGGCTAACGATAGGACCCCAATCCATTCTGGCTTGTAGGGTTTCTGCTGAGAAATCCATTAATCTGATAGGTTGTTCTTTATAGGTTTCCTGGTGCTTTTGTCTCACAGCTGTTAAGATTCTTTCCTTCATCCTGACTTTAGATAACCCGATGACTACGTGCCTAGGTAATGATCTCTGCGATGAATTCCACAAGTGTTCATTGAGCTTCTTGTATTTGGATGTCTAGATCTCCAGCAAGACCAGGGAAGTTTTCCTCAATTATTCCCTCAAATAAGTTTTTCAAACGTTTAGATTTCTTTTCTTCCTCAAGAAAACCAATTATTCTTATGTTTGGTTGTTTAACATAATCCCAAATTTCTTGGAAGCTTTGTTCATTTTTTAAATTGTCTTTGTGGGATTAGGTTAATTCAAAAGCCTTGTCTTCAAGCTCTGAAGTTTTTTCTTCTACTTGTTTAATTCTATTGTTAAACTTTCAGTGTGTTTTGCATTTCTCTAAGTGTACCTGTTATTTCCAGAAGTTGTGATTGTCTTTGTGATATCTATTTCTCTGGAGACTTTTCCATCCATATCCTACATTTTTTTAAATTTTTTAAAGTTGGACTTCACCTTTCTCTGATACCTCCTTTAGTAGCTTAATAATCATCCTTCTGGATTCTTTATCTGGCAATTCAGAGATTTCTTCTTGGTTTGGATTCATTGCTGGAGGGCTAGTGTGATCTTTTAGGAGTGTTACGGAAACTTGTTCTGTCATATTACCAGAATTACTTTTCTGGTCCCTTCTCATTTGGGTAGACCGTTTCAGTGGGAAGGTCTAAAACTTAAAAGCTGTTGTTCAGATTCTTTTGTCCCACAGGGCAATCCCTTGATGTGGTGCTCTCCTGCTTTCTCTAGGGATGGGGCTTCCTAAGAGCCAGACTGCAGTGATTGTTATTGCACTTCTGGGTCTAGCCACCCAGCAAGGCTACTGGGCCCTGGTGCTGGGGAATGTAGGCTGGTGCTGGCGAATGTAGGCTGGTGCTGGCGAATGTCTACAAAGAGTCCTGTGATGTGATCCATCTTCAGGTCTTCCAGCCATGGATACCAGCACCTGCTCTAGTGGAGTTGGCAGGGGAGCGAAGTGGACTGTGTGAGAGTCCTTGGTTGTAGTTTTCTTTAGTGCACTGGTTTTCTTGAATGCTGATTATGCTAGCAGTGAAGTTGTCATGTGGACATACTCAGGACCTCTGGTTAGCCATGGTGTTGCAGGCAGTGGAATTAGCTGTCGTTTTTTCCTTCTTTGGAGGAGGGTGGTTCTGTTCTGAGTTGCTGTCATGGCTTGAGTACTCCAAAAGTACTTTTAAGAGTGTACCAGCTGCAGTAGTAGAAGGGGGATATAATCTTACCCTACGCTGGCCAGGATGAGTACTTGGGTTTCTGAGGTGATGGGTGGGGCTATTGAGCTGCCAAGAGAGTATCTCTTTTATCTTCAACTACTAGGGCAGGTAGAGAAAAACCATCAGTTTCGGGGAGGGTAGGTGGGTCTGAGCTCAGACTCTCCTTGGGCAGGGCCTACTGCGGCCACTGTGGGGGATAAGGGTGTGGTTCTCAGGCCAATGGAGTTATGTTCCCAAGGAAATTATGGCTGCCTCTGCTGCATCATACAGGTCTCCAGGGAAGTGGGGGAAAGCCGGCAGTGACAGGCCTCACCCAGCTCCCATGCAGCCAGCAAGGCCAGGCTCACTCCAGCTGTGTTCCACCAATAGCACCAAGTTTGTATCCAAGCAGCTGGCAAGCAGGCTTTCTAACATTTTTAACAAAACCATGGTGAGGGTGAAAGTAGTTGATTGGTTTTATTTTTTATTTTGTTTTTCTTTTAATGACCTTAATTGGAAAAGTAAAAAATTTGGCAATCCTAATTCAGCTGCCAAAATTTCTTAGAAAATTTTACTGTAGCATATAATCCAAAAGAACGGGGAACTTTGGTTTAGAAAGCAGAAATCCCTTGTTTTGCCAACTGGGACATTAGGAGCAATCGCAGTGCCTTTTATTCATGAGTATTGTGTATGCAGACTATACAGGAAGCAAGGTCTTAAGGAAAAAAAGAATTCTAGCCTGCTTGGTTATTGCTTATTTCAAAATGCAAGCACACAATTTAAAATCCGGTCACACCTCCTTTTGCTGAGCTACAAGCCTGCTATTACAAGTGTTTGTAAAGTGCCTGTTAGCAGTTAATAAGTAAAGGTGTTGGCTTATATTCTGAGGGTATCAAGGTGCTCAGACAGCCTAATTTGCCTATTATAGGATGAAATTTGATCCCTCTCTTGATGTTCAGATTTGGGGAGCCATATTCCAAAACTCTTGGTACTTTCCTCCATTGCGTAAAGACACAATTCTAAGAACATTTGTGAAATGTAAAAGACAGAGTCCAAGACCCTGTAAGCATGGCCTACACGTTGCCTCTGCGGTAATGGCTGCGGTGGAAGTGCTGGGTCTTGGAATTACTCCACTATTCCTATTGACAAGCAAATTCTGGAGCACAGCCAGAGTGGAAATAAAGGATGAGTTACTATATTGAAACAGGAAATAGAATTTAAGAAAATAGGTACAAAATTCAGATTTTTCTCTCTGGAGGAAGATGTTTCCGAAAAGAAAATAATTAGCCTTTGGTGAGGTTGGAATGTAAGGAATGAAAAGTTTGCATGAGGAAGGTGAAAAGGCATGCTTGGAGGGAGCACAGAAAAGAGCAGACCTATGGATATTCCTTGGGGTATAGACATATTGACAGTTCCTATACAGCCTATTGCCATAGGTGTCTATAAAACATTAAGCTCTGATATGTGGAAAGACCAGATTTAGAAAGGCCTCAGCTATTCACTCATGCCTTCCTGAGTTCAGTAAAACACATGGAGAAATAACAATCTTAAAAAAAATTGTTCATTTATTTTCTTTTTGTGCATTCAGTGTATGATAATTATAGACACATCATTTATGAATGACAAAACTATTCTCTGATTATCTGGGTTAAAGCCTTGGAATAAGTTATCGTGTTTACCTGTGTTTCCTTCATGATACAAACTAAGGACTAAATTGTTATTCAAAATGTCAATCGTCATTCCAGAAGAGGCTTTGAAAAAATTATAATCTAGATAGATCCACCAGACAGATACCAGCCAGGACTTTTCTTATGAAGCATACAAAATATTTAATGGTGTCTGTGCCTAGAATTGGATTCAAGTCAGATAATAAGGCAAATTCAGAGAAAATGATTAGAATCTGAAAGGGCCCAGAAAGACAAATCTAACCTCTTTTCCAGATTCTTAAATCATAATTTTTTATGACTCAAAAAAAGCTCTAATGATCATATAATATTTTTTTGTGGATTGTGTTTCTGAGTTTATTATTATTTTGAAGTTACTGAGTCTGAGACCCTAAAAAGCCCAAATCCAGCTCTGCTAATCATCCTACTGCATTGTGGGTTTCCCAAGAAAATCATGTACCATGGCAGACAGTGAAAAAGGATGGACAGTGTTACATTATTGATAGCTGTGAAAATGCTTCAAAGCTCTGATAAAAAGGTTGGGTTGATTCACAAGGTTTACTGAGACCTAAATTATTCTTCTTACCTGCCCTGTCTCTCTTTCTCTACTCTCCATCTAAATCTTGACTCCCATGTTCCAAAACATGACCCTGCAGGACAGGAGGAATAACCAGGCCCCAAAAGGGACCCAAGTCTACTCACCCATCTGTGGGCATGGAGTCAGAAAAGAGAGAGGTTAGCAGTCTCCCCAAGTGGCCTGGCTGCCTACATCTGTTTATCACAGAGACTGGAAGACAGAGTACGGGAAAGAGGCTGGAGCTTTTCAGGATACAATGATCTTGACCCCTAGTTCCCTCCATGTCAATGTTTTGATCAGTCAGATAAGCATCTTCTCTTCTCCTGTAAAGGAACCAAGAGGACAGTGAACAGAGATGAAAGCCTTCTGATATAGGGATGTATTTCTGAAGTGCATGTTTCGGCCTCTATAATAATAATATCTGCCATGTATCAAGTATGTAGTATGTGCTACATGCTGTTCAGAGGGCTGTATGTGTGTTACCTCATTTCATCTTCACAGGAACCTGTAGTGTTGGCATTGTTATATACTCAAGTTACAGATTAAAAAAAACAACACAAGCTCAGAAAGGTCAAGTTTCACCTCCTTCAGCTATCTACCCAGTGTTTAAATACCCGCTGTGATGGATAGTCACATTGGCTACTGTTGGCTTATAAAAATAGAAAATTCACTTTCACCACTACTCCCACCCTAGATAGCTTAATTCTACTATTGGTAATTCTGATCATGATTAATTTCCCCCTGCTATTAAAAATGTTGACTCCCTATAGCCTATTACACTGACTACTATTTGTATCTTCTATAATGGTGGTTCTCAACCAGGGTGATTTTACCCCTAGTAGACATTTGACAATGTCTGGAGACATTTTTGGTTGCCACACTTGGGAGTCGGGGTGCTACTGGCATCTCATGGGTAGAGGCCAGAATGCTGCTAACCACCCTACAATGCACAGGACAGTTCCCTGCAACAAAGCCTTATCCAGCCTAAAATGCGAATAGTTCTAAGATTGGGAAATCCTGTTCTGCAGCCACACAAGACAAATTGGATTACATTCTGCATTAGCCCTTAGATGTCTCAAGAAAACAATAATGATACATCTAACACCTCCACCATATATATCCCCCCATCCATACCACACTGACTCTCCAGTCTTCCTATGCTTATCTGTTTAAAATTCCATTTTAAAAAAAGGCTCAGAAGACTAAGTGAACTACCCAAGTGAAAAACAAAGCCAGCCCTAGATCTGAGATTACTTAGCTCCAATTTCAATTATCTTCTAATTATATCATGTCTAATCTTTCAATCTATTCACTGGGAATAAAAGTGAATAATATAGACAATATCTCTATTCTCACAAAGTTTATACTCCAGTAAACATTAACTTAACATTTTCCCTACCCTTGTATGAATTATCTTCTCCACTGTCATTTGAGTTGCTCATATCAACTTTTAAAGCCAATAAAAAAATTCCCATAGTCAGGGCCCTCAAAGGAAAGCATAACTACTTTCATGGCAAATGAAGGTCTGTGCATATAGATCAATAGAACAGAAGAGTCCGAAAGTGAACCCATACAAATGATTTTGACAAAGGTACCACAGCAGTTCAATGGGAAAAGGATAATCTTTTTGATAAATAATGTTGAAACAATTGAATAGTCATATGTAAAAAGATTAATCTTGAACCCTATTTCATACCATAAACAAAAATTAAATCAAAATGGATCATAAACCTGAATGCAAGATCTAAAATTACAAAATGTATTTTAAGAAAGAAAAAAAAGTTAGTGACCTTGAGCTCAGTGAAGATTCCTTTAAAACAACAAGAAAGCGTGAACTGTTTAAAAAAATCAATAATTTGAATTTCATAAAATCAAAACTTTGCAATTAAAAAAGACTTACAAAAATAAAGCAAGCTATATACTAGGAAAAAATATTCGCGTGACATGTATTTAACAAAAGACAATATGTCTAAAATATGTAAAGAACTCTTATAACTTATTAAGACAACCCATTAAAAAATAGGGAAGAATGATGTGATTATTATGCAGTGCATGCCTGTATCAAAACATCCTAGATACCCCATAAATATATATACCTACTATGTACCCACAACCATTAAAAATTTTAAAAAGAGATTTGAACAGACACATCAAAAAAATTACGGATGGCAAATAAACACATGAAAAGCGCAACATTGTTAGTCTATAAGGAAATGAAAATTGGAACCACAATGAAATATCACTACAACCCACTAGAATGACTAAAAATTAAAAACACTATACCAAGTATTGACAAGGATGTGGAGCCACTGGAATGCTCATACACTGCTGCTGGGAATGCAAAATGGTGAAATCACTTTGTAAACAATCTGGCCACTTCTTAAAAAGTTAAACATATACCTACTATTCAACCAAGCCATTGCCCTCCTAAGTATTTATCCAAGAGAAAAGAAAAACATATCCTCACAAAGACCTATAGACAAACGTTCAGAGTAGCTTTATTTATACAGCCAAAAACTATCAAAACCCAATATCAATAAGTAACTAAACAATTTGTGGTATATCTGTACAATAAGAAGGAAAGAATTACATATGCAACAATATGAATCAAACTCAAAATAATTAAGATTCAAAAAAGGTAGACCTTCCCCATGCCAAAAATAAAAAAAAAATACATAATGCAAATAATTTATAGAACAGAAATTAACCAGTGATTGCCTGGATAACAGGGGTGGGGAGTTGTGGGGACTTATAAAAGGGAAAATAGAAGCTTCTGGGTTGATGGATATGTTCATTATCTTGATTGCAATGATAATTTCATGAATGTATACATATGTCAAAACTCATCAGATTGTTCACTTTAGATGCAGTCATGCACCTCCTAATGACATTTTGGTACATGACAGACCACATATATGACAGTGGTTCCATAAAATTATAATATATATATATATATATATATATATATATATATATATATTTTTTTTTTTTTTTTTTTTTTTTTGAGACGGAGTCTCGCTCTGTCGCCCAGGCTGGAGTGCAGTGGCGGGATGTCGGCTCACTGCAAGCTCCGCCTCCCGAGTTCACGCCATTCTCCTGCCTCAGCTTCCCGCGTAGCTGGGACTACAGGCGCCCGCCACTATGCCCGGCTAATTTTTTGTATTTTTAGTAGAGACGGGGTTTCACCGTTTTAGCCGGGATGGTCTCGATCTCCTGACCTCGTGATCCGCCCGCCTCGGCCTCCCAAAGTGCTGGGATTACAGGCGTGAGCCACCGCGCCCGGACTATAATATATATTTTACATGTTTAGATTATACAATATAATATCATATTTTACATATTTATATTATACAATATAGCCTAGGTGTGTAATAGGCTATACTATCTAGATTTGTGTGAATGCACTCTGAGATGTTCACACGACAACGAAATTGTCTAATGACACTGATATTGTTTGGATTTGTGTCCTGCCCAAATCTCATGCCGAATTGGAGGGGCCTGGTGGAAGGTGATTGGATCATGGGGCGGATATTTCCCTTGCTGTTCTTGTAAAAGTGAGTGAGTTCTCAGGAGATCTGATCCTTTAAAAGTGTGTGGCACCTCTCCCTTCACTGTCTCTTCTGCCACCATGTGAAGAAGGTGCTTGCTTCCCCTTCACCTTCTGCCATGATTGTAAGTTTCTTGAGGCCTCCCAGTCATGCTTCCTGTTAAGCCTGCAGAACTGTGAGTCAATTAAACCTCTTTGCTTCATAAATTACCCAGTCTCAGGTAGTTCTTTATAGCAATATGAAAACAGACTAATACAGATATAGCAGTGTGAAAATGGACTATTACAGCATTTCTCAGAATGTATTCCCTTTGCTGGGTGAAGCATGACTATATGTGTAGTGTATTATACCTTAAATATACCTCAATAAAACCGTAGAAAAATGAAATAAATAAAAGGTGACACATTGGTGATCTTTGGCTGCCTTTTTCCCATTTGAAGGGCTGTGGCATCTGTGTCTATCCTGTAGTGCTAACTACAGTGGCCACATGAGTGCCTTCTTTTAGTGCCAGCCCCTGAGACCTCCAAAGCCCTGTCATCACTAGGAGGGTTCTGCTGGTATAGTCATTTGGTGATTAGCCTGCCCATCCACAAAGAACTAACAAGGCAATAATTGCTTAGATATTGCACATTGGTGACATTGGTGGCCTTGTCTTGGGTAATCTTCATCATTAAGTATGGATTGAGTTACACCAATCATTTTAGAGTCAAAGGCATAGCTTGGAGGTCACCTGAGTCCCAGTCTGCCAAATGACAGTGTCTGAGCACATCTTTCATTTCCACAGACCCTTGCCATACCTCATCCTTGAGTCTCATTTCACATCTTTATTTATACCCCTGATTTCATGTCCTGAAAGCTTATTTGTTTTGACTTTTCAGTGTCTCTTTCCTGACCCATGATCAGTGAAATCCTGAGCCACATAAAGACCACAATTCACCAAGACAGATTTATTTCCCAGAAAGTCTCTTCTTGAGTATAGGTTAAGCATGGGTTTGAGAGTTAAGAATTTATATGGACAGTGTTTGGGAAGATGACAACGATGTTTCTTGACAGATTTTTATTATATTTTAACAACAGCTTTCTCTATGTCTGTATATATTAAATTTAAGAAAACGGTATAATTTATATTATACCTGAGAGGCTGCCTGCTATAGTAGAAATTACCACAAACTTTATACTCAAATCTGGACTCAAAGCCCATTTGTGTAGTTTCCAGCTATATGAAGTTTAGCTTGGGCAAGTTTCTTTTGGGAAACTCAGTTTTCTCTTTTGTAATATAGGATACTTGTTGTAAGGGTTTAATAGGCTATTTTCTTTGAAGAACCTTGGACAATAAGAAGTCATAGTAAAGTGGTTCAAATCATGGGATCAGAAGCCAGACAGAGTTTCAGTCTTGACCTCATCACTGATTTTGTAACACTCTGTGCCTCAGTTTTCTTGTCTACAAAATAAGGATAACAGCATCCAGCTTCTAAGGGTAGTATATGGGTAAATTAGTTAATGCATGTAAAACATTTACAACAGTACCAGGAAAAAGATGGGGACTCAATAAATGTTAGCTACCATCATTATTATTGTTGCAGTTATTTGTTATAATGTCTGCCACATAATAGCTGTTGGGAAAATAGAAGGCATTGTTCATTTAAAACCCTCTCTTGTTTTAAACAACTTCTCCCTCCTGCAGCCCCTTAAGAATTTCCAAGGAACCCCAATATTCTTCAGATCACAGTAGGAATGACACATTCTACATGTGTGTTGCTCAGCAAAGCAAATAGAGAATAATAACTAATGTGAGATTGTAATTATGTATATCAGTGATGTTGCTTTGTAAATCAAAGCTAATTGATTCTGAGTACTTGCTACTTCTTTAACCCTCCTGCCAGCTCAGGAGCAAGCATGCAATTTTCCACGTAAACAGCAAGGGTGCTTATAGAAAAGGTATTCAAAACGAGCAGAGTGCCATCTACACTAGAGCAACATCGAGGCTAGGGATTTAAACTTATCATACTGAGTTGCACCCATGGTATGTATGTATCTTAGAAGGAGGAACGACGTTTCCTCACTGTAAACTTAGATAAGCACGGCTTCACCCTCTGGCAGCCATCCTTTGACTTTTCCTTCAGAAAATGGTCCAAACTTTTTGAATCAATGATTCTGTCTTAACCATCCCCTGGCACACTCCTAAATCTAATGGGTTCAGTAATTTAATTGGCTGTTATATGAATCAGTATTTTCATTTTTCTAAATGCCTGATTTTCAAATTTATGTTTACTCACACTAAATTTGGCATGCAAATGTAATTCTTAAAGCAGAAAGTAAGAGGAACTGATGGGTGTAGGTTAAAAAATGAAGCTAGTAAAGTTTGGCTATCCAACCAAACCCCACACACCCCATGATCCCTACAGCTGTCCCCGAAGTATTTCTTAGAAACCCCAAATGTTCTTTGACTAACACTTTAAAAACTTCTTCCCTAAAGTTACTTTCTTCACTGAAGCCTCTGTATTGTTGTATTTGCATATCTCATGAAAAGCCCACATCCCCGCGTTGACTTCACTGGTTTGTGCTTTGATGCATTTCATCATGTTGAATTTAAGCTGTCTACTTTCCAAAGTGAAAAATCCAAATTTTTCAGTACTTCAAAAAATCCTTCTTTCTACCCAACGATCCATTTCTCTATTCATTTAATGATTAAGAAAAAAAGAACGAAATTTTCAAGATTCTTTAACCCAAAAAGATAAAATGGTGTCTGTCTGTAGAATTAGATTCGAAGTCAGATAATAAGGCAAACTCAGAGAAAATAAGGAGAGCTTGAAAGGACCCTGAAAGGCAAATCTTTGAGAGGGAGTCCTTGTATGCTAAGTGGAATAGTCATTGGATTACAAATTTGCAGACCTAGGTCCTCATTAAGCCTGTCACAAGCTGCTTCTGTAACCTTTCACAGGTCAGTTAGCCTCTCTGGACTTTAGGGTAATCCACTATGCTCACCTCATAGCATTGATGACCCCAGTGAGAAGCTACAAAGGGAAATGGAAAGATTCTACAAATGGAAGAAATCATATAGTTTTTGTTTTTCCTGAAAAAAAAAAAAAAAAAAAAAGTAGGGGGACTTGCCCCCTGGAGTTTGAATTGGCTGTGGTTTATCTTTATTTTCTTGCATGCACAAATGCCTTTTTATGTGAAGATCCTTTTTTCTTTAAGAATTGGAATTGTGGTTGCCCTACTTAGAGTCAAAAATGCCTATGAGCAGCCGCAGCCGTCTTTAACTCCTACACATATAGCCAATTAGGGGGATGTACGCTCATCCTGGGCCTTAGAGAATCTTCTTCTGATCCTTACAGTTAGAACTTCATGTTCAGAGAGCTGCTTAGTTATTATATCTAATGACCTAGTTCAGCCAGGACAAAAATGTGAAATATACTTTTTCTTTCTCCTGTCCCCCACCACAAACACGCACACATCCATGTGCATGATGTACATTCCTTAAGTACACTGTGCACACACACATTTCTTTTCTCCAGACCCTTTGTGTCAAACATTTTACAATTCCTCCTGCCAAGCTTTCATGAAGTTCCAGAGTGGACAAGGAAATGGCCCCAGTGACACACATCAGTTCTGATGGATCATTCTGACCAGCAGCCAAGAGTCTCCGGAAGAGCATGAAAGCACTAGGTCACCGAGAACCAGTCCTTTGGGTGATTAGGTATTTTGCAGACAGTAGGATAAATCCTCATCTTTTCCTAGTTATAGGAAGAGATATGCTTTCCCCCAACAGAGAAAGTGAAAGGACTAGCCCGCTATCAGTTTCCATGGCAACTCAGATCCACTACCTGCTTACTTCATCCTGTCACTGTGGAAGACTTGAGGGAAAAACAACATTAAGCTTCTCTCTGTTTTTTGTCAAATATTTTGAAGGGACATTTCATAGCATGAGTCTGAAACACCTTTTTAGGAGTGAAAAGGAGAACATGAGAGAGAGAAAAAGGGGGAGCAATGAGCCTGGGGATGCTGGGGACATATTTGAGGGGAAGAGACTGTGGCTGATGTGGTCAGTGCCAATAAAACAGAGAGAGGAGGAAAGGAAAGCAATAAATATGTATTGAGTGTCCACTTCAGGCCTGGTGCTGTGCTTAATAATGCACATGCTGTGGCCTCTCAGAGCCCTCCGTCTGGAAGAGAAAGGCAGGTAAACAGGCTATGACTGCATGAGCAGAGCTGCCAGGACATCTGCACAGGGCACACTGCAGGCAGGGGCAGAAGGCACTGACACTGGTGTTTGGAGGGATGGGTGGAAGGCAGATTTCTCTTAGGAAATGTCTATGCTAGAATCTAAAGAAAGTGTAGGGGAGAGCAGGTGAAAAAGTCCTGGGGCATTTCTGGTTGAGAGAGTGAACCATGCAGAGGCCCTGAGAAGTGAGACACCTCAGCTTGGAAGACTTCTGGAAGTTCCTTCCGGCTGGAGTGGAGCTTGAGAGGGCTTAGGGCAAAAAATGAGTGTGGCTGGAGAAGTTAGCAGGTTCTGAATTACGACGTCACTTATTATAAGTCATGTTTAAGGGGCTGCAATTTATCTGGACCGTAATAAGGAGCCATTAAAGCATGTGAAGCAGGTTTGTGAAAACATCATACCTGCAGCAGAGTGGAGGATGGTTCTGTAGCCAAACAGTGATGGTGGAGGGAAAGAGGGGACATTCTAAAGTGAAACAGTGTGGGTCATGGATGAGACAAGAATGGCAGCAGTGGGGATTAAGCAATGTGTATGGGTTCTGGAAATTTTATGACTTAGAACCAACAATAGTTATTATGGGTGAAAGAGAGAAGTGAAAAATGAAGTCCATGTTGCTGGATGACTGAGTGAACAATAGTGCCACTCACTAAACAGGAGTCAGTGATGGAGGAGCGGGCTGGGGCTATTTGCTTGATTACCAAGAAGCCAGGTTGGGCCAGGTTGGTCAGGCCAGGTTAAGCCTTTAGAATAGCCCTTGTCAAGCTTCTGTGTGAGCTTGTGTATGGGCATGTCCAGAGTCTGAAACAGGTGTCATGGACTACTATGAGAAGATGACATGTTTAGCTTAGGACATGGCATGAGTGATTCTATTATAGAATGAGATTTCATGTAGACCCCAATATGGGGTACGTAAGAGCAACCACAACAAAACAGTTCAGAACATCTTTTTATTCTCCATCTTTAATCAAAACCTGCATACCTTCTACACCTTTCATTACTGCTACCTGCCCATGAAAGTTTGGAGGTGAGCCATACCCGTAAAAGAAGGAGGAAATTTAATTTCACCGTTGGTAATCGCACCAGGAACTTAGCTGTTGTGGAGTTCAACATTCTCATTCGGGCTCAGAGAAATTTACAGCAAGAATGCTAAAGGTGGCACATGGTAGAGTGCCATGAAGATAGGGTGTGGCCTATATGAGTAGTTCCTGGTGGTGGCCGACCAGCTGGCAAAAGGATCCCTCCTGTGATCCACACACATGCTTACTTACCCCTGTTCTTTCTTCCAGGAAGTCCAGTGTTAAACTCTTCATCATCTTCTAGTGGTCCACAGCTTTTCTTCAAAGGCTGAACTCATTTTTACATACAGTCACATGAGATCTTGGTTTCTGCCATTTTAAATGCCAGGTATGAGACCCAGCCCCACAACTAGGTGATGTGTTCATCTTAAGCAAGTTGCTTAAATTCTCATTTTCCTTCTATGTATTGGAGGGATGATAGTGACAGTCGTGAGCCCCACCCCACCAGGTGGCAATGAGGGATAAATAAGACAAGGCCTGAGAAGGAGGGGTGGAAACTGGAACAGGTGTTGGGTTTCCTATCACAGTATGAGGAGGGCAGCTGGGTTGTGGAAAGAAGAGGCATGAACCCCCCAGCTCCTTCTTCCTGTGGCCCTGCCATGCGTGTCTAGCTCTCTCTGGGAAGCATTTGCTCAGAGTAATCTTGAACCATCTGTAGGAGGGTAACAAGTTCTGAGAAGATAGAATTCCTTATGTGTAACAGAGCTGTCACTCCCAGGCATTTCTTCTGCCACATGAATGAGACAGTGAATGAATCTCTCCCTGCACCCTCACTGTGTGTCAACTGTCTAAGGTATAACTTTGAGCACAGTTCCCAAATATAGTACTTTATGTTCTCTCCGGTAATACTAATAACTCACTTCTGGAGTCGCAGAAAGAACATGGATTTGGATTCAGGCTACCTCAATGCACCTCTGACATTTACTAGGTTGTGGTGTTGGATAAAGCATTTAACTTCTGAGGGTGTCTATTTCCTTGTCTGTACAAAAGAGATCATTCCTCCCAAACATTACTATGAATATTAGAGGTCATTTATACGGGGGGCCAAGTGCAGGGCCTAGCCCAGAGTAGGCACTCAAGCAGTAGCTACATTATTTTATTCCTAATAATTTATAATAATAAAAAATAAGATGTTATGCTCTCCCCAGATGCTTAGCCCACCCTCCCTCAAACTTGCATGAATTACTATGGCTGCATAATAATTTCCCTCAGTCCTGAAGGAAGCATCTAAATTAGTAGTTATGAAACCAATTAACATCACAGAGGATTGGAAAAAAATCCTGCCTGTGACTCTAGCCTTGTGACTACTCAGAAATCTCAGCCAGCATCACTTCAGCTGGCATCTGGAAGTTACTCCTGCACCTTGAAGCACCCCTGCAGGAGCCAGGTCTACTGAGAGTGGGCAGCCCTCTCTGCAGGCCGAGAGCAGGAGGCAGGAGAACTAGAGAGAGATGTCTAGCTGGGCCTGTGCTCCCCAGCACTCTTTTGTACCCAGTGGCTGTGTGAAGGGTGGATGAAGCGTATTTGGTTTTAATTGGGAAATGCTATCAATTGTCCTGGGCTCATTTAAAAATCCATTAGTATCAGGAAGTGGATAGATTAAGCAATGAGGAAGGGAAAAGAAAAAAGCTGTCAGCACCTTGCTTTGTAGGGAGCATACCGCCTGTCTAAGCTTCACTAGCAAGGGCTGTGCTGAATGTTAAGAAGCCTGTTAAAGTCAGTTTCAAGATGCTGGGGAGGGAGAGGAGGTGTCTGGGCCAATTCACACGAAGTCCTGGGCAAGCTTATTGTTCTCGCAGCTTCCAAAAGCGGTACTGCAGTAATCTACACCGCATGTTTCAGATTCCTGCAGCTGTTTCTGGAAGCCTGGCAACTGTGCCACCCAGCTGTAAGCCACATCAACACCTGCAAATAGCGAAACCCCTCTGCGCTCCCCGCCACAACCCCGGCCGCTTTTTTTTTTTTTTTTTTTTTCTCTCTCAATGCTCAGCTGGACCCAGATACCTCTTCATCCTGGGAGCCATCAGTCTGGCTAAGGGTCTATGGTGGACTTGAGGCAAACAGGGAGAAGGATGACAGAAATGTGCCAGAAGATGAATTAGAAGAGAAAGCAAAGGGAGGACAAAGATAAAAGCAAGCTATGAGAACAAAAAATGAAAGACAGCTATGACAGCGCTGTGTATTAGCTTCCTAGGGCCTCTGTAACAAAGTACCACAAACCAGATGGCTTAAAACAGCAGACATGTACTCTTACAGTTTTGGAGGCTAGAAATCTGAAATCAAGGTGTTGGCAGGACCATGCCCCCTCTGAAGCCTCTAAGTGGGGATCCTTCCATGCTTCTTCCAGCTTCTGGTAGCCTTAGGTGTTCCTTGGCTTGTGGTAGCCTCTCTCCAATCTATCCTCTGTCTTCCCCTGGCCACCCTTCTGCTGTGTCTGTGTCTTCTAATAAGGACATATTATTTTAGATTAGAGTCTACCTAATCCAGTAAGACATCATTTTAATTTGACTACATCTGCAAAGTCCCTATTTCTGAATAAGGTCACATTCATAAATATTGAGGATTGCGACCTCAACATATTTTTTGGTGGGACAGGATTCAACCCACGCCAGGCTGTTTAGAGGACTGCTATCTGGTTAATTCAGTACATCACTGTAGAAGGCCCTGGGAAGCTTGAAAAAGTACTAGGAAGGAATCCAGGGTCACAAACTGAAATGCCTGCAGAGGCCAGGCAGGTAACATAATAGGTTCTAGAATAAGAAAATGGTGACTGTCCTTTAGCCTGGAATCATTGGGACAACAATGAACTGGAGTACATGCCCTGGATAAGAGCAAAAAATACTCAGCCCCAGCTGTTGTCACCTTGTAGGACTGAGGCTCAGGGATGCCAGATCAAATGAGAAGCCAAGAATCCAGATTTCTATGTGAAATGTCTCAGTTTTGTTTAAAACCTAGGCAGCTATTTTTTTCCCCAAATATGGTGCACAACAAACTAAGACCATCTGCAAATAAGGCAGAGCCATGGGCAGTCAATTTGCCACCACTGCTATAAAGCCATTGGTTCAAATCCCAGTCTTGCCACTTGCTGTGTGACCTCGGGCAATTTACCTCCCATCTCTGGGCCACAATTTCCTTTTGAGGAATGAGATGGTCTTAATCATCCAATAGAGTATGGTAATAAATGGTAGTGAATATTCAGAGGTATAGGATGCCAGGCCCACACTAATATGCTTACATATTAGTTTAAGCAACAAAACTTACACGTTGGAAAATTGAAAGACCAGGCACAGTGGCTCATACCTGTAATCCCAGCATTTTGGGAGGCTGAGGCGGGTGGATCATTTAAGGTCAGGAGTGCGAGACCAGCCTGGCCAACACGGTGAAATCCAGTCTCTACTAAAAATACCAAAATTAGCTGGGCGTGGTGGCAGGTGCCTGTAATCCCAGCTACCCGGGAGGCTGAGGTATGAGAATCACTTGAACCTGGGAGGCAGAGATTGCAGTGAGCCAAGATCACACCACTATACTCCAGCCTGGGCAATAGAGCAAGACTCAGTCTCAAAAAAAAAAAAAGGAAAGAAAGAAAATTAAGAGACCTCAGCCACTTGTCCTGAACATTATGTAAGTGGATCAATTCAAAGCCACTGGAAAGTGCCTGCCCCAGCCTAACGCTGAATAATTCTCCTCATATATAACCCCCACCAGGGCTCCACTCTGAGTGAGGCTGTGCAGCATGTGGTTAAAAGCATGGCTTCTGTATGCAGGGATGTGAGAGAGATAGCATCTAGTGGGTAAGAAAGACAGCAGTAGAGTGGAGACAAAAATCCTGGAATCCTGGCTTGAATGTTACTGACAACATCAGCTAATCAATAATGCATATTCTACATGTGAGGTACTGTCCTAAGAGCTTTCATGAATTATTCACAATTAGTCCTCATTCCAATACTGGAAGGTAGATATAATTACCCTTGTTTCATTAACAAGGATACAGAGAAGAGCTGGATTCTAGAGTTTTAAGTAAAATCTCCCAATTCATTTAAATTATGGCAGTGGAATCAAGTATTTTTCAAAACACTGTGATGTCTAAACTAAGTCCATGTGCAAATTGGGCCCAGCCCATGGGCAGCTATTTCACAACCTTTGGTCATGAGCTGTGGGTTCCAGACCAAGCTTTGCCAGTTTTCTGTGTGAACCTGGGTGAGTAACATCTACTCTCTGAACCATGGTTGAGATATTCCATAGCTTGCCAAGGTCACAGAGCTTGTATGTGTCAAAGCCCAGCATCTGAACCCAGGCAGTCCAGGGTCACTAAGTTTATTGGTGGCATAGTCTTCTATAAGTGTTTCTGATGCTTTTCTGAGACCTTTCTATCAATCAGGCTACAGATCCAGATAGGACACATGATGCTGACTCACCTGCAATGGCTGATATTCTTAACAAGTTTTAATGAAGGACAGTGAGGATGAATGCAAATGCCTGGAGGATTGCATAGATTTCTGTAAATATGAAAGGTAAAGAAGAGATAGGATGGTCCCTCCTGAATACTGCATCAGTTGGCCTAAAATTGCATCATGGAGTTTTGTTTTCCTCAGTCATGTGACAATTTTGATTCATGCCTTAAAATAAGAGGAATCTGGCTTTAATACTGAATGATATTTAGTCTTAAAAACTCCATATGAAAATAAAGCTGCCCAGTGGTTTTTCATATTTATTTTTAGCAGAAAACCTTTTTAAAAAAAAGTGAAATCCTACATAGAATGCCAGCATAGAAAATAGAATGGGCTGGTGTTCATCATGTTTTACTAAGGCATAACAATAATGACAATGGTAATAATAGCAGCAGCAAATCCTTGCCTTGGGCCAGCCACTACTTATTCTGAGACCTTACCTGTGGTAACTCATCTAAGCCTTACAACAACCCTTTGAGGAAACTGAGGCAGAGTGATGTTAAGTAATTTGTTCAGGGCTACAGAGCTCAGTGTGGGAGTCAGGCAGGCTGCCCCCAGGGCCTGCAATCTTCCCTGCCCTGCTGCTCAGCTCCTCACCCTGGTACACCACAGGGGTGCCCACATGAGAAACAGCTGATTCCAAATGGGAGCTGACAGCAGAATTCGTGTCTCACAGCCTGTAATTTGTAGTCAACTTTGAAATCGTCGTTTGCATTTACTATCTACGGAGACTTAACATATGTAAATTGTCTGTCTCAATAGACAGTTACAAAGACCTGTCATTGTACTTCAGTCTCAGCTAATCTGTCATTGAAATGCTTCATAGGGTCTTTCAAATAGAAATTCATGTCTGCCTCAAAGCCTAAATTATAACTGAGAATATCCCAAGTGTTACTCTACAAATTTGGTGAAAACCTGTCCAGTTGTTAGTTGTGGTTAGGAACAAACAGACCCAAATTTTCTTGTATTTGTATAGACAAAAGTAAAGCCTCATTGACTGAGGGAGATGGGAATCTGGGGCCCGCTGCCTGCAATCTTCCTCTCAGCAACCCATGAGGCAACTCCAGAGAACCCTGGGCTCTGGGAACTCAGTCAGAGAGCCACAGTCCCCAGCCAGATAGAAACAACCTTGTCTGCTGTCTCCGGGAAAGGGAGAGAGTTGTTCCAACCTGGGGTCTGGGAGAAATGACAGCATTCAGAAGTAGGGTCGGCTTAAGGAAGTATGGAGATGCAAGGGACACAGCAATCCTGGGCCTCTGAGCCTCAGGCCAGAGGGTGTTTCCAGCACCTTCTGAGAATTTGGTAATGGCTCATCTCAGATTTGCAAAGGCACTGCTGGTACCTGGTTTGTCTGGAACCAGGCATAGGTATTTAATTCGTATGATGAGGCTGAGGCTGACAGTGTAAATAATAAATTAAACCTCTCTTGAGCTTTGTTTTTTCAATACTTCACTGATAAAATATGACTTTTAAATAAAATTTGGAACTTAAATACCAAGCTTCTAGAGAGTTGAACTAGAACAGATTTCTCAATCTTGGTATTATTAACATTTTGGACTGGTTAATTCTTTGTTGTGGGAGCTTGCCCTGGGTATTATAGGATGATTAGAAGCATTGCTGGCTTCTGCCCACTACAGGCCACTAGCGTGCTCTCCCTCCCCTACTTTCGACAATCAAAACTGTCTCTGGACATTGCCAAATATCCCCTGAGGTGAAGGGGACAAAATAAATCCCAGCTGAGAATTTTGAATTTGATTATTTCAGAGGTAATATTTAGCTATAGTCTTATAATCCCTTATAGTCAAAGATAACTTTGAAATTAAAAGTTTAACTCAATGTATTTTTGTACTGCTAAGCATATCCTTTGTCTAGACGCCCTGGTTCATAGATTGAGACCAAGATCATAGTGGTTTGTTGTCATTCCACTTGCTCTTGGCCACTTGACCTCAAGTCAGTTGCTAAAAAAAAATTAGCTTAATAATCCTGCATTGATTGACCTCTCTAACAGTCTCCTATTGCCTCCAACTCCCTTCTTTCGTCAGATTTTTCTTCCCACAATTATAAAACTGGAAGAAAGATAAATGTCCAGTGTCTTGGCTGAGACAGTGTAGCTCACCCAGACAGGTTTTCTCTTCTCAAGAGGCATGATTTATTTTTTACTTTATATTTTTAAATTGTCGTTTTCCTGTCAACTTGCTCCAATAATTCCTGCTTAATTTCCGAAGGGCTTAAGATACACACCCTGTGTAAGCATGTGGGTTAAGAGTTGAAACTGCATAATCAGACCACAGCCTATATTTGAATCCTGGCTCATCCATCCATGAACTAGTTTCAGGATTGTGGGCAAGTTCCTGAAACTCTCTGCTTCAGTTTTATTACTTACAAAATGGGGCAGCGATAATGCCAGTCCCATAGGGTTGTGGTGAAGATTTAATAAAATACTGTGTATAAAGTGTTTAGTAAAGTACTATGCATATAGTAAGCATTAAATACACACTATTACCTCTATCATCTTTGCGATTATAATGATTTTTAATTATCACTTCATTCCCTTTCCTCCTATTTCTGCTGAAAGTATCTGGAGGTAACACCTTCATGCAGTCAAGGGATTGCCTTAGGAACTTTTGTTGAAATAAATAATTTCAAAAAGCAATTAAAACTTATTTCATCATACCTTTCAATCACTCTAAGGTCACCAGCCAAAATGATCTTAGAACTCATCCAGAACCAGAAACTAGGAAGTCCCAAAAAATCCCCAAATCCTCCCCCCAAATTCCCTAAACAACTCTTCCCTTCTTTTCTTTCCTTGTGCACCTACATAGGGTCTCCCCTGCTCTATTCAGCTTTCCTTTTCCAGAAGTAGACACTGCCCTCATCTGAAGTGGCTGCACTTGAGTTCAGAATGACAGGGGAGAAAAGAACGTGTTTCTTTGACAATACCTATTTGCTCAGCAAGTGAAAAGCAAAGACCTGTATGGAAGAGGTAAATCTTAGGTATAGCCAAAAATAGCTATTGTCTCTTTATCACCAACCAGAGTGAACTCCTTGCTGCCTATGTGCCCAGTATGAGGATAAAAGCCCTGGTACTGAGGAAGGGTTCAGAGGACTTGCTAGCCTTTTTTTTTTTCAAGTGGCAAAAATTTAAGTTTTTATTATGGACTCCTGTGTCTTCTGTGCAGACAACCAGCAGTGAAGGATGTGAGTAACAGCATTAGGGGGGATGTCATTAGCATGCAATATAGCACTATGTCTACACCTGTGCACAGGCTTGGATCTGCCATTTACTAACCATGAGAAAAAGATTGTCATTTGTCACCTCACATATTTCAAGATACTCTCCTATCCATTAGCACAGATGGTCCCATGCTAGCTAGCCCTTGCAGTACCAGAAGTAGATATCATTTAACCCAATAGACTAAGAGTCAGAGAGGTTGTCAGTTGCTCAAAATTACAAATCAGTTCATTATAGATCTGAGAGTGACAACTCAAGCAAGTTATTTGACCTGTTGGATCCTCAGTTTTCCATAGCTGTATTTCTTCCTCATCGGGTTTCTAATGATTCAGTATAGAAATAATGTTTGCAAAACATGTAGCCCAAAGTCTGGCACTTACTAAGTGCTCCATAAATATTTCTGAAGATAGTGATTATTTGGAGGATGATAATGATGATATATGCAGAACAGTATATGAAAAGACCCTGCACAGCAATTAGACCTGACAAGTCTTAGTCTCCAGATCTGTCCCTAATTATTAAGTTATCTTGAATTACTGTCTCAAATTCTGCAGCAGAATTTTCTACTGGGCTCATATGGAGTTAATATCATCTGCCTCTAATTGCTTATAAAGACACTAAGAGGCTCAACTGGGTAAAAAGGACCTTTGAAAAATGTAACGTACAAAACAGATTTACCTAATAAATGATTTTCTCATTCTTTGCATGCCATTGTTGTTGCTGTTACATTTCATCCTGGCAATGGTAGTTGACAGGCTGTTTACCCTATAAGCTCTTGTAGCCCATTCCTAGAAAAGAAGGAACTGCTTGAAACCATCACTGAAGGCAACTCAAGGCAGAGTCAAGATTAGGACGCAAGTCACTGACCGCCAGTCTAGATTATTTCTCACTCCCAGAAGGGAAGAACTCCTACAGAGACTGATCCCATCCTCCTTTTGGACTTCATAGAGAGACTAGATATATTGACTAATGGCATTAACAAAATGAGAGGCATCAGAGGATTCTGTGTAGCCATTCTGTTTGCTAACTTTACTGAAGCATTTCTTCAGAACTATTTGTCTTTCCTTCTTTTTCTAGCACTTCAGGGTAAAAGAGTGTTCAGAAGCTGACAGCCAGTGATGTGCTTACTCTATGCACAGTTCATAAAGCATGACTGCTTCCAGGAGAGCTGTTTGTACAAGCCTGGGAGAGGACTCAGTCTACTAACAGAGACAGCAGAGATTGCTTGCAGAATAAATATGCAACTTATTAAAGATTATTCTTGTATACTGAATAGCTCCCTGATGGAGGCTGAAGCAAGGGGAGTAAGGATTGGGGAGGCCATTTCTCTTCCATGAGGTTACAAAGTCCCATTGAGATGGGAGCCAAGTTAATTAGAGAGCTGTCAAGGGATAGCGTATCTTCCAAAGCAGATTGACAATAGGTTGGGGATGGAGGTCAGTCAAAGATCCAAAGAATTCCGCCACTGCTACTGTTTGCAATGCCCAAGTGAAGAAACATAACTAGTGCAGGAACTCTTGATATTTCAGGGCTTCTTGTACTTTGCAATCGCTGAAGAAACCTGAGGAAAGGTGGTGCCAATGTACCATTACCTAATTCAGCATTTGCTTTGGGTTGAGACCACAGGCCATTGCTGATCTGATTATAGAAAACAAGAAAAAAATGAATCTAGTACTGGGATTGTTTAGTCCTGGAAATAAAAGACGAGATGTGAACCCAATAGCCCTTCAGGTATTTGAAGAACTCTCAGGGGAAAGGTGATAATATTTCAACATGGCTCCTCAGTGGAGAGCCAGGGCCGATAAGCAGAGGTTATAGCAAGCTAACCCCACATTTGGAGAGTTGACAATTTCAGTGGTCCAAAATGGAATGGAATGCTTTGTGAGGTAGTAAGTTCCCTGCTAGAGGTCTCTAAGCACAAAATGCTTTACAAACTGTTCTGTGAGTTCTCCTGAAGTTCAATGAAGTTATAGTATATGCAAAAATTAGCTTTGACAGTGGACCCTAAATGAAAATTATTGTTGGTCAAAATTAATTTTGAAAATCCTTTAAATTATCTATTAAATACAATATATACATGATTTTATTTTTCACAACCCCAGATAGTTAAAACTGGATTGCCTCTGGGGGCAATGCTGTTAAAAGTGGATATCCTACCTGTATATATGTTCCCACTTTAGCATTTATTAATGGGTCTTGTCTGCAACAGTTATTACTATGGTGACTATGGTGTTTGCTTAGTGATGATTTCCATTAGTTCCCCTTCTTCCTCACTTATTTATTCAGTATTTATTTTTTTAAAAAGGAAAAGAATGTTGGGCACAATGGCCTGTGCCTGTAGACCCAGCTACTTAGAGGACTGAGGCAGTAGGATCACCTGAGCCCAGGAGCTGAAATCTAGCCTGGGCAACATAGCCTGGGCAAGACTCTGTCTCTAAAAATAAAATAATAAAATACAATTTTAAAAAACAAAAACAAAAAACAGGAAATGAATATAAAATGTTTATGGATATAAATGCTTATGGATATAAAATGAATATCCATAAACACCAGAATCCCTTTCAGTGGGGCTAGATTCTTGGGGATTGAAGGAATCATAGCCATTCATATCTCTCACCTATGTTCCCTCCAGGGCACGGTCTCTGTGAGTGGATGGAATGGCAGGATTGTTTTCATGTTGTTAGTGCACGGACCTTGCACATTTTTATTACATTTGTTCTTTAGTAATTTTATGGAGTTTTAATGAGTTATTTCAATTTTATTTTTCAATTGCCCATTGCTCATATATAGAAATGCAATTGACTTTTATATACTGACTTTGTATTCTGCAACCTTTTTATCTCACTTATTCTATCTTTTAGGATTTTCTAGCATATGTTATCATGTTGTATGCAAGTAAAGATAATTTTACCTCTTTTAATTCTATATGACTATTGTCTGTTTGTCTGCCTTATTGCACTGCCTGGCTACCCTAATCTAATGTTGAATAAAAATTCCGAGAGTAGACATCCTTGCCTTGTTCCTGACCTTAAAGAAAAACATCCAGCCTCTCACCATCGAATATAGATATAAAGTTCTGTGTAGATATCCTTATCGGGTTGTGGAAAATCCCATCCATTCTTAGTTTGCTGAAGATTTTACCATAAATGGAAGTTGGATTTCATAGAATATTTTTTCTGCGTCCACTGAAATGATCACATGGAGTTTCTCCTTTGCGTTATTAATATGATGAGTTAAATTCATTGATTTTTGTATATTAAATCCAACCTTGATTTCCTGGAATACATCCTACTAGATTTGATTTGCCAATATTTTGTTAAGAATTCTTAACCTACATTCATAAGGTACATTGCTACAGAGTTTCCTTTTCCTGTGATGTGTTTGTCTGGTAATACTAGGCTTATAACATTATTTGAAAAGGATTCCCTTCTCTTTTATTTCCTAAAGGAGTTTATGTTAAATTCATCTTATTTTACCTTAAATGTTACATGAAATTCTTACCAGTGAAGCCATCTATGTGCCTGGTTCTTCTTTGAAAGTTCTCTGTTTTCAATTCAAATTTTTAATTGACAAAGGATTATTTGGGATTTTTGTTGTTGTTTCTTCTTCAGTCTGTTTTGATCATTTATATTTTTCAAAGGATTTGTTCATTTTCAGTTGTCAAATTTATTGCATAAAGTTGTTCATAATGTTCCTTTATTATCCTTTCATGATTGTAGAATAGATAGTGCTTGGCGATATCAGTATTTTATTTCTTCTACCTTTTTGAGAAATTAAATAGTGGCGTATCAATTTTAAAACAAGATTTTGATTTTATTGATCATTTTCTGTTTTATCTCCATTTCTTATGCCTCAATTTTTAAACTTATATTTATTGTCTTTTTCCTTTTAATATGTTGGGTGTTTAAATTTGATGTTTTTCTAATTCATAAGAGGGAAACCTAGATCCTTGAGTTTTCACACCTTTTTCTATTTCCAGGATAAGCATAAAAGCTATAATTATTTCTCAAACACTCATTTAGCTGAATCTCACAAATTTTGATGTTTATTTTAATTATCATTCACTTCAAAATGTTTTTTCCTATTTCTTCTTTCATCCAAAATTATTTAGAAGTAGATTGTTTAATTTTCAAATACTTAAGACTTTCATGGATACCTTATTGCTATTAATTTTTAACCTAATTCTATGTTGTCAGAAAGCATACTCTGCATGATTTCAGACTTTTTAGATTTATTGATTTTTTTGTCCTAACATATCCTGATAAGCATGTATCCTTGAAAAAACTGTGCCTGCTGGAGTTGTTAGGTTATATGTCTACAAATGTCAATAAGATAAAGGTTGATAGTAACGTTCAAATCTTCTACATCTTTACTAATTTTTTGTCTATTTCTACCAATTGCTGAAAGGTATTAAATATCCAACTATAATTCTGGGATTGTCTTTCTCCCCATTAATTTTTTAATTGTTTGCTTTACATATTTTTAAGGTCTCTTATTGGATACATATACATTTACGATTGTTATGTCTTCCTAATGATTGATCCTTTTAATATTATAAAATGCCTCTTCTTTTTTCTCATATTTCTCGTATAGCCAACCTACATCTTTGGTTAATTCCTAGATATTTCATTTTATTTGTGGCTATTATAAATAGGATTTTTTATTTCTTTTTCAGATTGTTCAGTTTTGTCATATAGAAATGCTACTGATTTTTTTATGTTGATTTTTGTATCCTGCAACTTTACTGAATTTGTTTATCAGTTCTAAGAGTTTTTTGTGGAGTCTTTAGGTTTTTCCAAATATAAGATCATATCTTCAAACAAAGTAATTTAGCTTCTTCCATTCCAGTTTGGATGTCTTTTATTGCTTTTTCTGGTCTGATTGCTCTAGCTAGGACTTCCAGGACTGTGTTGAATAACAGTCTTGAAAGTGAGCATCCTTGTCATGTTCCAGATCTTGGAGAAAAGGCTTTCAGTTTTTCCCTACTCAATATGACACCAGTTGAGGGTCTGTCATATATGGCTTTTATTATGTTGAGGTATGTTCCCTCTATACACAATTTTTAGGGTTTTTGTCATAAATGGATGTTGAATTTTGTCAAATACTTTTCAGCACCAAATAACATGATTATGTCATTTTTATCCTTCATTCTGTTGGTATGATGTATCACATCGATTGATTTGTGTTGTTGACCCATCCTTGCATCCCAGGGATAAATCCCACTTGGTCATGATGTATTATCTTTTTAATGTATTGTTGAATTTGGTTTGCTGGTACTTTGTCAAGGATTTTTGCATCAATATTCATCAGAGATATTGGCCCGTAGTTTCTTCTTTCGATATGTCTTTGTCTGGTTTTTGTATCAGCATAATATTGGCCTCATAGAATGAGTTAGGAGGTATTCCCATCTCTATTTGCAGAATAATGTGAGCAGGATCGGTATTAGTTCTTCTTTAAATGTTTGGTAAAATTCAGCAGTGAAGCCATCAGGTCCCAGGCTTTTCTTTACTAGTAGACTTTTTTTTCTTTTGAGATGGGGTCTCACTCTGTCACCCAGGCTGGAGTGCAGTGGCGCGATCTCGGCTCACTGCAACCTCTGCCCCCCAGGTTCAAGCGATTCTTCTGCCTCAGCCTCCCAGGTAGTTGGGACTACAGGCGTACGCCACCACGCCTGGCTAATTTTTGTATTTTTAGTAGAGACGGGGTTTCACCATATTGGTCAGGCTGGGCGAACTCCTGACCTCATGATCCTCCTGCCTTGGCCTCCCAAAGTGCTGGGATTACAGGCGTGAGCCACCATGCCTGGCCTACTAGTAGACTTTTTATTATGGCTTTGATCTTATTACTTGTTATTGGTCTGTTCAGATTTTACATTTCTTTCTCGTTCAGTCTTGGTAGGTTGTATGTGTCTAGAAATTTGCTCATTTCCTCTAGATTTTCCCATTTATCATCATACCTTTGCTCATAGCAGCCACTAACGATCCTTTGAATTTCTGTAACAGTTGTAATGTCTCCTTTTTCATTTATTATTTTATTTGGATCTTCTCTTTTTTTCTTGGTCTGGCTAAAGGTTTTTCCATTTTGTTTAACTTTTCAAAAAACCAACTTTTTGTTTCATTGCCTTTTGTATTCTTTCTAACTCATTTATTTCTGCTCTGATCTTTATTTCTTTTCTTCGACTAATTTTGGGTTTGGTTTGCTCTTGCTTTTCTAGTGCTTTAAGATGCATCATTAGATTGTTTACTTGAAGTTTTTCCTCTTTATAGGCACTTATAGTTATAAACTTCCCTCTTAGTAATGCTTTTGCTATATCCCATAGGTTTTGGTATGTTGTGTTTCCATTATCATTTGTTTCAAGAATTTTTTTTAATTTCCTTAATTTCTTTATTTACCCACTGGTCATTCAGGAGCACATTGTTTAATTTCCCTGTGTTTACAAAGTTTCCAAAATTTCTCTTTATTGATTTCTAGTTTTATTCCATTGTGGTCAGACAAGATGCTTGATATTATTTCAATTTTTGCATATTTTAAGACTTGTTTTGTGACCTAACATATGGTCTATCCTTGAGAATGATCCATGTGCTAAGGAAACTAATGTATATTCAGTAGTTATTGGATGAAATGTTCTGTGATTATCTAGTAGATCCATTTGGTCTATAATGCAAATTAAGTCTGATTTTTTTTGTTGATTTTCTGTCTGGAAGATCTGTCCAATGCTAAAAGTGAAGTATTGAAGTCTCCAGATATTATTGTATTGGGGTCTATCTCTCTCTTTAGCTCTAATAATATTTTCTTTATATATCTGTGTGCTCCAGTGTTGGGTGCATGTAGATTTACAATTGTTATATCCTCCTGCTAAATTGACCCCTTTATCATTATATAGTGACCTTCATTGTCTCTTATAGTTTTTGTCTTGAAATCTATTTTGTCTGACATAAGTATAGATATCTTGCTCTTTTTTAGTTTCCATTGGCATGAAACATCTTTTTTCATCTCTTTATTTTCAATCTGTATGTATCTTTATAAGTGAAGCATGTTTCTTGTAGGCAGCAGATTTTTTTTTTTAGTCCATTCAGGCCCTGTATGTTTTTTGATTAGAGATTTTAGTCCATTTACATTCAGTGCTATTCTTGATAAGTAAGGACTTACCCCTACCATTTTGTTATTTGTTTTCCGGTGTTTTTTTTTTTTTTAATCTTCTCTTCCTACTTTCTTTCTTTCCTGTCTTCCTTTAGTAAAGATGATTTTCTCTGGTGATATTATTTAGTTTCTTGCTTTTCATTTTTTGTGTATCCATTGTATCTTTTTTAATTTGAGGTTACTATGAGGCTTACAAATACCATCTTATAACCTATTATTTTAACCTGATAACAACACTGTTTGCATAAATAAACAAGCAGCTGAACTCTTCTACTATATTCTTACTTATTTTTAATTCATTAATTTTTATACATTCTGACAATTTCTGCTTTTTAACTGAAGTGTTTACTTCCTCAATAGTTAATGTAATTTTAATATAGTTACGTCTTAGTCTACTATTTTGTTATTTACTTTCAACTTGACCCTTCTGTTTCAATGTGTTCTTTTGTTGTGTTTTTATTGAGTAGTTGTTGTTCCTCTTTTCCTAAAATTTTTGGATCATGTTAATAATTTTTAAAGTTTTGTTTTAATTTTTATCTTGACTTTTTAAGCTACACTTTTCACATTTTTTTCAGTGGTTGTACTAGGTTATGAATCTTATAAATTAATATAAACTCTTAACTTTTAATAGTCTACTTAGAGTTTATATGTACCACTTTACATAAAGCTTTGCAATCATATAAATTTATTTATTCTCTTCTATACTTTGTTCTATTGTTACATGTATTACATTTACTTACATAAAAACCCCCAGAAGGTAATGTTTTAAATAGGCACATGTACTATAAACTAATTTTTTAACACACACAAAAAGAGTCTCTTTTACATTTATATAGATATTTACCACTTCTAGTGCTCTTTATTCCTTTCTGGGAATAAAGAGTTTCCATCTGGTGTCACTTCTGCTATAGCCTGAAGAAGAATCCTTAGCATTTCTTGTAGTGCAGGTCTGATGCACTACAGTATAGGTAACAAATTCCATAGTTGTTTTTTAATGTAACATATATTTTGCCTTCATTCCTTTTTTTTTTTTTTTTTTTTTTGAGATGGAGTCTCACTCTGTCACCAACCTGGAGTGCAGTGACATGATATCGGCTCACTGCAACCTCCACCTCCCGGGTTCAAGTGATTCTCCTGCCTCAGCCTCCTGAATAGCTGGGACTACAGGCATGCACCACCGGTGGTGCCCATCTAATTTTTGTATTTTTAGTAGAGATGGGGTTTCACCATGTTGTCCAGGATGGTCTCGATCTCTTGACCTCATGATCTTACCTCCTTGGCCTTCAAAAGTGCTGGGATTACAGGCATGAGCCACCGTGCCTGGCCTTCATTCTTAAATAATTATTTTTGTTGCTTATATAATTCTGAGTTGATTTTTTTTCTTTGGCTCTTTAAACATGTTGTTCTAATCATTTCTGGCCCTTATTCAAATCACTGTTACATATATATATATATATGTGTGTGTGTATATATATATATATATAACGTTACATATATGTGTTACACATATGTGTTACATATATGTGTAATATATGTGTGACATATATGTAACGTATATATGTAACATATGTGACATATATATGTCATTTTTCTCTGACCCCTCTCATTTGCTTTTTCCCTTAACTTTTTATGGTCATTAGCACATCTATGTGCCTATGGCTATTTTTATATTTATTCTGCTTGTGATTTATTGAACATCTTGAATCTGTAATTTGTATCTTTTGTCAAATTTGGGAAGTTTTGTGTCATTATTTCTTTACTTTTTCTTAGACTCCTTTCATTTCTTTCATTCTGAAACTTCAATAACATATATTAGACTATTTTATATTATCTAACAGGTTCCTGTGGCATTGCTTATTCACTCTCTATTCTTCACATCATACATTGGTAACAAACCAACTAAAAAGGAAATCAAGAAAGCAATCTCATTTGCAATAACTACACAATAAAAAAGACATAGAAATTAATTTAACCGAGCAGGTGAAAATCTCTACAATGAAAACTACAAAACACAGTTGAAAGAAATTTCAGAAGATACAAAAACATGAAAGGATAGTCCCTGTTCATGGATCAAAAGAAGTAATATTGTTAAAATATCCATAATACCCAAAGCAATCTACATATTTAATACAATACCTATCAAAATACCAATGATGCTCACATCTGTAATTTAAGAACTTTGGGAGGCTGAGGTAGGAGGATCACATGAGCCTCAGGAGTTCAAGGATGCAGTGAGTTATGATTGTGCCACTGCACCGTAGCACGGGCAACAGAGCAAGACCCTGTCTCTGAAAACAGAACAAAAACAATGACATTCTTCATAGAAATAGAAAGAAAAATCCAAAAATTCTTATGAAACCACAGAAGGCCCCAAGTAGCCAAAGAAATTCTGAGCAAAATGAATACAGCTAGAGGCATCCCACTACCTGACTTCAAAATATACTACAAAGCTATAGTAACTGAAACAGCAGGTATTGGTATAAAAACAGCCACATAGACCAATGGAACAAAATAGAGAACCCAGAAATAAATCAGCATATTTACAACCAACTGACTTGACAACGTTGCCAAGAACTTACACTGGGAAAACATAGCCTCTTCAATAAATCAAGCCTGGAAAACTGCATATCCATATGCAGAAGAATGAAACTAGACTCTCATCTCTCACCATATTCAAAAAATCTACTTAAAACAGATTAAAGACTTAAATGTAAGACCTGAAACTATAAAACTACTAGAAGAAAACATAGGAAAAGCACTTCAGGACATTAGTCAAGGCAACAATTTTATGGTTAAGATTTCAAAAGCACAACCAACAAAAGCAAAAATTGATAATTTTATTGCTGTATCTTCAGATTTACTAACTCTTTCCTCTGTCATTTCCATTCTCCTGTTAAATCTGTCCAGTGAATTTTTAAATTTTGGATATTTTATTTGGGGCTCCAAGGTTAATCTGGTTCTTTTTCATTTTTCCCCATCTCGCTGATATTTTTAATCTTTTCATTCATTGTAAGTAAGCACATTATCCTTTACATCATTGAGGTATTTATAATATTTCCTTTAAATTTCATGTCATTAATTCCAACATCTAGGTCACTTTTTTGTATTGGCCTGAGTTAATGGTCTTTTCCTTTGAGAATTGGTCACATTTTTGGGGGTCTTACCTGTTCAACATCCTCGATATAATGAAGGTTAAATATGGAGATGCTGGATCCTGACATTTTCCTATAAAGACTGTAGGATTTTTTATTTTAGCAGGCACTTAACTTGATTAGAACTGAACTGTTTTTGGGTGGGCAGTGGCTCCCATCTTAGTTCAAATATTTGTTTGTTTTTAGTTCATCTTTGAGCCTCGTCCATGCATAGACAATTCAGGGTCAAGCAAAGATGAGGGCCGACAGAACTTGGAGTAACCTTTCTGGATCTTCCCCCTTCTTTCTATAGTGAGTATCGTCCCCAGACTTAGTTCCCTAGTTATTCATATCATAAAGACAGACATTTTTCCACCAGTACTCGTACTCTTAACCAACTGCACTGGCACCCAGGCCAAAACCAGCAAAAACAGAGAACTCACTCCATGAAACTCCCATTCTCCATACAACTCCCATTCTCCACACAACTCACTGACTACTTGACCAGATTCTACAACTAGATATTAGGGGTTCAAATTCAGAAAGCCACTGCCTCATGCCCATGAAAGACTGTCTTAATGTAACCTTACTACCAGTCAAACTCTTGCAAAGCCATTAGGAGCAGGTACCTGTTCACTTGCCAGAGAGTATCCCCCATGCAGAACCAAATTCACCAGCAGAGGATTAGCCTAGGTACAGCATGGCTGATCATTATGACAGAAGATTGGGTCAGGACCACATGGTAGCTCTGAACTTAAACACATTAGAAGCATTTTAATTCCCCATCTTTACTCACAAACGGCAAACAAGGCTGACTCATCTTGGTAGCTTTCCTGGGTTTAAGACTTTTAATATTTAAAATAGACTGAAAATCATAATGAGAGAAACTACTGTTGAATAAAAAAGCAGTTTCTACATCTTCCCCATAGATTCTGTAATCAAAACTATTTTCTTGGTTAAATGGTTTATGTATCTAACTAGAGAAAAGGGGGTAGGAAGACATTATGGGAAGGTTAATGGGGTCTTACAGAGAACCCAGAGAATGGCTGAACCAGGTCTCAGAAAGGACAGGGGCCAGGACAACTCCAGCGGCCTCAGCAGCAGAGGCTCAAGGTCCTTTTCCCAAGTGTTCTGCCAGTAAAGTGACTTCCCACCAACTCTGGGTCTGGAGAGAATTCAATTGTCTTATCTGATTTGAGGATGCATTAAAATTTAACCATGTCCACAGGGGCGGGTCATATATGGAAACATGGTGCTGGGACTGGAAAGGTGCAGTTTTCAGAAGAGGGGTACTAGCTGGACAGACACCCTGGAGAGTGTCTAGAATATACAAGGGGGCCAGAGGGGCTACTAGAAGAGCAGCAGGACAACTTCAAAGAAGCTACTTTGTGGGCAGTGTGCACATGCAAAAGAAAAACGCTTTTTGTACTCAGTCATCCAGTCCAACAACAGAGAAATATTGATTTTTCCCAGCATCTCATTCAGCCCTAAGCATATATAGCAGCTGTACTTGCTGTGTCTAGTATGCATCGTTAACAACTCCCATCAGGTGGGGTCGGGGGGAAGCACATTAGGAGGCCAATGAATTCCTGGTTGTGTAGCCTCGGACTTATGACTTAATCTTTATTTGCCTCAAGTTCCTCATCTGAAGAAGAGAAATATCGTTCCATTCAGGGTAGCAATGAAATGAGACAGCAGGTAGCAGGTATGAAAGTTGAGAACACAGACTTGAATCTCATCAGCAAGGCAGAGCCCTGGTCCTGATGCCCATGGCTGTGGGGCCCTGCAGATGCCTTACCTTCTTTGAGCTGCACTCTCCACATCTGTAGAACAAGAATAGGTAAACTCACTGTGGGCTTTGTCAGCATTATATGATTTATATAAATCATCGTGCATAGTGCCTAACAGCTAGCTTAAATCTGTGGTTAAAAACTGTTTTTAAGTGATGGTGCTTGGAAGAAGAATTTACAGTTGCACACTGTGGGCTTTTATATTATTGCTGTTAGCATGACCGTTATCATCAGTGATTCAAGGAACCCCAGGTTCCAAGAAACAAGAATGAAGCAAGTATAGCTTCATAGATATCCTTCCTTCTTCAAAAATCTCTTCATTGCTATCAAGTAAGATTAAAATGCCTTGACTTGACAGACAAGGCTGTCCGGGCTCTGATTACTCTCTTCAGCCTTACTTCTCACTCTCTCTCCTGTTTCCACCATCTCCCCACCTCACTCTACAACCCACCTGCTCACTATGGGCCATTCCCCCAAACACTCTTTATAGTTCAAATCTCTGTGTCTTTCTTCTTTCCATTTTCTCCTCTTGGAAAGACCTTTTGACCTATCTCTACCTATTGAAATTCATGTTTCGAGTCCAATAAAACCTCCTTGTAGGCCGTTGCTACTGCCACTACCGTTGTCACCTCCTGAATTCATTTACTCCTTCAATCTTTGCTTGTACCGCTACTCTGATTTAGTTAGCCTTTTGTTTTGTTTAGTCTATTTAGCTGCTTCCATGACTCAATTCCCTACCCCATTACAAGCCCCTTTAGGGCAGAGGGGCAGGCATCTGTCATAATCATCTTTGTAATCCTTGTTAGCTAGCGCAGCAGCTGACACAAAGGTGGAACACAGTAGTCATTGGAAAGGAGAAAAGAAAGAAAGGCAGAAGGACAGAAGAAATTGTGTCATGAACTGCCCTCTGTGGAGCTCAGATATGTGCTAGCAATAAGCATTAGTGCTATGCTCTGATGAACCAAGTGGCACAGCCCACCGAGAATACCCAGAAATGGAAAAATACACTTCTCCCTTGCATTATAAGCTTCCAGAGAGTTTTTAATCATTCCATGCTGTCAGATTATGAAATCCCAGAAAATCTGAAGCCCTAAGGGGCCTAACAATAATGTAATTATTCAGTATCTTCATATTGCAGATGTGCAAACTGAGGCCAAGAGAGATTTAGCCTCTGTTCCCCAGAGTTATTCAGCAAATCAGCAGCAGAGCTGAGACAAGGATCAGGGAGCTCTGTGGCTGCCATGTCCAGACCCTCCCCTTGTTAGCAACAAACCACCATTCCCAGGCCTTGCTTGATTTTCATTTTCCTGGGCTTGACCCACATACCCAATTTCCTGCTGTCCCAGCCCAGTGAAGTAGTGGCTCATTCCAGGGGCTTGTTACTCAAACAAAAAGAGATGAAAACAACACATTCTGAGAGAATAAAGCAGCCAGCAAAAGGGTTCCGTGAAACAGTGAAATTAGAGGGAGCCCAGTCCATAAGACCACCCTAAGGTCTGACAACAATTGCATGTCTTGGGGTTCCCCAAGACCAAAGGTGTGAAAAATTCACTATCAGGACTCACAGAACTCACTGAAAGCTGTTATTCTCATGGTTAGGTCTTATTACATGGAAAGGGCACCAATTAAAATCAGCCAAGAGAAGAGACACATTAGGCAGGAGCCAGGGAAGGCCCAAATGCAGAGTTCCCACTTTCCTCTTCCCATGGAGCCATGGGTGTGTTATTTCCCTGGCATCAGTGTGAGACAACATACACAGTGTTGCCACCCGGAGAAGCTCCCTTGAGCCATGGTATCCAGAGTTTGTATTGGGGCTCTATCACATACGTATAGTTAGATAATTGAAATAAGTGACTAAAGCAAAGATCTCAATCAATAGAGGTTTGTTAAGCCAGCTTCAGGGTGTATCGGGGAAAAACTCAAGCCACACACATGTCTGTGGCTATTTTTCCAAATAGGTTTTCAGGCAGTTTAGTATTTACACATTTCCTTAAAGAGGGGCAGGCATCCAAGAAGAAGAGACGGTAGGCAGTAAGGTGAATGGTTACATTCTTGTGAGACTTTAGTTAGTGCCCAGTAAATCTACATTTTACATAAGATAAGGTGAATGTTTGAAAAGAAAAAAAAAGTAAAGGAAGAATCAATTACATAGACTTCTCTGGGTAGGTAGAGAGCTGACTGATCTCTTGTCTTTCTTCTACACCTGGGAAGATAAGCTTGTAATGACATTATCAGTGTGAAACCAAACAGATATTAGTTTTAGGAGCAAGACTTAGATTGTAGACCTAAAGTTACAATTGGTATGTCCTTGTTCACAAGAGGCCAAAAAATAATTTACCTATGAATGATCTGTGGAGGCAGTCACACTTGGAGATGCCTGAGGCCTTTTACCTTTCCTGGTGGTCTGGCTAATGCATAATGCTAGTAACAGCTACTCATTTGGAAGAGGGTGTTGCATGACTCAGGCTGTAGGTTTAACCTTCCCTTTGGCATAAGGACTTTGGGATCCTGAGATTTTTTTTAATTTTCCTTTATGGGTTGTATGACCACATAGCTGATTTCAGTCTCCAACACCCCTGGAAGTTGAGCTGATACCGTGGGACCCAAAGTTCCCACCCTAAAAAAACATTGTTAAACTATTTGGCAGGACCCAACACACCAGGCAAATAAAAATGAAAACACCCTCAGGAATAACATTCCAAGGGCTTAGAGATGACCGGAAGCCAGGGACAAAGGCCAGACCTCCCTTAGGCAAGGTTAACTTCTTTACCACACTGAACCCTGCATCTATATTCTTCCTGACCTTCTTTACCTTTGTTTTCACAAAGCATACCGGGAAATGCGTGTGCTTTGGAATCAGGCAGGCCTGTGTAGGCTGTACCACTTATACCTGTGTGGCCTCAGCCATTCACTTATGCCTGTAAGCCTCAGTTTTCTCCTGTGGAAAATGATGATAGAGGTGCCTATCCCTTGTGGTGTTTGTAGGGATCGGCGTTCATGCTTTCAGTGTATAATGTCCAATATAATACTAATATGTAGCAGGTACCGTAAACTCAGAAAATCTAAGACAGGTCTCAGTTAATCTGGAAAGTTTATTTTGCCAAGGTTGAGGACCCATCCGTGACACAGCCTCAGAAAGTCCTGATGACATGTGCCCAAGGTGGTCAGGGCACAGCTTGGTTTTATACATTTTTGGGAGAGCTGAGACATCAATCAATATATGTAAGAAGTACCTTAGTTCCTTCCAGAAAGGTGAGGACAATTCAAAGCAAGTCCCCCACCCCACCCCCGGGGGCTTCCAGGTCACAGGTAGGTGAGAGACAAATGGTTGCACTCTTTTGAGTTTCTGATAAGTCTTTCCAAAGGAGGCAATCAGAATATGGATCTATCTCTGTGAGCAGAGGGATGAGTTTGTTAGAATGGGAGGCAGATTTGCCCTGAGCAGTTTCCAGCTTGAAAGGGCCCAAGATATTTTCCTTTCATAGTACCCAATAAATGAGAGCTCACACTTGCAGCCTTCTCTTCTTCATCTCTCCTCCTCCTCCTCCCCCCCTACTCCTTCCTCCTCCCCTTCTTCCCCCACCCCCTTGCTCTCTCTGTTTCCCTTTTCAACTCTCTATCTTCTCTCAGGACAGGAAGATGTCACTTCAGTGTGCTGTGAATAAGGAAATGCCAAATTTAAGGGAACCAGATTCTTGCAGCAGTCTTGGGATATCCTGCCTCCCAGAGACAGCACCTGATGGCATCTGTTTAACAAAGCTAGCTGTCTAGGGCTGGGATGAACAGGACTCACACTTTGTAATGACTTAGCTCCACTCCAAGTCTGGTGTAAATTGAAGATGAAAATGTGTTTTCCAAAAATACTCAGGCTGTTGCTGATGCCTGGGCCTGTTTCACCTTGGTTATACAATAGTCTTGTCTGTGCTTCTCTTCTGGGCCTACATGGCTGGGCTTGCATGCCAGGCAACTTTCCTAAGAAAAACCCCGCACTTATCCCTGGTGTGAGCAAACAATAAACTCACCATGCAGAGAAAAGGTCTAAAGCACCCCAGAGTGACATTGACCATGTTATGAAGCAACGTCTTAGTGAGGCCATGGAACTTGCACCACCCTGAGTTAGGCTCGCGCGTCTCTCAGTGGCTTTCCTGATGCTTCCTAGAATTGTTCTGTGGTTTGGGAAAAGGCACACCTTCCCCAGACTCTCATTCCATGATTGAGATTAGCCTTCCATGTTTATTCTCTCCAAAAATGCCTTCTCCAACTCCCATACTACTCCCTGACTACATGTCCTTCTCTCTACAGAATTATAATCAAAAAGAAAAAAACAAAAAAATTTTGGTTCAGGGCCTCGGTTTCCAGATTATTAAAAAATCTGAGTCACAGATTTTGCCATTTCCTTCACTCCATTTCTTCCCACCAATGTAGCATTCAGAATAATCAATGGCAACAGGCTAGTGCATCTTCTACCTAAGAATCCCATAGTAGGCCGGGCGTGGTGGCTCACGCCTGTAATCCCAGCACTTTGGGAGGCCAAGGCGGGCAGATCACGAGGTCAGGAGATCGAGACCATCCTGGCTAACACGGTGAAACCCCGTCTCTACTAAAAATACAAAAAATCAGCCGGGTGTGATGGCGGGCGCCTGTAGTCCCAGCTACTTGCGAGGCTGAGGCAGGAGAATGGCATGAACCCGGGAGGCGGAGCTTGCAGTGAGCCGAGATCGCACCACTGCACTCCAGCCTTGGCGACAGAGCAACTAAAAAAAAAAAAAAATCCCATCGTAAGCCTGTGATGTATCCAGAAAATTAGATCTAGGTAAGACGATGAAACATTCATGCACTGCCCTTATTTTACTGCAAGAACTAGAGTGAAGAAGGTAGTTTTCCCCAAGTCACAGACATTCTTAGTGAGTAAAGCAGGGTAATCAGTGAAGACAGAACTTGAGTGAACTCAACCAAAGATTTTGCTTTCCGTATGTTCAGGTTATTTTTATGACTGCCATCTCTTCAAACTGTTCTTCCCCTGTAAGTATATCCTCCTTTCTTCATCTATTTTGCAGTCATTCTTTCTCCTGTTTCTTTCCTAAATCAGACATCATTATCTTTTTTAATCTTAAACTTTTTTATTAAGTCAGAGGAATAGGTCTTCTTCCGTAATTCATTAATTCAACAGATATTTATTTAGTGTTTCCTACATACAAGGAACTATTCTAGGCTTTCTGGAAAAAGCAATGAACAAAACAGACAAAAGTCCCTGTTTTCATATAGTTTACATGCTAGTAGTGGAAAGCAATGGCAATAAGCAAACAAAAAATGTAAATGTATATATTACATCAGATGATAAATGCTTTGAATAAAAAAATGCAAGGAAGGAGGACAAAGGCTCCCAGAGTGGAGGGAACTTACAGTTTTAAATAGGATGGTCAAGGAAGTTCTCATTAAAAAGAGCAAGAAACAGAGGAGGTGCTCAAGGGAGGTTTGCAGGTATCAAGACAGAGGTAATCACAGGTTTGAAGTCTTTGAGGGGGCACATGACCTGTGTGCCCTAACAACAACTGGGAGGCCATTATAGCTGGAGCAGACTGAACAAGAGAGAAGGGGAACTTAGAAAGAGGATCAGAGAAGAGAGGAGGGGCCAGAATGTATAGGGCTGTCAGTATTAACTGCAGAGTAACTAAGGGATACAAATACAAAGGAATTATAGTTAGAATTATAGTTATGGTACTTTACTTTTACTCCAAACATATAGGAAGCCAATGGAGAGTTTTGAGTGCAGTTGAGAAATAACTTGACATATTTTTAAGGATGTGGCCAGGTACACTGGCCCCTTCCTGTAATTCCAGCACTTTGGGGGACTGAGGTGGGATGATCACTTGAGGCCTGTAGGTCAAAGTTACAGTGAGCTATGATTACATCACTGCATTTCAGCCTGGGTGACAGAGTAAGACTCTGTCTCTAAAAAAAAAAAAAAAAAAAAAAAGGAATTATAGCTTCTCAGGTAAACTTGTGTCATGGGGGTTCATGGTACAGATTATTTCATTACCCATGTACTAAGCCTAATACCCATTATTTTTCCTGATCCTCTCCCTCCTCCCATCCTCCACCCTCCGATAGGCCCCAGTGTATGTTCTTCCCCTCTCTGTACCCTTGTGTTCTCATCATTTAGTTCCCACTTACAAATGAGAACATGCAGTGATTTGGTTTTCTGTTCCTGTATTACTTTGCCAAGGATAATGGCTCCATCCATGTCCCCGCAAAGGACATAATATTATTCTTTTTTGTGGCTGCACAGTATTCCATGGTGTATATGTACCATATTTTCTTTATCCAGTCTATCATTGATGGGCATTTAAGTTGATTCCATGTCTTTTCTATTGCGACTCATGCTACAGTGAACGTACGTGTGCTTTTTTAAGCACAGACTCAGGAGGCAAAATAAAAGTGCAATCAGGTAGGAGATATAGTGGTGACCTGGATCAGGGTAGTATTAGTGGAGGCAACAAGAAATAGACTGTTATACATTAGTGTAAATAACATGGTATTTCTTGATTAATTTTATATGGCTAGATACAGGAAAAGAGAGCGAGAGAGAATGAAGGGGAGAGAGAGAAATAAGAATGACACAAAAAATTTTGACCAACAACTGAAAGGATGAAGTTGCCATGGCCATTTGGGGACAAATTATGCTTACTCCCTCTGCCTCAATTTTCTCATCTGCCAAGTGGGGGAAAATAACCAAAATGATATGGTGATTATGACAGATAAATGAGTTAATACAAGCAAAATGCTTAGAATTGTGTCTGGTGCATAATAGTTAGCTACTGTTACATCCTCCTCCTCTTCTCCCTGTGTATTCCTTCAGAGAACTAAACACAGTCTGATATGATCTTGTTTATTTTTTCTTTATATATCTCCTCCACCAAAATGTAAGCTTCATGAAGGCAATGGTCTCACCTGTCAAGTTCATGCCATATCACCAGCTTCTGCAACAGCATTTCAACCTTAGTATATGCTCGATGAATATTTAATGCATAGAAGTATGAAAAGGTAAAATAGTCAGCCCAGATTTTCCAGGACATCTCTCTTGACATAGGCACTGTTCATCTCACACACACATACTTGTCCATTTGTGACTTAGAAAATGTGGTCACTGCCATTAAGATGAACCACAGATAGGTTAGATGGTTCATGCAGGAAGATTTCTGTGTATGCTATGCCTTGGCGAAAGGAAAATTCTATCTAAACACAGCCATCAGTGAAAGGTCTGAGATTCCATGGACAGTAATCTCAGTATGCTCTGTATGAAGCTGAAATCAATGCACCTGGTTGTTCTGTAATTAGCAGAGCTGCTGCCCTGCCTCCACTCTCTGCTTCCACTGTCAAGGTGTTGCTCATCTCTGGGCTGGCTTTCCATCCCAAGATGGTTTGGCTTGCTGTGCATGGCTGGAGGGAAGCAGGAGAGGGCAAGGACCCAATTAGATTGAAATGGAATCGAGTCTTTGGAGGCCCCTTGTCAGGGTGAAGAGTGTTGGATGTTCCCAGTGATGGCAGATGCTTCTTTATTTGGGCTGATCTCAGAGGTTAGAGATCATTTGTAAATCAGATTTGCTCCATTTGGTATGGCAAGTCCTGTTTTCTGTGCCTTATTTTTTTTTTAATCCCTGAATCTTTTTCCCTGTGTTTTGACATGCTTGCTGCCAGCAGAAAGGCTGTTTGGTCTGGAATGAATATTTCAAATTCTTGGGAGCAGCTAAGGTAGCAACCAAGTCCATAAGGGAATGGATGATCTGTTCACGTGGTGCTAAAACAACCCAGTGGGAAGAATATAGGCAGAACACATGACAGTACGAATGAGTACAAAGTGAAGCCTCAATAATAATTTCCCCTGATTTTAGATGGGAGAAGGGGAAATGAGTTATATTCATTATTTCGTCTTTAATTTGTGGTTCTTAGTCTTTGTATAGATGATATTCCAGGGAATGTAATCTTCAAAGAAATAATATCCCATTCTGAGTATAAACACAAATTTTAATCCAAATTATGAGATGTTTAACCCAGATTAATAGACTCATAAGAACCCGTGGGCTATCTGAAATGTGTTTGTTTGCTTGGATATGTTTAGTTAACAGCCACTTATGACAAATACTTCCTACGAAGCACTCGTTCTAATGTTTTAAAAATATTATTTCATGGAATCCTCACAGCCCAAGAGGTATATATTATTATTATCCCCACACAAAGAAGGTAATTGAGATCCTGAGAGGTTGAGACTCACAGCTAGAAAGAAGCAGAGCTAGTATTTGCATCCAGGTAGTCTGGATCCAGTTGTTTGCAAAATGCTATAATGGCTCCAAGACAGGACCAGCTTTGGAGTTGTTTCTTAATTTTGTCTTATTAAGGGAGGGCATATTGAAAGGAATCAGGAGCATCTCATAGAATCTAAGAGCCAAGAGAGCAGTCAGCCCTGTGTGGATAGTAATCGGGGAATATAAAGTCAAAAGAAGTCTTTTTAGCCATCTGTTCTGTCTTTTAGCTCTTCTTCATGTTTTCTTTGTAAGACTGGCCTAGGAACCCACTCATCAGCTTGAATGTGGCCCATCTTAGCTGACCAGCACAGTAGCCCCATCCTCTTAGCCTTTTCCACCTGCCTCTCACATTTTCCTCTCATCAGTCTCCCAGTCATCTGAAACTTTAAAGATAATGATGACTGGCCTAAATGACAGAGATTTAAAAGTTTAATTTTCAGAAGCTTCACTGGAAATCTTGAGGGGCACTGCAGCAGCCTGTTCAGAACTCTTTATGTCACACTTCTTCCTTTATGCAGTGACACTTGTGACAATGGCCTGGGGCCTAAATGAGGCAAAAGTGAGAGCATTAGCCCTGATGTGGCAGTACTAGATATCTAGCAGAATCTATTTTGTACCTCAAAACCTTATTTTCTTTTTGATAAAAATCAATATTGTAAATCAAGTGAGCATCATCATGATTTCCCACGGATATTCATTGTTCAGGATGTATTAACAGTCCATACGGACAGAGCACCATGGTCCATGAACCCCGAGGTGTTCTGACATCCTGTTCTGTGATTCAAAAAAAGCAAGATGTGTGCACAGTCTCCAACCTATGAAGGCCCAGATGGCAACTTTCCATGTTTAAACTGCTTTTTATTATAAATATTTACACACACACACACACATATGCACATACTTCATGACAACACCAACTTGTATTTACAACAGGCTTACTTACTGCAACCAACTCTTATGCCAATTATTCACTGAGGGAATTGAAATCAGTCCAGTGTAATCAACAATAGTAAGAAAAAGCAATCGGCTTAGTTGTGGGAGGGAATAATTTTTTATTGCAAACCTTTGTAAGCAGCATGCAAATTATATGCTTCTCTACCAAAGCTACAGTGCTGACCAAGGCAACATTTCTCTTTCAAAAACTAAGAACCCATGTGGTAAAACATCCAGGAAGGAATTTTCAACATGAGGAAAGGATGGTTTGAGCTTATCAGGAAGAGAGGGCTATAAACTCAAGGAAAAGCTGCAAATGCAGAAAAGAAGAAAAAGAAGAATCTTCCAGAAAACTGTGCTGAAATTGTTGAAATAAGAAGATAGTCATCGCAAAGAATATTTTATATCACACAACAAGGATCAAGATTTCTTGGCCAACGCCTGATTGAAGAAGCTTTCAGGCATACTGACTCATAAGAAAAGTTGTAAGAGAGCTGACTTTAATTTTAATTCAGTCCAGAGGACCCTGGAGCAAAGAAAAGTGTTTAAGAAGCTTGTTAAGAGACATATTTCCCAGGAAAGAAAGCCAGTGTTTTCATTTTAAACTCCATCGCACTTAGTTTTTAAAGCCTCTTTAAAAAGAAAGAAAATAAATTATAGCCTTTACATTCAGTGTTTCATTTTTGCTTTCTAATAAATGTTGCAAAAGCACATATTTTGGAGGTTATTTTCCCCTTCATTTATTTTCATGATTAGTGTTGGTATTTTTACGGTATACAAAGAGTTGCCATAAGCATAATACCAATTCATAACATCACACCAAGGGGAAATAAGGGCTTATATTACATTCACTACATTTGCCAGCAGAAAACAATTAGGTTAGCAGTTGCAATTCAAGTAAATTCAGAGTAGCCATAAAATCACCAATGCCTTGGGAGGAGTTACAGGACATTTCAGAATCTTTACTGAAGGAAGAAATGCAACTTCTTTCCTGCCATTTGTTGATGCTGCAATTCCATTTGTGAAAGGAAAAAGTCTAACCACCATAATAGCTCTGTTAGTTTTTCTTGGGATGGCAGAATCATAGGCCTGAGAGACCTGCATATAAATCCTGCCTGGGTCTTTTATAATCTGAGCTTCAGGAAGCTGCTTAACCTTCTGGGACTGAGTTTCTTCATTGGAAAATGGTAATAATCACACTTCCCTTGCAAAGTGATGGTAAGTATTAGAGATAATCTACTCAACAGCACCTGGCACATAGAATGGACGAAATAATGGCCATATTATTTTACTTTTCCTAATGAGGACAATAATATTTATAGTAGAGTTTTGAGATTATGTTCAAACAAGTCACTGGCTCTTTACATACGGATCTCTTGAATGTCCTATGCCATTCCAGTCCATTGTTATAAATCTCTGTTTTTATTTAATAACTCATTTCCATTCAACTCAGCAACCATTCAGCAAGCACTACTATGGACACAGTGCTAGGCAAGGCAAGGCATACAAACACAAATCATGCATTGGCCTTTGCCCTCCAGGAACTACTGGGTTGTTGCAAAAGTAGTTGCAGTTATTGCCATTACTTTTTTTGAGACGGAGTCTCCCTCTGTTGCCCAGGCCAGAGTGCAACGGCGCGATCTCGGCTTACTGCAAGCTCTGCCTCCCGGGTTCACACCATTCTCCTGCCTCAGCCTCCCGAGTAGCTGGGACTACAGGCGCCCACCAACACGCCTGGCTAATTTTTTGTATTTTTAGTAGAGACAGGGTTTCACCATGTTAGCCAGGATGGTCTCGATCTCCTGACCTCGTGATCCGCCCGTCTCAGCCTCACAAAGTGCTGGGATTACAGGCGTGAGCCACCGTGCCCGGCCGCCATTACTTTTAATGGTAAAAACCCCAATTACTTTTGCACCAACCTAATACAGTTTTTTTATTTATTGGCTAATTGTTCCGTCCCAGTCCAAAGAACTCTGACGAACTTCAATCCTGTTGAGTTTACTTATTCCTTTGTTTATTCATCTGTTTATTCAACATCCAAGTTTGTGCTATGTGCCGGGACAGTGGCGGATCTTGAACCAGACGTAGTCCCTGTTCACGAGGAGCACTCTAGAGGGTTACTAGGGTTTGGTTTGTCCCTACCAAAACTCATGTTGAAATTTGATCCCCAGTGTAGCAGTATGGGAGGTGGGGTCTGATGAAAGGTGTTTGGGCCATGGGGTCGGATCCCTCTTGGGTGGCTTGGTGCCATTCCCAAGGTAGTGAGTGAGTTCTTGCTATGATGATACTGGATTAGTTCTCACAAAAATGGATTAGTTCCCATGAGAGTGGGTTCTTATAAAGCCAGGACACCCCTGGGGTTTTGTCTCTTTGTGTGTGTACCCTTTCCCTATGTCTTCTTCACCATGTTAGCATGCAGCACAAAAGCTCTCACCAAAAAGCAGAGCTATGCCCTTGAACTTCACAGTCTATAAAACTATAAGCTAAATAAACTTCTTTTCTTTATAAATTACCCAGTCTCTGATATTCTGAGACCATGGTATTGTTAGAGCAACACAAAATGGACTAAGACAAGGAGAATGCAGAGTGATTAATGTTCCAGGTTGGAATCCATACTTGTCTGACTTCAGAACTGGGGCCCAAATCTGCCATGCTGTACTGAGACATTTAATGAGCTTTATTAAAATCCAGTCACACACCCTGCTTCATCTCCTAGTAGACTTCTAGGAAGGGCTTTCTGGTATGTACCCAAAACTAGTCACCTAGTTTAGATTTGGGAAAGAAATGGCACTAGGGACGTCAGTGTACGCATCCAATTCCTGGCCAAAGTTTCTACCTCAAGTACATTGCTGCTTTCTGCCCTGCAGAGGCAAGACCATGAATAACAAAATGCTTAAGCAGCCCTCCTATTTCTTTAGTTTCTAGACCAAATCCTCTCTCTGAGCAATTAGCCCCTTGCTTGCTTTCTCCTTGATCTCAGCCTGGCTGGCCCTCTGTGGCCCCCCAACTGAGATCCCACCAAGTACAGGGTAAATCCAACCTATGTTTTCATTCCAGATTCAGCACCCCGCCTTATCCCTTGTGACTAGTTTTGGGTACATACCAGAGAGCCCTTCCTAGAAGTCTACTAGGAGATGGAGCAGGGTGTGTGACTGGACTTTAATAAAGCTCATTAAGTGTCTCAGTACAGCATGGCAGATTTGGGCCCCAGTTCTGAAGTCAGACAAGTATGGATTCCAACCTGAAACATGCTCCCATGAATTGTAGGGTTTTAGGGAGGATATTTAACTTTACTGAGCCCTAGTTTCCTCTTCTGTAATATGGGAATAACAATAGTTTTAGCGCCAGGGATCTTGTGAGGATTAAATAAATTCATATTGGTGAAAGGCTTAGCTTAGTGTGTGATATTTGATAAGCTCTCAACCAATATATCACCGTTAAAGCAGGTGCTCTCCAAAACTGCTTCACTTTGGAACAAACTGTCCCAAGTTCACTGAGGGCTTGAACTTTTAGCAGGGAAGGCAGTTCTCAGGGATTCAGACCTTTTTCTACAGGAAGAGAGAAAATTGAGACAGAAAAAGAGAACTGAACAACAGAAGAAGAGAATTGGAGATATACATACGCTCCCCAAAGACACACCAGGCTTTGCCCTCTATCCAACTAATCAAATTTGAACATTATATCATTTTTGTTTTAGATTTTCTTTGAAAAAATTTAGAGATATAGTTGAAGTTTATTGTGTATTCTCCTCCAATTCCTCTCCTTCTCCAAGCATTACTGTTGTCCTAAACTTGGTATTATTTCCACACATGTTTTTCTACTATCATAAGTATATGTAAAATTCAAAACAATATAGTTTCACATAAAGAATATGTAGCATTGTTTTAAACCTTATATAAATAGCATTTATAACTGAACTGTTAGTTGCCTACTCAATATTTTCTTTTCTTGCTTACAGAACTTGCAATTTATTCTGATCAACAATTTGCCCAGCTAAAGTACTACATCTGCCCCCTCTTCCTGTGGCTGTAGGGGCACAGCAAAGGTCACTGGTCTAACCTCCTTAAAGGGACTCCGCTAACAGGTATATCTTTTGCGTTGCTTCCCCGTTTCTTTCCTTTTCCTATGTGGAACATGACTGAGGTGGATGTAGCTCCAATAGTCCTTTGGTTCATGACACCACCTTGATGATGGAAACCAGAGCTAAGGATGATGGAACAGAAAAAACGGGGTCCCGCAGGACCTTGGTGCCTCCATATCAGCCTTGGACTACCTACCTCTAGATTTGTTTTACATCATAAAGAAACCTCTACCTTGTTTAAGCCACTTATTGTTGTTGTTTTTGTAGTTGTTAAATGTGGCTGAACCTAACCCTAGATAATGGAGACTCATATGTATCGTCTTCCCAGTGGAACTTTTTGCTCAACTTTACATTTTGTTTCCTAGCATTCTGTTTGTTTTATGAGGCAAGCATAGTGTTAAAGCACCAATTCTGGAGTAGATGGGCTGGTTCACAGCCCAACTCTGCCACCGACAGCTATGAGACCTTTAAATACTTAAACTTCCCTGCTTCTTACTTTCTTCATCTGTAAAATGGGGATGCTAATAGTACCCCCCATCACAGGGTTGTTATGAGAGTTATATGAATTAATATTGACATGCAAAGTGCTTATAGTAGTACTTACAGCAAAATAATAGTTAACCCTTAATAAGACATTATTATATGCTATGTATTCATGAGATATAGTATAATTTTAACTGCCATTAGATATTCTATTATATAAATATGTTACAATTTTTTTATTCTACTCTTTGATGGACATTTGTTTCCATTTTTGACATTTACTGAATGATGACGTAATTAATATTTCTGAAGATCTCCTTGTGCACGTGTGCAAATTGCTTCAAGGTATGTATATAGATGTGAAAATGCTGGGTCTAAGAACATGTGCACTTTCAACACGGCTTAATAAAACTAAATTCTGGCCGGGTATGGTGGCTCATGCCTGTAATCCCAGCACTTTGGGAGGCCCAGGAGAGTGGATCACGAGGTCAGGAGTTCAAGACCAGCCTGGCCAAGATGGTGAAACCCCATCTCAACTAAAACTACAAAAATTAGCCAGGCGTAGTGGTAGGCACCTATAATCCCAGCTACTCAGGAGGCTGAGTCAGAGAATTGCTTGAACCTAGGAGGCAAAGGTTGCAGTGAGCCGAAACCACACCACTGCACTCCAGCCTGGGCCACAGAGTGAGACACTGTCTCAAAAATAAATAAATAAATAAATAAATAAATAAATAAATAAAGCAAGCTAAATTCTTCTCAAAATGGTCACAAAAATTTGTTTATGAGAGTGGGAGGAGCCAAGATGGCCGAATAGGAACAGCTCCGGTCTACAGCTCCCAGCGTGAGCGACGCAGAAGACGGGTGATTTCTGCATTTCCATCTGAGGTACCGGGTTCATCTCACTAGGGAGTGCCAGACAGTGGGCGCAGGCCAGTGTGTGTGCGCACCGTGCGCGAGCCGAAGCAGGGCGAGGCATTGCCTCACCTGGGAAGCGCAAGGGGTCAGGGAGTTCCCTTTCCGAGTCAAAGAAAGGGGTGACGGACGCACCTGGAAAATCGGGTCACTCCCACCCGAATATTGCGCTTTTCAGACCGGCTTAAGAAACGGCGCACCACGAGACTATATCCCACACCTGGCTCAGAGGGTTCTACGCCCACGGAATCTCGCTGATTGCTAGCACAGCAGTCTGAGATCAAACTGCAAGGCAGCAACGAGGCTGGGGGAGGGGCGCCCGCCATTGCCCAGGCTTGCTTAGGTAAACAAAGCAGCCGGGAACCTCGAACTTGGTGGAGCCCACCACAGCTCAAGGAGGCCTGCCTGCCTCTGTAGGCTCCACCTCTGGGGGCAGGGCACAGACAAACAAAAAGACAGCAGTAACCTCTGCAGACTTAAGTGTCCCTGTCTGACAGATTTGAAGAGAGCAGTGGTTCTCCCAGCACGCAGCTGGAGATCTGAGAACGGGCAGACTGCCTCCTCAAGTGGGTCCCTGACCCCTGACCCCCGAGCAGCCTAACTGGGAGGCACCCCCCAGCAGGGCCACACTGACACCTCACACGGCAGGGTATTCCAACAGACCTGCAGCTGAGGGTCCTGTCTGTTAGAAGGAAAACTAACAACCGGAAAGGACATCTACACCGAAAACCCATCTGTACATCACCATCATCAAAGACCAAAAGTAGATAAAACCACAAAGATGGGGAAAAAACAGAACAGAAAAACTGGAAACTCTAAAACGCAGAGCGCCTCTCCTCCTCCAAAGGAACGCAGTTCCTCACCAGCAACAGAACAAAGCTGGATGGAGAATGATTTTGACGAGCTGAGAGAAGAAAGCTTCAGACGATCAAATTACTCTAAGTTACGGGAGGACATTCAAACCAAAGGCAAAGAAGTTGAAAACTTTGAAAAAAATTTAGAAGAATGTATAACTAGAATAACCAATACAGAGAAGTGCTTAAAGGAGCTGATGGAGCTGAAAACCAAGGCTCGAGAACTACGTGAAGAATGCAGAAGCCTCAGGAGCCGATGCGATCAACTGGAAGAAAGGGTATCAGCAATGGAAGATGAAATGAATGAAATGAAGCGAGAAGGGAAGTTTAGAGAAAAAAGAATAAAAAGAAATGAGCAAAGCCTCCAAGAAATATGGGACTATGTGAAAAGACCAAATCTACGTCTGATTGGTGTACCTGAAAGTGATGTGGAGAATGGAACCAAGTTGGAAAACACTCTGCAGGATATTATCCAGGAGAACTTCCCCAATCTAGCAAGGCAGGCCAACGTTCAGATTCAGGAAATACAGAGAACGCAACAAAGATACTCCTCGAGAAGAGCAACTCCAAGACACATAATTGTCAGATTCACCAAAGTTGAAATGAAGGAAAAAATGTTAAGGGCAGCCAGAGAGAAAGGTCGGGTTACCCTCAAAGGAAAGCCCATCAAACTAACAGCGGATCTCTCGGCAGAAACCCTACAAGCCAGAAGAGAGTGGGGGCCAATATTCAACATTCTTAAAGAAAAGAATTTTCAACCCAGAATTTCATATCCAGCCAAGCTAAGCTTCATAAGTGAAGGAGAAATAAAATACTTTATAGACAAGCAAATGCTGAGAGATTTTGTCACCACCAGGCCTGCCCTAAAAGAGCTCCTGAAGGAAGCGCTAAACATGGAAAGGAACAACCGGTACCAGCCGCTGCAAAATCATGCCAAAATGTAAAGACCATCGAGACTAGGAAGAAACTGCATCAACTAATGAGCAAAATCACCAGCTAACATCATAATGACAGGATCAAATTCACACATAACAATATTAACTTTAAATATAAATGGACTAAATTCTGCAATTAAAAGACACAGACTGGCAAGTTGGATAAAGAGTCAAGACCCATCAGTGTGCTGTATTCAGGAAACCCATCTCATGTGCAGAGACACACATAGGCTCAAAATAAAAGGATGGAGGAAGATCTACCAAGCCAATGGAAAACAAAAAAAGGCAGGGGTTGCAATCCTAGTCTCTGATAAAACAGACTTTAAACCAACAAAGATCAAAAGAGACAAAGAAGGCCATTACATAATGGTAAAGGGATCAATTCAACAAGAGGAGCTAACTATCCTAAATATTTATGCACCCAATACAGGAGCACCCAGATTCATAAAGCAAGTCCTGAGTGACCTACAAAGAGACTTAGACTCCCACACATTAATAATGGGAGACTTTAACACCCCACTGTCAACATTAGACAGATCAATGAGACAGAAAGTCAACAAGGATACCCAGGAATTGAACTCAGCTCTGCACCAAGCAGACCTAATAGACATCTCCAGAACTCTCCACCCCAAATCAACAGAATATACATTTTTTTCAGCACCACACCACACCTATTCCAAAATTGACCACATAGTTGGAAGTAAAGCTCTCCTCAGCAAATGTAAAAGAACAGAAATTATAACAAACTATCTCTCAGACCACAGTGCAATCAAACTAGAACTCAGGATTAAGAATCTCACTCAAAGCCGCTCAACTACATGGAAACTGAACAACCTGCTCCTGAATGACTACTGGGTACATAACGAAATGAAGGCAGAAATAAAGATGTTCTTTGAAACCAACGAGAACAAAGACACCACATACCAGAATCTCTGGGACGCATTCAAAGCAGTGTGTAGAGAGAAGTTTATAGCACTAAATGCCTACAAGAGAAAGCAGGAAAGATCCAAAATTGACACCCTAACATCACAATTAAAAGAACTAGAAAAGCAAGAGCAAACACATTCAAAAGCTAGCAGAAGGCAAGAAATAACTAAAATCAGAGCAGAACTGAAGGAAATAGAGACACAAAAAACCCTTCAAAAAATCAATGAATCCAGGAGCTGGTTTTTTGAAAGGATCAACAAAATTGATAGACCGCTAGCAAGACTAATAAAGAAAAAAAGAGAGAAGAATCAAATAGACACAATAAAAAATGATAAAGGGGATATCACCACCGATCCCACAGAAATACAAACTACCATCAGACAATACTACAAACACCTCTATGCAAATAAACTAGAAAATCTAGAAGAAATGGATACATTCCTCGACACATACACTCTCCCAAGACTAAACCAGGAAGAAGTTGAATCTCTGAATAGACCAATAACAGGCTCTGAAATTGTGGCAATAATCAATAGTTTACCAACCAAAAAGAGTCCAGGACCAGATGGATTCACAGCCGAATTCTACCAGAGGTACAAGGAGGAACTGGTACCATTCCTTCTGAAACTATTCCAATAAATAGAAAAAGAGGGAATCCTCCCTAACTCATTTTATGAGGCCAGCATCATCCTGATACCAAAGCCGGGCAGAGACACAACCAAAAAAGAGAATTTTAGACCAATATCCTTGATGAACATTGATGCAAAAATCCTCAATAAAATACTGGCAAACCGAATCCAGCAGCACATCAAAAAGCTTATCCACCATGATCAAGTGGGCTTCATCCCTGGGATGCAAGGCTGGTTCAATATACACAAATCAATAAATGTAATCCAGCATATAAACAGAGCCAAAGACAAAAACCACATGATTATCTCAATAGATGCAGAAAAAGCCTTTGACAAAATTCAACAACCCTTCATGCTAAAAACTCTCAATAAATTAGGTATTGATGGGACATATTTCAAAATAATAAGAGCTATCTATGACAAACCCACAGCCAATATCATTCTGAATGGGCAAAAACTGGAAACATTCCCTTTGAAAACTGGCACAAGACAGGGATGCCCTCTCTCACAACTCCTATTCAACATAGTGTTGGAAGTTCTGGCCAGGGCAATCAGGCAGGAGAAGGAAATAAAGGGTATTCAATTAGGAAAAGAGGAAGTCAAATTGTCCCTGTTTGCAGACGACATGATTGTTTATCTAGAAAACCCCATCGTCTCAGCCCAAAATCTCCTTAAGCTGATAAGCAACTTCAGCAAAGTCTCAGGATACAAAATCAATGTACAAAAATCACAAGCATTCTTATACACCAACAACAGACAAACAGAGAGCCAAATCATGAGTGAACTCCCATTCACAATTGCTTCAAAGAGAATAAAATACCTAGGAATCCAACTTACAAGGGATGTGAAGGACCTCTTCAAGGAGAACTACAAACCACTGCTCAAGGAAATAAAAGAGGACACAAACAAATGGAAGAACATTCCATGCTCATGGGTAGGAAGAATCAATATCGTGAAAATGGCCATACTGCCCAAGGTAATTTACAGATTCAATGCCATCCCCATCAAGCTACCAATGACTTTCTTCACAGAATTGGAAAAAACTACTTTAAAGTTCATATGGAACCAAAAAAGAGCCCACATTGCCAAGTCAATCCTAAGCCAAAAGAACAAAGCTGGAGGCATCACACTACCTGACTTCAAACTATACTACAAGGCTACAGTAACCAAAACAGCATGGTACTGGTACCAAAACAGAGATATAGATCAATGGAACAGAACAGAGCCCTCAGAAATAATGCCACATATCTACAACTATCTGATCTTTGACAAACCTGAGAAAAACAAGCAATGGGGAAAGGATTCCCTATTTAATAAATGGTGCTGGGAAAACTGGCTAGCCATATGTAGAAAGCTGAAACTGGATCCCTTCCTTACACCTTATACAAAAATTAATTCAAGATGGATTAAAGATTTAAACGTTAGACCTAAAACCATAAAAACCCTAGAAGAAAACCTAGGCATTACCATTCAGGACATAGGCGTGGGCAAGGACTTCATGTCCAAAACACCAAAAGCAATGGCAACAAAAGCCAAAATTGACAAATGGGATCTAATTAAACTAAAGAGCTTCTGCACAGCAAAAGAAACTACCATCAGAGTGAACAGGCAACCTACAACATGGGAGAAAATTTTCGCAACCTACTCATCTGACAAAGGGCTAATATCCAGAATCTACAATGAACTCAAACAAATTTACAAGAAAAAAACAAACAACCCCATCAAAAAGTGGGCAAAGGACATGAACAGACACTTCTCAAAAGAAGACATTTATGCAGCCAAAAAACACATGAAGAAATGCTCATCATCACTGGCCATCAGAGAAATGCAAATCAAAACCACTATGAGATATCATCTCACACCAGTTAGAATGGCAATTATTAAAAAGTCAGGAAACAACAGGTGCTGGAGAGGATGTGGAGAAATAGGAACACTTTTACACTGTTGGTGGGACTGTAAACTAGTTCAACCATTGTGGAAGTCAGTGTGGCGATTCCTCAGGGATCTAGAACTAGAAATACCATTTGACCCAGCCATCCCATTACTGGGTATATACCCAAAGGACTATAAATCATGCTGCTATAAAGACACATGCACACGTATGTTTATTGCGGCACTATTCACAATAGCAAAGACTTGGAACCAACCCAAATGTCCAACAATGATAGACTTGATTAAGAAAATGTGGCACATATACACCATGGAATACTATGCAGCCATAAAAAATGATGAGTTCATGTCCTTTGTAGGGACATGGATGAAATTGGAAATCATCATTCTCAGTAAACTATCGCAAGAACAAAAAACCAAACACCGCATATTCTCACTCATAGGTGGGAATTGAACAATGAGATCACTTGGACACAGGAAGGGGAATATCACACTCTGGGGACTGTGGTGGGGTCGGGGGAGGGGGGGAGGGATAGCATTGGGAGATATACCTAATGCTAGATGACACGTTAGTGGGTGCAGCGCACCAGCATGGCACATGTATACATATGTAACTAACCTGCACAATGTGCACATGTACCCTAAAACTTAGAGTATAATAAAAAAAAAAAAATTAAAAAAAAAAAATTTGTTTATGAAAGTATCCATTGCATCTCATCTTTGCCAAATCTCAACTTTAATTAGACTTCTCATTTTTCACCAGTCTGATGATGGTATAACAAGGTAATTTCATTGCTGTTTTAATTTACATGTCCCTGATTACTAGTTAAGCTGAAAATAACTGTATGATTTGGAGATATTTGGATTTCTTTTCTGTGAATAACCTGTTCGTGTCATTTTTTATTTTTCCATTGAGTTATCTTTTCCTTTTCAAATTTGTGTATCTAATAATGTTACAAACATCTCCTCCCAATATGTGGTTTACCTTTGCATGTTGTTTAGGGCACAGAAAGTTTAATATAGTGAGATTTATCAGTTTTTCATTATTGATACCTGTGCCCTAAGAGTTTCCTCCCTACCTCAAGACCATAAGGATATGCTCTTGTATTTTGTTTTAATCCTCACCCTATCCCTCAATGAGGCAGGTCTTTAATGCACTTAGAATTTATTTTTTGTGTTGAAGTAGAAACAAGTTTTTGTTGTCATTGGTATATGAGTTATTGATGGTCTCAACACTATTTTCCAAGGGGTCTGTCTGTCTGTACTGATTTGCAAGGCCATATCTGTCACGTAACTAGCTCGCATATCTACACGGGTCTGTTGCCTGGCTCTCCGATGTGTATCATTTGTCTGCTTGCTATCATGGTGCCAATATACACTGTCTGAATCTCAGTCTCTAAGGGGTCTTTAATCCACGAGATAATTCAAGAACCTTGCATTGTTGTCATTATGCAGATAAATCAGAGTCAGGATGGATTTTTCCCTAGACAGACAGCTCTTCCATCATGACGTAGAACAAGTCTCAGTGCCATAGGAACATAGCAGAAGGGCGGAATAGATTTAACTCAAACTTGCCTTTTACTTCTCTTCTCAATTTATACCCTGTGATATTACAGATTCCAAACCTGTACATGCCTTCTACCACCATCAGAGGCTTCTCTACATGATTCTGTACTCAACAGAGCCCCACCCCACACTGCTGGACAGCAAAGCCATTTGTCTTACTAATGGTCCAAAGGAAAGGAAAGCTGCCTAGATGTCATATCTATAGCCTGGACAATTAAGAAGCATTTGTGATAGAGAACATTATATTGGAGATGTAAAAAGTCACCAAATCCTCACGTGTACAACTCTAAAAAGATTGAGAAAATTGAAATTAATTATCCACTCACTAGATGGGGTGTTATCTCCTTGGCTCTCTCATGAAAGGACAGAATAAAGTTATTAGAGATTGGAAGGGGGCGGGGGTTGAGTGTAGCTACCTGCACGTGTTAATTTGCTTTTATCTCAATTTCACATATCAGAATAATAAGCCAAAATACCCTCAGAAAGAATGCTAGTTTTGTTTTAAAAATCAGACAACAAAACCTCAACGACACCCTAAAAATGTTGCAGTGGTTGTCAACCTCCCTGGACACCAGGGAACGTCAGTGGATCTGCCTCAGTGGCCTCAATCAGACGGGCATATAAAAAGCAATGCCCAGTGGTTTTTCTAAACATCCATGGTCTCTTGCCAACAATTGAGGTTTAATGAAGAGGGGAAAACTAGACCTCAGAGAGTAAGTCTTCTGAAGGTGGATATTTCCTGGAGGCATGTGCAACTCCCAACCCCCATCAGGCATTCCAGCCGGGGGACATCACTCTATCATTCTTCTTCAAGCTTGTAGTGTCTGATTGATTTATCGATGTGCTGCTTCTCTGAGTCTCCACGGGCATTTTGCCATTCAAGCCACAGGAGTACTTAAATGCCGAAGCCTGTGTCTCTACTTTCTTCCCAATTCTTTTTTGTCTCTTCTCTTTCTTCTGTTTCTGCTTCTGTGGGTTTGTGGTCTTGTCATAGCAGATTCTTAGTCATTTTGACTTTATAGATTCTCTTCCACTCATCTGATATTAATAGGCTTTTCTTTAAGAAAAAACAGATTAACAACTTTGGTCTATTATTCTTCAGAAAGATGTACTTGAATTTGTGTGCCCCTATTCAGAACATAACATGCGCATATTACAATTTAAAAAAAGTATGTGATATTGTCTCATGGCTATGGAAAGTCTGTATCGAGAAATTTATTTGCTTGCAATTTAATGAGTTTTATAATAACCAGAGAGTCCCTTCAGCATCTCAAATGGAGCAAGAAAGTTGTGATTGGCTGTCATCAAGAGACCAGGGTTCCTACCTTAAAAAGCCAGATCACTGTCCAGCAATACCAGCTTAGGGGGTCCTAGATTTGGGGGATCCCACTGTAGTGGAAGAGTCAGAAGAAGTGTGACTCACATTAGAAAGTTGCTCAGTATTGTTTCAGATGAGAATAAAGAGGGCTGGGCACGGTGGCTCATGCCTGTAATCCCAGCACTGTGGGAGGCTGAGGTGGGCAGATCACCTGAGGTCAGGAGTTTAAGACCAGCCTGGCCAACATGGTGAAACCCCATCTCTACTAAAAATACAAAAATTAGCGAGGCGTGGTGGCAGGCGCCTGTAATCCCGGCTACTAGGGAGGCTGAGGTGGGAGAATTGCTTGAACCTGGGGGGCGGAGATTGCAGTGAGCTGACTCAGAGCCACTGCACTCCAGCCTGGGCGACAAAGCGAGACTCTGTCATAAATAAATAAATAAATAAATAAATATTAAAACAAACCAACAGTCCACAAATCTTTGACCCATTGAGTCTTTTGGTGCCCTGAGGCCTATGTGTCACTGTGACACTAAGGCCAGTCTCTACTTTTCTCTAATTTGAAATACTTTCTAATTTAAGAAGTGAAAAAATCACCCAGGTGAAATCTGAATAGTCTGTTGTTTAGTTCATTGTCCTGTATCGATATTAATTTCTTAGTTTTTGACCAATGTATCTTGGCTATGTGAGATTAGGAGAATCTCAGGTAAAGGAACTCTCTGTATTATCGTTGCAATTTTTCTGTAAACCTGAAATTACTTCAAAATAAAAAGGTTATTTTTAAACAAACTAACCAGGGCAATCACAGATGACTCAGGCTACGGAGGTAAACCTAAGTGGAATTCTGGCTCACGTTGAGGTAGAAAAATCAAGAGCCAAGGTGTCTGGGATGCACAGTGGGGACCTCATTTTAACTCTACTACTGACTATTCTTGCAACCTTAAGCCACTTAACGTCTCTTCATTTTTATTGTTTATTATTACAAATTAAATCCATATTAATTATATAATAACACAGGCAAACCTCGTTTCATTGCTCTTCACTTCATTGAACTTCCTTTATTGCACTTCACAGATACTGTGTTTTTTACAAATTGAAGGTTTGCAGCAACCCTGCATCAAGCAAGAACACCACCATGATTTTTCCAACAGCATGTGCTGGTTTTGTGTCTCTGGGTCACATTCTGGGTATTCTCACAATATTTTAAACCTTGTCATTTATTACACCTGGTATAGTGGTTTGTGATCAGTGATCTTTGATGTTACTATTGTAATCATTTTGGGGCACCGCCAACCACACTCATGTAAGGTGGCAAACTTAATCTCTAAATGTGTGTGTCCTGACTACTCTACCATCCAGCTGTTCCCCCATCTCTCTCCCTCTTCGTGGGCCTCCTTATTCCCTGAGACACAGAAACATTGAAATTAGGCCAATAAATAACCCTACAATGGCCTCTAAGTGTTCAAGTAAAAGGAAGAGTTGAATGTCCCTCACTTTAAATCAAAAGCTAGAAAATGATTAACCTTCATGAGGAATGCATGTTGAAAGCCAAGACAGGCTGAAATCTAGGCCTCTTGCACCAAATAGTTGACCAAGTTGTGAATGCAAAGAAAAAGTTCTTGAAGAAAATTAAAAGTGCTATTCCAGTGAATACACAAATGGTAAGAAAGCAAAACAGCCTTATTGCTGATATGAAGAAAGTTTTATAGAGCTGGATAGAAGGTCTAACCAGCCACAACACTCCCTTAAGCCAAAGCCTAATCCAGAGCAAGCCCCTAACTTTCTTCAATTTTATGAAGACAGAGAGAGGTGAGAAAGCTGCAGAAGAAAAGTTGGGGCTGGGCATGGTGGCTCACACCTGTAATCCCAAAGTGTTGGGCAGATTGTAATCCCAATTGTAATCACACTTGTAATCCCAAGGTGGGCAGATTGCTTTAGCCCAGGAGTTCAAGACCAGCCTGAGCAAAATGGTGAGACCCCCATCTCTACAAAAAAAAATACAAAAGAAAATAGCCAGGCATGGCGGCCTGCACCTGTAGTCCCAGCAACTTGGGAGGCTGAGGTAGGAGGATTGCTTGAGCCTGGGATGTTGAGGCCACCATAAGCTGAGATGGTACCAGTGTACTCCTGGACATGCCTGGACAACAGAGCAAATCCCTGTCTTAGAAAACAAAGGATAAGGTTGGGCACCGTGGCTCACGCCTGTAATCCCAGCACTTTGGGAGTCCGAGGCTGGCAGATCACGAGGTCAGGAGATCGAGACCATCCTGGCTAACACAGTGAAACCCCGTCTCTACTAAAAACACAAAAAATTAGCCGGGTGTGGTGGTGGGCGCCTGTAGTCTCAGCTACTTGGGAGGCTGAGGCAGGAGAATGGCATGAACCCAGAAGATGGAATTTTCAGTGAGCTGAGATCATGCCACTGCACTCCAACCTGGGTGACAGAGCAAGACTGTCTCAACAAAAAAAAAAAAAAAAAAAAAGATGAAAGAAATGTTGGAAGCTAGCAGAGATTATTTCATAAGGTTTAAGGGAAAACAGCCATCTCCATAATATAAAACTGCGAGACTGCAAGGTGACGCAGCAAGTGCTGATGTAGAAGCTGTGGCAAGTTATCAAAAGATCTAGCTAAGATAATTGGTAAAAGTGGCTGCGCTAAACAATGATTTTTAGTGTAGATGAGTTTTTAATGTAGACAAACAACCTTATATTGGAAGAAGATGCCATCTACAACTTTCATAGCTGGAGAGAACTCAATGCCTGGCTTCAAAATATCAAAGAACAGACTGACTCTCTAGTTAGAGAATAATGCAGCTAGTGACTCTAACTTGAAGCCAATGCTCATTTACCATTCCTAAAATCCTAGGGTCTTTAAGAATTATGCTAAATCTACTCTGCTTGTGTTCTGTAAATTAGGACAACAAAGCCTAGAGGATAGCACATCTGTTTATGGCATGGTTTACTGAATATTTTAGGCCTGCTGTTGAGACCTACTACTCAGAAAAAGAAAATAAAAAAATTTTTTCAAAAGATTACTATTTGGCCTGGCACAGTGTTTCATGCCTATAATCCCAACTCTTTGGGAAGCTGAGGCAGAAGGATCACTTGAGGTCAGGAGTTCAAGATCAGTCTAGGCAACATAGGCAACTGTCTCTACGAACAATAATAATAAAAAAAAAATAGCCACGCATGGTAGTTCACATCTGTAGTCCCAGTTACTAAAGAGGCTGAGGCGAGAGGATCGCCCAGGAGTTTAAGACTGCAGTGAGCTATGATCATGGCACTCCCAGTTACTAAAGAGGCTGAGGTGAGAGGATTGCCCAGGAGTTTAAGACTGCAGTGAGCTGTGATCATGGCACTGAACTCCAGTCTGGGTGACAAAGTAAGATCCTGTCTCTCAACAACAATAACAAAGGTTACTACTCCTTAACACTGCCCCTGGTGACCTAAGAGCTCTGATGAAAACGTACAAGGAGATTAATGTTGTTTTCATGCATGCTAACATAATATTCATTCTGTAGTTTATGGATGAAGGCGTAATCTCAACTTTCAAGTCTTATTACTTAAGAAATACATTTCATAAGGCTGCAGTCACCACCCCCCTTATCAGTTAACAGCCATAACATCAAGACAAGCCAGGCACAGTGACTCACACCTGTAATCCCAGCACTATGGGAGGCCAAGGCTGATGGATCACCTGAGGTCAGGCGTTCAAGACCAACCTGGCCAACATGATGAAACCTCATTTTTACTAAAAATTCAAAAATTACCCAGGTGCCTGTAGCCCCAGCTACCCAGAAGGCTGAGGCAGGAGAATGGCTTGAATCCAGGAGGCAGAGGTTGCAGTGAGCCAAGATCGCACCATGCACTCCAGCCTGAGTGACAAGAGTGAGACTCCATCTAAAAAAAAAAAAAACAAATATCATCAAGACAAAACTCTCCAACAGCAAAAAGATTATGACTATTTTTATAAGCTCAGATGATGGCTGACATTTATTAGCAATAAAGTATTTTTTAATTAAGCTATGTATTTTTTAGACATAATGCTATTGCACACAATAGACTACAGTATAGTATAAAACATAGCTTTTCTATGCACTGGGGAACTAAAAAATGTATGTGACTCACTTCATTGCAACATTCACTTCATTGTCGTATTCTGGAACCAAACCCACAGTCTCCGAGTTACGCCTATATGTAATTATATACATAATAAATTATTATAAATATTTCAGAAGAAAGGGCAATCAGATTCATCTCTAATATATGGAAAAATGAATAATTACCCACAGTCACATCCTCCAAACCACAATTTCATCACATATGAAAATCCAGTATGAACAAATTTGCTTCTGCAGATCTTCTAGTTGACCCCAACAGTTTCAGTTCCAGTATATATTCAGTTCTAGCATATGCAAATATCAAGTCATTTTTAAGAAAAGAGGAAACTAAAGGGTTAGGTAAGAATAAAAATGGTATATAGAAAATAGAGGTGGCATAAACTACTATTAAAAGATAAATAATATTGAAAGCAGGTGAATTGTATTCTTAGAAGTGTACCTTGGTTCTACTGGGAAAGCCTTTCCTGAGACAGAGCATCCTGTTACAAGTATCTTGGCCAGAAATTCTCCTGAACAGAGTTAAGAACTTGTAATCTTGTATAATGGGAAAGGAGTTTCAAAACACTTCCCCAGTAATTCACCAATCTCAAAAATTCAGTTTTTCATAATTCCCTCAGATCAAAGGAGACAAAAGTCAAAAGCCCTGAGTCATAAAATCAAAATAATTTTTATTTAATATTTCATAACAGATGTTAGCTACAAACAAAATTAATTTCAAGTTTCTTGTGTCAGGAGAGGCAAGCATTAAAAAGTTCTGAGGAGGAGATCCCAAGTGAAATTGCATCATACACATTGTTAATTACATGAATAAGTGTCATTTATATTGACGTTATTTTGCATGCTACCGTGGTTGTTTTGCTTAAAATGTTTTTTGTTATACTCCCAAAATTTGGTCCAAAAACAGGGAACTTCTATTATGATTTCTCAAGTTCCTTAACCACAGTTACTTCTAACTGGAGATTTTGAGGAATTTAATGCCTACGGCTGAAAAGAACCATTACAATACAAGCCCAATTTACCTCATAGGATTATTTGGGGAATAAAATGAGATAATAGAAATAAGTTTCTTTGAAATATTTTTAAATAATTTTAAATTACAAATTATTGTTTTTTGTTTATCAAATAAGTGAAGTATTTCTTAGTGTCTGTCAGTCATTGTACCTAGGAAGGAGGTGTAAAGTGATGACTGTCCTCACAAGGCAATAGGGTAGAGGGGTAAGTGCTCCCAGGAGCACTGGGGGTTAGAGTGGCAACTGACCTCATAAAGTACTGGGGTAGAGGGGTTACTGTTCCCAGGAGGCACTGAGGTAGAGTAGTGACTGCTCCCAAGAGGCCCTCGGGAGAGGGGTGACTGCTCCCGGGAGGCATTGGAATAGAATGATGACTGCTCCCAGGAGGCACTGGGGCAGAGGGGTAACTGCTCCCAGGAGGCATTAGAATAGAAGGGTGACTGCTCCCAGGAAGCACTGGGGTAGAGGGGTGACTTCCCAGGAGGCATTAGAATAAAAGGGTGACTTCTCCCAGGAGGCACTGGGGCAGAGGGGTGACTGTTCCCAGAAGGCATTGGGTAGAGGTGTGACTATTCCCAGGAGGCACTGGGATAGATGAGTAACTGCTCCCAGGAGACATTAGGGTAGGAGGGGGTGACTACTTCCAGCAGGCACTGTAGAGGGTAGAGTAGTGACTGCTCTCAGGCAGCTCTAGGGTAGAAGGGTGATTGCCTTGTAGAATCCCTCAATCCAGACTTGTACAGAGGTTCACTACCCAGAACTAAGGGCTAAAATGGGATAAGGAAGAGTACTGTGGAGCACACACATAGCCCCTCAATCATAAATTAGCTAGGCTTTTTGAGCATGGGAAGTGGGTTACAGCATGCTGGTAATGATGGTGTGTCAGTGGGAGAGAAAGATGGACACAAAATAATTTCCTTATGACTAGAATGTAAAAGAGAGGATAACAAAAGACAGGGCTGGGAAGAAAGTCTGTGTCTAGTTTATGAGGGGAAGGAGTTGTAAATTATGTTTAAGTTTTGTTCCTTATGCTGTCTGAGGGAAATTAAAATCAGAGAGGATTTTAGGCAAGGAGATGGCATGAGTCGATCTAGAGTTTGGCGAAGTATTTCTGATTTCACTGTGGAAAAGAGACTAGAGGGGGCAAAACTGGCAGCAGAGGGACAAATCACGAGGCCAAGTAAGCACAGCTAGAGATGAGAGTGGCCTGGATGGGTGTGTGGCAATGGGTCCAGAGGAGAGTGAAGCAAACAGACACACATGTAATGGCTTACAACCAACAGGACTTGATAATTGATTGGATATGAGAGGTAAAAGAGGAATCAAAGTCTTGGGCAACCGAAAGGGTAGGGTTGCCATTCCATGAGAGAGGTAATAGGGGGCAAGTGCAGATGTAGGGGTAAAGATACTGAGGCTGTTTGGAGGCAAACTGAGATTGACGTTCTCAGGAGACATCCAAGGGGCAATGTTCAATAGACAGTTGGATCTTTCTTGAAATTCCTCCCTACTTTGGGACTAGAAGTTTGAAACACGGAGACCTTTTGAGAACTCTGTTATTATTAATCTAATAAAAGAGGAAAAATAATAAAGTTGAGAGGGTTCTGCTATTTTTTGGAAGTGTGAGAATGTCCAGCCCAAAGCACCTATGAAAAAGTAACTCAGACAAAACAGAGGAATGAAAAGTTCTCCATTTCTGAAAAAAGAAGCAGCTACTTAGCAATTATGTGCTGTGAGATCACTTACCTTTCATGGAGAGTCCAGGCTGCCGTTTGGGGAAGAAATAGTCTGCCCTCTGGAAATGTCCCTTAACATGGTCATGCATCCCCCTGGACTTGACATAAGTCGAGGTGAGAATTAAACTTGAGATGAAAGTGCTAGAGATGTATATGGGTCTTAAGGATTACTTAGTCCAATTCTCCCATTTTACAGAGGAAGAAACTAGGGCCCAGGGAGAATGACTTGCCCATGGCCACACAGCTGGTTAGTGGGATATAGAAGCCAGATATCTTGGCTTGTCTTACCTTGTCCTTTAACGCTTAGATGAAATCACTTGAATCCCCAACCCAGATCCTAAGGAACATCCAGTGCCACTTCCCCCACAACTTCTAAAATTCCTCTGGGACTTATGTTTTTCCCAGTCATCCCTGGTTCTGATTTCCAGAATTTTCTGTATTTCTCATTCTCCACTCTTTCCTGTGGCTTTTCTTTAATCATTTCCCTTTGGCCTGAAACCAAAGAAGGGGACAGCCCCTTCTTCATGACTTCTAGACCCCCAGTCAAATGATGCCTTTCATAGTTGACAATTCTATTTTGTGAAGTTTCACTAACAATTTTAAAGTAACATGGAAGGACATTATATTATATTATAATATTTTACATATTTCTAAGTGAATATTGACTTTTTAAAAAATCTCTCTGCCCTTTTCTGCCAACACAGACACCAAACCTGCTACCATCTTATCTCTATTTCTCATGCTTTTGCCAGCTAATTTGCCCTCCCTTTCCCTCCCCCTTTTCCTTTTCTCCTTAATTCTTGTCCCTTTGCCTTTTACCCCAAATGCTGATTAAAAGTATATTCCTTCCCTAGGAAAACTCTGAAGGCAGCCACTATCATATCAGTTTTTCTCACTCCATTTCACAAATCTGGTGCCACATTCTCTGTGCTAAGCCAGATGCCTAGTCCATTAAGGAAGCTGCTCCAAAATTTCCCAGATCTTGCTCCATGCCTGCCCCCACCTCAGTTCTTCCGGGGTGTACTAATTGGTATGTAACTCACAGACCATGGATATGTTTGAAGTGAACTGAGCCAGTCAATGTGTACTATTGTCTTTTAATTGCTTTCAGCTTCATGAACTTTGAACAACTTTTATCACCTCTCAGCTCAGCACTGATTCATCCAGCTTCTGTGAGAGATTTATTTACTTTTAATTAGATCCAACTTAATTATTTTGTCAGTAAAACATACCAAAAGAATCTATAAAACAATTTTTAAGTGAAATCACATTTCTGCCTAGAGGGATGTTAAAAATGAAATTATGCATCTCATTTTACCTGTCTCTCACAAAGGAAATATTGCCTGCACTGTCTTTTTATTTCCCAAGATATTTTGCCTTTCATTAGGAAGATACCTGGGAGATCAGGCTTAGAATAAAGGGAAGAAAATGGGAAAAGGTAGTTCGAGTTTTCAAGGGAGAACACATAGGTGAGCATAAAAGGCAGTGTCTCTCCAGATTTGCTATTTGGCAACCCCTACATTAGAATGACCTAGGAGCTGGTGAAGAGTGCAGATTTTCCACCCCCATCCCCAGAACTTCTGATTCAGGGGGTCTGACATGGGGATGAGAAGTGAAGCTTCTCATTTGCCTATTCTTGTGCTTTCTGGATTCACGCCTGCCTCTGGCTACTCAACTCTCTAATTCACTAATTGGCTATTTCTACTTCCCCAAGACGCTTGCCTTGTCCTTCTCAGTCAACTGTGTTTTCTTACATCTCTAACAACTTCTGGTCCTTACTGTCTGCCATTCTTTCAATTTCCCATTGGTAGCCTATTCAGTACCTTTCCATGTATATATATATATCTCATCTCCCAACCATTTTATTATGTCAGGGACTCTGCATCACTGATTTTCCTCTCTGCACTTCACCTTGTACCCTGCTTTCAGTTCTGGGCTCCCTTTACAATACCAATGTGTCCAAATGTCTTTAGCACACCAGTGTGTGAAAGATCTCTTCTGTCATCAAAGAATTTACAACTTCTGCCTGATAGTAGCTATAATTCTGGTATTAATTAATCGAGAAAATATATAATTGCAAATCCTACCATAAAATTAATAATGCCTTTGAATAAAATTATAATATATTAATCTCAACAGTATCTGCGACACTTAAAAATAGTGGCTTGGCCAGGAGCAGTGGTTAAGAAGAAAATGGATTTGAAAAATATTTAAAGGGAAAAAATGGATAAAACTTAAAAATAGATTGGCTGTAGTAAATGAAAGAGAGGTCAAAGGTTACTCTTAAGTCATTAAGGTAAACAGAGATGCTATTCACGGAAATGGGTACTCCTGGAACTAAAGTGAATTTTGGAGAGAATCCAAGAGTTTTACAATGTTAAAGTTGAAATACCTAGAAAACAAGTAGAAATGGCACATAAGCAGTAGGATATTTTGATGTAAAGTTCGAGGGAGAAATCCGAGCTCCAAATACACCAAATTGGAGACTAGCTTGCAAGATAATTTGTGAGACTCTAAACTCTAATGAACTTGGCAGGTGATAAAGTGTAATGTGGCAGATGAGAAATATTTTCTTGTCTGTTAAAAAAATATTCATCTTTGGAAATCTGTTGGAGTAAAGCTCTTATGAGTTGGGGAGCTAGGAGAAAACCAATCGGGGGTTAAAAGCTTTAATTGACTCAAGGACTAGTGATGAGGGCTGAGTGTGGCATGCTGAAGATGCTTGAGTTATGGAACAGACTCTCCTTCCATCTTTCCTTTCCCACAAAGGCCCATTCTATAGGATTACATTTATCATGTATTTTAATTATCTTCTACAGAACTGCATCCTTTCATTAATTTTATTTTAGGTGGTTGCTATTTCTTTCTCACTCTCTCTTTTCCACTAGTCCCCACTTTTACCAACCAAAGACAACAATCCCCACCCCACCCCACCCTGCATACATTTCTTCTTAATGTTTCTTTCTCTCTAGAGGAAGTCAGCTTCTGGCATCCTAATTATAGGACATGTTTTGTAGCCTGTGAATAAGGCACAATCACAGCTCTTGTTCTTCCCATTGGGAAGGACAGAGCACTTTTTTGTGCTCATAAGAACTGATTCCATACAAGCAGCTATATGTAGATGCCTGTAGCTGAGTACAGTGCAAATGGGAATGCTAAAGTTCGGCCTTCCCCAAGTCTTCTAGCCTATCCAAACTCCACTGCAGAATAAGGTCTCCGCTAAGACTATTCCTTTCCCACGAAGGCCTCACTGAATTTTCCTGGGCAGGTCCACACTACAAAACTTATGGAGGGTCTTTCAAATGGCAATTTCTGTTTTCTGGCATATTTGTCTGCAACTAGATATCTTTTTTGAATCTAAAATGTCATCAATTTAATAATACTTTGTGAGTGTAAGTAAATAAACACTAACATAGCAATTGTGTGAAACAATCTAGTTTCAAAAATTTATTAAAATGTGGAAAAAGGACATTTTGTATTCTAATAAATATAGCTTTTACTGAAATGGATTAGGAAGAAATGACAAGTTCTACAGAGAAATCACTCTATTCCCCTTATCTTTGTTTCTTCCTCTGTAAATGGGTTTCGGTAAAATCAGTAAAAGACTAAGTGATGGTCATTCCTCAAGCAAATCCAATCAAAATAAGTAGAAAAAGCAAAATGGATAAGAAATTTATGATGAGATTGTTTTACTGCAAATCATTCCTTGATCTACTACAATGCTTGGGTGCATGGATAGGAATCTGGCTCACTGAGTTTTTTTATTGAATTCAGGGTTGATGAAAAACCTGTTGTTTGTTGTTGTTGTTATTGTTTTGACTTTGTGTTGAGGGGAAGAAACTTGCAAACCATGTTAGCAGCCTTTCCTGCATTAGTAGGTAAGCCACAAATAATGGAAATGACTGATCCTTTCTGGGTGAGTGGTGATGTTTCTGAACCTGGTTCCCAGAACAGCAAATAGAGACATAGAGGTGTAGGCCAATGTTGTCATAAGGGATCAAGAGTTTTTATTTTAATAAAAGTAGTTCCTGTCAGTGCCTATTAAAAAAACATATCAATACTGTCAAACCACTTCATTTTGGTATTAAGGTTTAGCTCAAAACCAAAGTTAATATTGAAGCTTTTGGCCAGGCATGGTGGCTCATGCCTGTAATCCCAGCACTTTGGGAGGCTGAGGTGGGTGGATCACCTGAGGTCAGGAGTTCAAGACCAGCCTGGCCAAAATGGGAAACCGTGTCTCTACAAAAAAACACAAAAAATTTTGCCAGGCATGATGGCGGGTGCCTGTAATCCCAGCTACTCAGGAGGCTAAGGCAGGAGAATCACTTGAACCTGGGAGGCAGAGGTTGCAGTGAGCCAAGATCATGCCATTGCACTCCAGCCTGGGCGACAGAGTGAGACTATCTCAGTGAAAAAAAAATTGAAGCTTTTGAGAAGTGAGTTCACCTAAAGTAAAATATATTGCATTTAATAAAAATGCTATTTGGGTGTGGTAAAAATTGAGAAGATGATTCAAGAATGACTGTAATTTGTGAAAAACTGATATACTTATTGATTTGAAGATCTGCTAACTCCAGACTATTTCTTCTACAGTGGTTATTATTTGTTAACTAGATATCTAATAGGAAATCTTTTCTTTTTTTTTCCTGCGATTTACACATTTTGTCCTCAGGGTAGAGTGCTTTAAAAACGCCTGTAGTTAACTGAAGGCCAAACTTTTTAAAATTCTAATTCATTCTAATATCAGGGTTTTATATTATTTTATCAATAATCTAAGTATAGATTAAACTTAATTTTATAGATTTTTCTCCCATAGTCCTAACCCACTGATATGCTTTTTAGAGAATTGGGTATGGAGGAAAAATAATTCTCTAGTAAAGACTTATTTCTGCTTTTTAGCCTACTTGGGTCTTCTATCCATTCTTGAAGTCAACATGTTTACTGTAGCCACAGAAGACTTGCAACTATGGCTTTGTCTTCCTAGGATGCTTACTTTCAGAAACACAGCACATACACACACACACACACACACACACACACACACTCACTCACGCATATATACACACAGTAGTACTCCATCCAGCCACCTCTCACTCATTCCCTGATCTCAGTTCAAGCCCCACCTCTTGGGACACAAGGTCCCATCCCTCTGTAATGTGCTCACTGCACCCTCTCTCTTTTGTGGTATTAAATAAAAATTACAGGAGGCCATTGTTTTGGACAAAGCTAGGCCCCAACAGACTAGACTAAAAATTAGAGTGGAGTCATTTTCACTAAACTAAAACTAAATTGTTATCAACCTTCAGAGAAATCAAGAGAGAGACATAATTTCCCAAATAGGTCAGTTTCAATTGGTATGAAAAGGAAGTTGCCCCTGCCTTTAATCCTTACAATAAAAGTAACCTGATGTTACCCAGTCAGTTATTTTTCTATTGTTCTGTTTCCTGTTCCTCCCTTACAAGGAAACTAATTTTGAAATGACGAAATCATTTTTGTTTTGTGTTTCTGCTTTCTTCAGCCCTTTCTATAAAGCCAATCTCCTCTGCTCAGCTCATTGGAACGCTGATTATATTTTATGAAATGAAGTGCTGCCCAATTTTAGAACCAAAAATAAAGTTAATTAAGATCTTTAAACCTGTTGTGATTTTGTCTTTTGACAGTGGCACTTTTCCTGGTTGGTGAATATATATTTATTTCTAAACGTGTATGTTTAAAATCTCCCAGACACCTAATGTAAGCTCAGGCAGAAAGGGATGCATGGGTAGGTTTTACTCACCTGGTATATAAACGAGGATTCAATAAGTATTTGTTGATTGAATGAATGACTAGTTGATTTATCCCGTAACAGTGAAAATGGAACTTGCTAGAGATGGGGTTTATTTGGGCTCATTAAAATGAAACAGAAAGGAACTGGAGTCAATTGGAAATGTGAGCCAGGTAACGTGGAGAAAGTTTGGGAGAGAGAAACAGAATTCCTCAAAAAACTGAAGTTAGCCCAGCTTGTTAGGCTAAAGGTCCCCCATATAGGATTGTCTTCTTATCATCTAGAGGACATTGTACCTAGAAGAGAATAAGGCTGGTGCTTGAGAGGATTATCACTTCAAGCCTGAGGTGATCTGAGTATAAATTAGCAAAATTAGGTAATCCTCAAGTTATTTTTAGTGGGAGGTGCCATTTCAAAAATCTAGAATGAGACAAAGGCTTTACAACTGGAAGGAACTTAGGGAGTTCTTCAGGTGTGCCCCACCCTAAACTTTCTGCAGGCAGCAATAAACCACACCTCAGATAATGGGATTATGCAATCCCTCTTTGTTTCCTGTTCCACTCTCAGGAAGAAGTATTTTATTTGGAGGGGAGAGGGGCAGTGGGTCAAAGAGCTGCCTCTAGCCCCCAGTTTCGGTCCCTCCAGCCCACCCTTATGTGCTTCGGCCAGAATGATGCTTGGAATCCGCACTCACAATGTGTCATTTCCCTGGCACTCTTCAGACTCTCTCTTGCCCTCAGCATAACAGCCTCAGCAGGCCATCTGACCCTGGGCTGTCTCTCCAGCCTCAGCTTCTGCCCACTCTTTGTCTCCCGTTCCATGTACTCTACACCAGGAGTCCCCAGTCCCTGGGCCACGGGCCCATAGCAGTCCATGGCCTGTTGGGAACCATGCTGCGCAGCAGGAGGTAAGTGGCAGGCGAGCATTGCCTGCTGTCAGATCAGTGGAGACATTAAATTCTCATAGGAATGCAATGCTATTGTGAATTGTGCATGCGAGGGATCTAGGTCACGCCCTCCTTATGAGAATCTAAGGAATGCCTGATAATCTGAGGTGGAACAGTTTCATCCCAAAACTATCCCCCAACCACTGTCCATGGAAAAATTGTCTTCCATGAAACCAGTCCCTGGTGCCAAAAAGGTTGAAGACCTCTGCTCTATGCAACACCTCAGGAACTTCTTCCCGTTTCTGGAACTCGTTCTTCTACCTGGAGCACTCTTCCCCAACCTCTCTACCTAGCTAACTCCTGCGTTTCTTCAGGTAACTTTAAATAAATGTTCCTTTTCCCACGAGCCCTTCCCTGACTATACCACTGTGTGTGTGTGTGTGTGTGTGTGTGTGTGTGTGTGTGTGTGTGTGTGTGTGTTTTCTGACCCATGGAAACATCTTGCCCTTTACCTCTAAATACTTTGGGGTGGATTTCCTAAAACCAAGAGTGTTTTTATGTATAACCACAATATAATTATCAAAATCAGGAAATTTGAGATTGTTAAAATGCTATTACCTAACTGTAGTTTATATTCAGATTTTGCCCATTGTCCAATAATGCCCTTTATACCTATTTTATCTTCCTCTAGTATAGGATTCAACCGAGAATTATGCATTACATTTAGTTTTTATTTTTAGTTTATTTTAATCATAAACAATTATTTTGCCCCTTTTTTGACCATTTACACTTGAAAAACACAGGCCAGTTGTTTTATAGAATAGCCCCCCAATTTGAGGTTTTTTAGTGTTTCTACCAGAGAGGTAACTCATGTTCTCAATACATCATATCAGGAGGCAAAAGATGTCATTTTATCTCAATATTTGTGATACTATAGCCATAATAGGTCCAGCGCCCAATATGTGCAGCAAATCAATATGCCAAGATGTCAAGTTGCAGGAGAAAGAGATTTAATTGGAGGGCTACCGAATAAAGAGATGGGAGGAAACCTCAAATCCACCTCCGTGAGGAGTTTGGGGCTAAAGTTTATAAGAGTTTTAGAACAGGCAGAAGTGTGAAGATTGTTGATTGGTCAAAGAGTGCAGGGTGAAATCATAGGACAGACAGATGAAGAAACTGTCCTCATGCTGATTCTGTTCCTATGTGGGGTCTTCAAACTGGTTGGCGTCAGCTGTTTCACCGGACTTCAGAATCTGAAAAACATCTTCAGCAATTCTTAAACAAAAGCTTTATGATTCTAACATCAGAAACTCAATCTTAAACAAAACCCTTATGACTCTAATGTCAGAAATCCTATCTTTAGGAGCAATGGGGAAGCAAATGGTCAGGATCTAGTGACTTTCAGTTACAAGGAAGTAGGTCAAAGTGCAGCCTGATTAATGCTTAGTTATGACTCTATTTCTGTCCAGAATTCTTGTTAGCCCTGTGAGGACAGCTTCAATACTTGCTTTGATCTCTGTTGTAAGGTGGTGTCTGCCACATTTCTCCACTAAAAAGTGATTCTTTTTATCATTATAATGAATAATATTGGGGGAGGATACTTTGAAACTATATAAATATTTAGTTCCTCATCAAACTTTCATTCACTAATTTGGCATCCAAGTTATATCTGCTTTACTTTTAAGGAAGCTCATCTTACATGGTTAAAAAAAGTAAAGACTATTCTTATGATAAATGGACTTTTAATCCTACTCCACCGAAAATAACTACATTTCCCACATCAATCCAATCTCTTCATTTAAGAAGATCTTACCACCTAATAGTGAGAGAAGTCTGATATGGATGGCATTAACCAAGGCAAGATTTCTCATTTGCATTTTCAATGCTATTCATAAATTATCTTTTCATTTCCTTTTCCTTTGCAGTAAAAAAGAAATCCATGAAGGTGCATTTTTTATAATAGCAAAGAAGATACACAATATTATTTCCAGCTTGCTAAATGTTATAAGGTTGCTTTTGGTCACATTATGATAGGCATCCGTAATTACATTTACCTTTTCAGGCTTGCTACAAGGGCTTACTTAGTCTCTGAAGAGCTTCCTGCAGGCTTGGGGTCTGTGGACTGAAAATCAGTTGGATTGACGAAAGCTATGAGAAGAATTATGATGAGGGTCAGATCATATGGGCATCAGGAAAGTAAAATATTACCATTTAAACTAGAAATAAAACTTTTTTTCCTAAGTGATCATATTTACCATGACAAGCTGGGTAATTAATTGTAAGATTAATAGTACTTGACATTCACTCATCCACTTATTCAAAAGAAAATTATCCTATGAGCCTACTACATGAGAAGGACCATTATATACAACTTCTAACTTTATAAAATGTATCTTTGAATAATATCCTTCTGGGTCTTTAAGAAAAATTTGGCCAAAAAGAACCTTGAGAGTTTGCTTGTAGGGTTTATTTAAAAGAGTTCAGAAACTGGAAACTCCTAGGTAAAGCAGCATTTTTTTTAATCATTATTATACTTTAAGTTCTGGGATATATGTGCAGAATGTGCAGGTTTGTGTACATAAGTATACCTGTGCCATGGTAGTTTTCTGCACCCATCAACCCGTCATCTATATTAGGTATTTCTTCTAATGCTATCCCTCCCCTAGCCCCTAACCCCACAACAGGCCCTGGTGTGTGATATTCCCCTCCCTGTGTCCATGTGTTCTCATAGTGCAACTCCCAATTATGAGTGAGAACATGTGGTGTTTGGTTTTCTGTTCCTGTGTTAGTTTGCTGAGAATGATGGTTTCCAGCTTCATCCATGTCCCTACAAAGTATATGAACTCATCCTTTTTTATGGCTGCCTAATATTCCATGCTATGTATGTGCCACATTTTCTTTATCCAGTCTATCATTAATGGGCATTTGGGTTGGTTCCAAGTCTTTGCTATTGTGAAGAGTGCTGCAATAAAGATACGTGTGCATGTGTCTTTGTAGAAGAATGATTTATAATCCTTTGGGTATATCCCCAGTAATGGGATTGCTGGGTCAAATGGTTCTTCTGGTTCTAGATCCTTGAGAAATCACCACACTCTCTTCCACAATGATTGAACTAATTTACACTCCCACCAACAGTGTAAAAGCATTCTTATTACTCCATATCCTCTCCAGTATCTGTTGTTTCCTGACTTTTTAATGATCACCATTCTAACTGGCTTGAGATGGTATCTCATTGTGGTTTTGATTTGCATTTCTCTAACAACTAGTGATGATGACCTTTTTTTCATATGTTTGTTGGCCACATAAATGTCGTCTTTTGAGAAGTGTCTGTTCATGTCCTTTGCCCACTTTTTGATGGGATTGTTGGTTTTTTCTTGGAAATTTGTTTAAATTCTTTGTAGATTCTGGATATTAGCCCTTTGTCAGATGCATAGATTGCAAAAATTTTCTCCCATTCTGTAGGTTTCCTGTTCACCCTGATGATAGTTTCTTTTGCTGTGCAGAAGCTCTTTAGTTTAATTAGATCCCATTTGTCAATTTTGGCTTTTGTTGCCATTGCTTTTGGTGTTTTAGTCATGAAGTCTTTGCCCATGCCTATGTCCTGAATGGTTTTGCCTAGGTTTTCTTCTAGGGTTTTTATGGTTTTGGGTCTTACCTTTAAATCTTTAATCCATCTTGAGTTAATTTTTGTATAATGTGTAAGGAAGGTGTCCAGTTTCAGTTTCTGCATATGGCTAGTCAGCTTTCCCAGCACCATTTATTAAATAAGGAATCCTTTCCCCATTGCTCGTTTTTGTCAGGTTTGTCAAAGATCAGATGGTTGTAGATGTGTGGCATTATTTCTGAGTCCTCTGTTCTGTTCCATTGGTCTATATCTCTGTTTTGGTACCAGTATCATGCTGTTTTGGTTACTGTAGCCTTGTAGTATAGTTTGAAGTCAGGTAGCATGATGCCTCCAGCTTTGCTTTTTTTGCTTAGGATTGCCTTGGCTATATGGGCTCTTTTTTGGTTACATATGAAATTTAAAGTAGTTTTTTCAAATTCTGTGAAGAAAGTCAATGGTAGCTTGATGGGTATAGCATTGAATCTATAAATTACTTTGGGCAGTATGGCCATTTTCACGATATTGATTTTTCCTATCCATGATCATGGAATGTTTTTCCATTTGTGTGACCAGTGGTTTGTAGTTCTCTTTGAAGTGGTCCCTCACATCCCTTGTAAGTTGTATTCCTAGGTATTTTATTCTCTTTGTAGCATTTGTGAAGGGGAGTTCACTCATGATTTGGCTCTCTGTTTGTCTATTATTGCTATGTAGGAATGCTTGTGATTTTTGCACATTGATTTTGTATCCTGAGATTTTGCTGAAGTTGCTTATCAGCTTAGGGAGATTTGGGGCTGAGAATATGGGGTTTTCTAAATATACAATCATGTCATCTGCAAACATAGACCATTTGACTCTCTCTCTTCCTATTCGAATACCTTTATTTCTTTCTCTTGCCTGATTGCCCTGGACAGAATTTCCAACACTATGTTGAACAGGAGTGGTAAGAGAGGGCATCCTTGTCTTGTGCTGGTTTCCAAAGGGAATGCTTCCAGCTTTTTCCATTCAGTATGATATTGGTTGTGGGTTTGTAATAAATGGCTCTTATTATTTCGAGATACTTTCCATCAATACCTAGTTTATTGAGAGTTTTTAGCATGAAGGGTGTTGAATTTTATCAAAGGCCTTTTCTGCATCTATTGAGGTAATCATATGGTTTTTGTCATGGTGTCTGTTTATGTGATGAATTACGTTTATTGATTTGTGTATGTTGAACCAGCCTTGCATCCCAGGGATGAAGCTGACTCGATGGTGGTGGACAAGCTTTTTGATGTGCTGTAAAGCAGCATTTCTTTGCCACCTGGGCAGACCATCTGCTTAATCAAGTACTTGGTTTCAGAAACCACCAAATGGAGTGGAGAAAAAGAAAAGGGATCCCCTATCCCCAACTCCAGCCATCTAGATTAAGAAAAGCCAGCTGACTGGACAGTAGCACAGCCCAGTCACCTCATGGACAAATTTCCTAGGAAAGAACCTCTCCCATCTATTCTACTTATCACTCTCCTTTGAGGTTCCGGCCACAGGTGAGTTTCTGGAAAATGTCATCAGAATCAGAAAATGTTAGCGCCAAAGAAAACCTAAAGAATAGGTACCTTTTCCTTTGTTTTAAGATGTGTCCCAATATATTTTTCTGTACTATCCAATTTGTTCCTCACAAAAATCTTGTGGAATAAGTATAGAAAGAATAGTGTTCCTGATTTCACAGTGAGGAAGCTGGAGATCAGTTGAAGGTGAAGGAACAGCTCCCCACTAGGACTGAACCAGAGCTAGTCTTCTGACCTGCAGGGTCATAGCCCAGCAAGCCACACTTTAGCTATCCCTGACAGCCCCAATTAGGCCAAAAGCACGTCCCACCCACTTCAATGCTCCCATGGCACGTATTCCAGTGTTAGGAGCATGTTATTTATGTGATTATTTGTTTAGTGTGTCACCCTAGAACATAGGGATTCTAACCTCAGATACTCAATCTTAAACAAAATCCTTATGACTCTAATGTCAGAAATCCTATCTTTAGGAACAACAGGGAAGCAAATGGTCAGGATCTAGTGACCTTTAGTTACAAGGAAGTAGGTCAAAGTGTGGGTTAAGACTACTTTCAGTGTCTACCCTGCATGGATGGGGGAGAAATGAACAGGCCAACATGCTGCACGTTTCTCCTAAACATAGCTCCTCCTGTGTCTGTTTTCAGATCTTCGCCTGCTGCTGGAAATGGCCCTCTCAGTGGACTCATCGTGGCATCGGTGGCAGTGGAGAGTCAGAGATGGCTTCCCCCATTGTCCATCGGAAACCACACCGCTGCTCTCTCCAGAGAAAGGGAGACAGAGCTACAACTTGACACAGCAGCGGGTCGTGTTCCCCAACAACAGCATATTCCATCAAGATTGGGAAGAGGTCTCCAGGAGATACCCTGGCAACAGAACCTGCACAACCAAATACACCCTCTTCACCTTCCTGCCCCGGAATCTCTTTGAGCAATTTCATAGGTAGAGATCCACTTGTCTGAACAATACTCTTTTTAGAGAAAGAGTCTCATTCTGTTCCCCAGGCTGGAGTATAGTCGTGCAATCTCGGCTCACTGCAACCTTCACCTCCTGGGTTCAAGGGAATCTCCCACCTCAGCCTCCCAAATAGCTGGGACCACAGGCGTGCACCACCATGCCCGGCAAATTTTTGTACTTTTATGTAGATATGGGGTTTTGCCACGTTGCCCAAGCTGGTCTCTAACTCCTGGGCTCCAGTGATCCGCCTGCCTCAACCTCCCAAAGAGATGGGATTACAGGAGTGAGCCACCACACCCGGCCACCAATACATATTTTAAACAAGTATTTACCACTTAGATAAACTCAGAGATGCTACCCTCTGGGGGCCACCTTTCCTTTAATATCCAAATGCATTTGTCTTAAGAAGTTTTTTCATTCATTCTTTCATTCAACAAATATTTGTCAGGTTCTATGCTGTCTCAGGCCATAAGCTGGGAGCTAGAGATACATAAAAAAAATGGAGAGGCAGAGAGATACTGTCCTTATTGAATATATTGTCTAGTAAAAGAGACAGACATTAGTTTTTTAATTATATAAATTGATATAAAGTTGTAACTACAATAGATACTTCTAAGGAGAGGTATATGGTGCTATTATAGTGAATAATAAGGAAATCTTGGCCTAGTTAAGAAAGTCAGGGAATTGAAGTACAACATGAAAGAGAGACTGCATTACCTGAGTGAAAAGGGATGGACAGAAGTCAGCAGAATGTTCCTGCAGACAGACCTGTACATGCAAAGGCACTGTGGCAAGAGAGAGCAAGATGCACGTGGAAAACTTGAAAACATCAGCAACTCTTTTGAGATAATGTATGAGATCATTTTAAATTAAAAGTTAAAATATGTGCTTATATATCACCCTCAATATTGTAATTATTATTATAAGTGACCATTTACTGAGCAACTGCTATGCTCCAGAGCCCTCTGCTGTATATCATGCAAATATTATAAATCATGTAATATTTATGGGACCCCTTTAAAGTCCATAATACTATCCCCATTTTGTGCAAGAGGAAATAAGCTCAAAAAAATCACACAACGAGTAAATAACAGGAACAGAATTTAAATCTAGATGGTTTTCCATTCCTGAGAATAATCATCTCCAGTCTCATCCATAAGCATGACAAAACAAACTTTGGGGACTTAGGGGGAAAGGGTGAGAAGGGGAGAGGAATAAAAGACTACAAATTGGGTGCAGAGTATACTGCTCGGGTGATGGATGCACCAAAATCTCACAAATCACCACTAAAGAACTTACTCATGTAACCAAACACCACCTGTTCCCCAATAATCTATGGAAATAATAAATACATCTAGATGGGTTTGGCTTCAAATCCATTACCATAATGTTTGAGGTGATACTGAAAGAGAAGGTTTAATTGATCAAGGCCAAACAGTAGGGAAGAAATGGGGGAGAAAGTACATTTTTCTTCTCCATAGTGTTTATTCACACTTCGCTTGCCCCTCCAGATGGGCTAACCTCTATTTCCTGTTCCTGGTGATTTTGAACTGGATGCCCTCCATGGAAGTCTTCCACAGAGAAATCACCATGTTACCATTGGCCATTGTCCTGTTCGTCATCATGATCAAGGATGGCATGGAGGACTTCAAGAGACACCGCTTTGATAAAGCAATAAACTGCTCCAACATTCGAATTTATGAAAGGTAAGAAAAACCATCCCTGTGTTCTCTCTTGCAAATGGGTTAGGCAAACTCATCAGCATAGCCTCAGGATGAGTCTCTTTTCTTCGATTTTATTTTCCTAAATTATTTAATTCACTGATTCTCAAGGGGGGGTGATTTCGACCCCTAGTGGGCATTTAGTAATGTCTGAAGACATTTTTGGTTGTCATACTGGGAGTAGGGGGTACTACTGACATCTAGTGGGTAAAATCCGGGGGTTCTGCTAAATAGCCTACGATACACAGGACACCACCGGGGAACAATTATTAACCAGTCAAAATGTCAATAGTGCTGAGGCTGAGAAAACTTGTTTAAGTTGTATAAGCACTCATATTATTAAGCACACAGATGCAGTATTATTAAAGGTGAGTTGAAAGCTTAAGAATTAAACTCTAGGATGGCTGGATTATCTTGGGAGACTAAGTTCAGGAGAAACTCTTTGGAGGATGTCAGGCAGTGTCTCCCAAACCAAGAAAATGTCTGCCATTTTAAAGCCTCAGTTGCTTGGGTTGAAAATTCTTGCTTTTAGAACCAGGTAGGTTTTAGGACCCAGAGTTGGTACACCTGTTCTTGGCTGCCCAGGGTGGAAAAGGAAGACACCTGTAGGTGACGTCTACATTCCAACAGGTGGAGTCTCAAACAAGTAGAAGGAAGTGGCCTGGTGGATACACACCTGTTCTCTGCAGGCTCTTTCCTTGTCATGTTTCTCCCCTGGGGTTTGCAGCCTGGCTTTTCATTTTTAGTATCCTTCTGAAAGAAGAGAGAAAAATTTTCAGCAAAGAAGGCAAGTAAAAGATGAAAATTAAATTATGAGAATTAAAAAGACAACATTGAGCAGAGATGAAAAAGGAAGGGAGGAAAAGGTGGAAAAGAAAAGAAGACAAGAAGCGAGTAGTGGTCTCTAACTTGCTCTTTGAAGGATGGTCTCACAAAGAGAACCCCAACAGACATCATCGTGGGAATCAAATCAAGACCAGCAAGTACACCGTGTTGTCCTTCGTCCCCAAAAACATTTTTGAGCAGCTACACCGGTTTGCCAATCTCTATTTTGTGGGCATTGCGGTTCTGAATTTTATCCCTGTGGTCAATGCTTTCCAGCCTGAGGTGAGCATGATACCAATCTGTGTTATCCTGGCAGTCACTGCCATCAAGGACGCTTGGGAAGACCTCCGGAGGTACAAATCGGATAAAGTCATCAATAACCGAGAGTGCCTCATCTACAGCAGGTAAAGCAAAAAACTCTGGGGAAGTCTTGGGCCCAGCCTGATCTTTTTGTGGCTGCTATCACTGCAGTTACTGTTTGTAGAAGGGATGGAGTAGGGAGATATCATTATTTTATTTCAGGGAAGCTGTTCAGTTCTCTACAGTGAGCTTTATAGTCTACAATCCAGAAAAAAGGAGGATTGAGTCAGTCTTTTAAAATTAGGAGGTCTTTATCATGTAGCATTTTCTTCACTATTTCAAATGTGTCTAACATTTAACAGTTTTGCATATATTCTCATCTCCTCTTAACCCAGTGTGGCCATGAGCACATTTAAGGCTGGTTGAGGACACTGGGAGGGAAGAGGCATCACTGTATTTGGGGGAGCAATGGAGTATTGTGTTAGGAGAAGCACAACAGGAGACACACTGCCTGAGTTGAACAGCCTCCAGTACTTACTAACTGCCTGACTTTAGACAAGCAATATAACCTCTGAAATTCATTTTGTAATTCCTAAAATTTGAACAATTCCTGAGGTGGTTGTGAGAGTTGCAGGAGATAATTCTTAGAAAATACTTAGCACAGTGTATGACATACAACAAATGCTCAGTAAATGCAAGCTGAAATTGCATTATTTTTAGAATGTCAAACCCAACGTTTCCTTCATCACTAACTCTGTTTTTGGGAGTTCTCCCTGATGTTGTCTTAACCAAAGCAAAGACTGCACACCACCTGTCCTGAAGCTGAGAAACCTTGTTTTAACTTGTGTAAGTGCTCATATTATTAAGCACAGAGATGCAATATTTTTTAGGGTGAGTTGAAATCTGAAGAATTAAACTCTAGGATGACTGGACTATCTGATGTCATTAGACATTTATTTAATGTCATTTTATACATGTCATTGTTCTACAAAGGTTTCATTGAGCAAATGACTAAACTAGGTTGTCAGGATAGGACATGCTCTCACTTGGCAAGGAAAGAAGACAGAGTTAGAGTGTGTCTCAACTTTGTGATAACCCACATAGTCCTAAAAGAAGCAAGGGAGTTGAGTCTGGGCTCACAGAGAGACTAGAGGGACAAAGCACCTTCAGAGCTAGCAGTTGGCAGCCTAAGATGATGGAGTCTCTAGCAGGTAAGAGCTTGACTTCTTGCTGAAGAAGGAAAACATCCATGTCTCACAAGCAGCACCCTAGGCCATCTCATTCCTTTTGACTCTCCAGCCCAGTTCAGCAGACATTCCGCACTGGCTCTGGTCCTTGTTAGAATGAAAGAGGCTTGCTTCGAGGTATGTACTCCAGCCATTTAGGCACTGCTTACTTCTAAGGAGGGGTTCTCTTCTCCAGGGGAGTGAAAGGTGGCCAGCTTAGAGCTGGCTGCTGAAAGGATTTATGAGTCAAACTCCACTTGGAAAATTGTAGCCAGGGGAAACCTCCAAGATGAGTATCTAATACAATGACTTTAGATGGTATTTACCAATATCATCCAAGAACCCCTGCAAGAAACTCCATGTTCATCCCTCAGCAGCAAATGAGCTTCTTGTCTCTTTGCTTGGAGGGACACAGTTGCACGTTTAGAAAAATTAATCTGAAGGATAATTTTTTTTTCCAGCTAGATCCAATTGTCTTGAATGTTATGAGCACACTGGACAGCCAGAGTTAACATTTAGTCGTTCCTCGCCTTTGAATATGAAAATTATAAAGAGAGGATGAAATCACTGCTGGGGTGTGATGCCTTCCTTTGAAAAAGCGGTGTTTGAGAAAGCATTGTTTTTCTTTTTTTTCTTTTCTTCTTCTTCTTTTTTTTTTTTTTTTTTTTTTTTGGGGGACAGAGTCTTGGTCTGTCGCCCAGGCTGGAGTGCAGTGGCGCCATCACAGCTCACTGCAAGCTCCACCTCCCGGGTTCATGCCATTCTCCTGCCTCAGCCTCCCGAGTAGCTGGGACTACAGGTGCCCGCCATCACGCCTGGCTAATTTTTTGTATTTTTAGTAGAGACGGGGTTTCACCATGTTAGCCAGGATGGTCTCAATCTCCTGACTTCGTGATCCGCCCGCCTCGGCCTCCCAAAGTGCTGGGATTACAGGCGTGAGCCACCGCGCCCGGCCGAGAAAGCATCGTTTTTCTTTTGGCACCAATCCACCGTCACTTTTTGTTTTCCACCTTACTGTCTTGTTTTTTTTCCATGGAATATACACAGTGGCAAGCCAGGAAGCTGGTGCCTCAGGGAGGAATGCACGTGGGCTGCAGTGAGCCTGGTCCTGTTCTCCTCGCTCTGCCAGAATATCGCAGAATCATGGCCTGGTTCTTGGGAATAATCTCAGTGTGGATTAGACCACAGACTCATCTGTGCTGGGAGCTGGCAGGACCTAGGCCAGGCTGCTGTTGTTGTTTCCAAAATAGCTTCCAGGGAACATCGGAAAACCAAGATGATAACAATCTAGAAAAAAGAAACATTAGTCCACCAGCTCACTGGCAGGGAGGAGCATGGAGTTTTCATAGCAGTATTTCCCAAAGTGTATTCAGTGGAATAACAGTGACAAAGAAATAGTCTCCGAAAAAATACGTGCATGGCCAAATTATATATGCTGGCCCTCCTCCAATGGACCCATAGCCCATGAAGGACTAAGAAAAGACACAGCAAAGAAACCTGTTCATCTTTGATTAACTCAGTGTTGCTTTACATTTACTGGGCTTTGGAAATATTTTTTAATATCTAAGTTTGGGAATTTTTACTTTTTCAAGTATACAAAAATAATTGGCTACAGGGACCAGATAGGTAATTAAATGGACTGAATAGTTTATAAAAAGCAGTATTACTCATGGACTGATAAATGGCCAATGACAGTTGGCATCAGTGTTAGGAGGCAATAGGGAATGGTGGTGACTATGGCAAAGTGGGGAGGCCATGCATTTATCCTAGGAGGCAGAGCTGGTCACTTAGCTTCTGCTAATTGTTATTATGTAGAAGTACAGGCCTAGTGTTGTTGCCAGATTGTCTGAGCTTTATTAGGGCAGCTAAAAATTAATATTTTTATTTGAAATAACCTGACTTTTAACTGATTTTATATTATTTTGTAACTGATGTAATTTTTTCAAACACTTCAGACCTATTTTTTTGAAACCTAAAGTTCTATTTTGCTTATGAGCCCAAAAACTTGCAAACTTTGCTTCAAAATATTCTAGAAATCTGGAGTCTCTGCAAAAGAATAATAAGTTTCTTTTTTTGTTGATGCTTTTTTGAGGTGGGCAGTGGGGGCAGGGGTCTTGGTACGTTGCCCAGGCTGGTCTAGAACTTGGCTTGAGCTGTCCTCTTCAAACTCCCAAGTAGGTGGGATTGCAGGCATGCCATCACTTCTGGCCCTAGGTTCTTCTTTTGAAGTTCATCCTCAAGGGACAGAGAGAGGGTATGACCTTGAGGTAAGAATGCAGGCCTGGGAGGCAGAGGCCTGTAGTCTAGGCCCAGATCTCAGACTAACTATTAATAGCTTAGGAAAGTCATTTAAACATATAGACCTCAGTTTCCACTTTTGTGAAATTTGGGAGTCAGACTAGATCTTGTCCTGTGAGATGGACTGAGGAAGAACAGAACCCATAGCCAAATAAATTTACACATTAATAGAATAAAGGTTCTAGGATGACCCTCAGTAAGTAGCCTATCAGCTTTGTTTAACCCAGCTGTCAGTTGAGATGTTCTTTGCCACAAGTAGGAGAAACTTCCATTTTAACAGGTTTAAACAACGAAGAGACTTCCTTGGCTTAAGTCATTACAAGTGTCCTGAGGTAGGAGGGTGATCAGCATGGTTCAATCAGCGTCCTAGATCCAGCTCTCACCAATCCTTTTCATTCAGCCCTCCTCAGTGTCATCTTAACTCTCAGGGAGACTTCTCTCATGGCAACGAAATGGCTGCAGCAGCTCCAGCCCTCACATCTACATGTGATCATGTATGAAAAGAGAAAGAAAGACACTTCTGGTAGCCATCTTGGAAGGTCAAGGAAGCTTACTACTCCCTAGAGCCTCCTCACATCTCAGTGGCCTCACTTGTTCATCCCTAAACCAATCCCTAGGGGCAAGAGATGGGATTGTACTAACTAGGTTATACCTGAGCCACAGTCCCCACCCACAGAGCCCAGCATGAAGTCAGCTTCCCTGAAAGCCTATGGGCCATTCCAGGAAGATGTAAAAGCCAAAGTTTTTTTAAAAATAAGATAGTTTCCAGCAGAATGAGGAACAGATGTTGGAGAAGCCACCTCAATGTCCTCAACACTATCACTTTAAAATATTTTTGAGACTTGACTCTTTGTAAATTGCTTTCCACGTATTAGCAGGAATATACACATCTTGGGACATTCTATACTATATGTCCCTAAAGTTTTTCCACCTCTGAAGTGGATTGATTCTATGAAAGACCCCAACAGAGGAAGCTAAGACATGCTATTAAATAGATAAGTGTTAGTTATTATCTTAACTGATGGATGCTAAAAGACATATCCTTTTGCCATATCAAGGACACATGACAGATGTCAGGAAAAGAATACAAGATTTAAGAGGACAATTTTTTTTTTTCTGGGAAGCAACATAAGAAATTACATCTCATGCCCTAGCCCTATCCATTTTATTTATTTCACCTCAAATTTACACATTTGAGCAACTGATGCTTTTTTTTTTCATTTTTGTGCAATTGAATACTAGAGCCCTTGGAATTTTGCTCATGACCTAAGCCCATGCATCATCCACCCTAGACTTGTTTATACTGTGAGGAAATGTCTTTTTACAAACAGCAGAAGCCTTGTTGACAGAATTACAATCCCGTTAGAGCATTTTCTTTTAATATAGCAACCGTGTTTGTGGTCTAAAGGTGACCCATTAATCAGATTTATGGAATGACTTCGAGGAGAGATTAGCTTCAGAATTGTATTAGTTTAGCTTCTCCCAGGGCTCAGTTTAATGAATCTAGAAACCATACCAGCCACAGATTTGTATTTTTCCATCCAGCTTAGTAAATTTTTATTTGTATTCAGAAAACATGCAGTACAGAGCAGGGAATGGGAACTGAGGGAATCCAGGGTGGTTCCTTATTGTAATGAAACCTAAGCCCTCCACAGTTTCAGCAGCTGGTCACTCACTTATTCATCTATTCAGCAAATTTTAATTCAAGACTTAGTGTGTGCATTGCCATGGCAAACCTTATGTGCCCTCAAAGGACTCTCAGTCTAGGGGTCACGAGGAACTTACAAATAGCTACAATGTCCCACGTGCTTCGGTAGCCTACCTGCAAAGGGACACAGAAGTGCAGAGGATGTGGTGACCCACCCACCTGCAGAAACGTCAAGGCCAAGGGAAGCTTTCAGTAAAAGAAGTAAAATTTCAGGAGAGCCCTGAAGGAGGAGCAACATTTAGCCAGGCAGAGGGAACATATTTCAGCTCACAGCCTGTTCCTGTGTCAATGAAATGTTGTATGTGTGGCTTATGCTGGTATTAGAAAGACCAGGACCAAGAAATGATAGAAACTTAGTGGAAGAATAATATAGATTATATATTTTTTTAATCTGACTTTTTACTGAGACTTGGAGCATCTGTCTTCTGTAAGTCAGGCAGCTGCTAAAATAAACAGCTTTCTGACAGCGTAGCACCGAGGGCCTAGCCTGGCCTGGCCTGCAACCTGTTTTCTTTTGTCTGTTTTCTTTTGTCTGTGAGTTTGCACCTGTGTCCTCAGGGAAACCTACAAGGGAGGAAGCCAGAGGTCCTGATCCTGGTTATGTCACTAATTAACTACATGACCTAAATGAAGCCACTTAAGCAGTTGGGGCCCCATGTGTTTCATCTTTAAATAGTGATCATAATATCTCTCTGGCATATTTTGTGAAAAGGTGTTCAGATGACATATAAGAGGGCTTGAAAATAATGAAGCTATAGAAATAAACTTCAGGATGCAATGCCACAGGGTGAGTAAAGCAATGACCTTACTGGATGCTTGGCATGGAGGGCTTTGACATGGGACCTGGGCTTTTCTCAGAGCTGCCATTTACCAAATATGTGGCCTATGCAGATACTTGGTCACTTGAGCCTCCATTTCAACCTATATAAAATGGGGCCGATACTAGCCCCTGACTCCCAGGGTCATGTGGATCCAATGAGATTATCTTTATAAATTGTTTAGCTCAGTGCCTGCACCATAAGTAGTACTAAGTAATTTTTTTGTTTTTTGTTCTGTTTTGTTTTGTTTTGAGCCCAGGCTGGAGTGCAGTGGCGCAGTCTTGACTCACTGCAACCTCTGCCTCCCGGGCTGGGGATTCTCCTGCCTCAGCCTCCCGAGTAGCTGGGATTACAGGCATGCACCATCATGCCCGGGTAATTTTTGTATTTTTAGTAGAGACGGGGTTTCACTATATTGACCAAGCTGATCTCAAACTCCTGGCCTCAAGTGGTCCTCCCACTTCGGTCTCCCAAAGTGCTGGTATTATGGCGTGAGCCACCACGCCCAGCCAGTAATTTTTTTTTTAATTTCCAATCATCTCAAGCTTAACCTTTTCAATGCCAACCCCAGCCTGAGGCTTTATCTTTTTTGCTGTGTGTCCTACACATACAAGGGTGGAATTGCTAGTTCTATAGTTTTAGTGGGAAAAGCCAAGGACATTCACTGAGCCACAGATACCAGTGGACAGGGTTATAATGATTTAAAAGCAAAATCTATGCTTTGCGCTCTCATTTTTCCTGCTAGTCTATGTGGCAGAATTTTAAAATCTGAATTCAGCAAAACTGTCTAGAGGTTAGCCCTCTTTCTTTTATTTCTGGCCACAGCACACTTGAACATACCCACACCAAGATTTAGATTCAGAAAAGGGATGTAGGTGGCCTCATCTGGCTCATAGCCTCAGCCACTTGGTCCAACTCAACTTCTTAACATAGACTCTATGTTAGAATATCATATTTGTACAGCTGTTAATAAAGCTGCAATTTGGTACTAATATTTCCTCTGAATAACAGCCCTCAAGGAAACCCCCAAAAGAAGATGAACTGATTGACCAGGCAGAATTTAAGCTTTGCCAGGGCTATCTGAACATCAAAATACAGTCATAAGCCTATCTTTGCCCTAAAAGTATATTCTGGGGTTGCTGCCTGCAGGTATTAAATGAGTTACTGCATGTAAAATGCTTAGCTTTGTGCCTGTGGCACTCATAAAATGTTAGCTTAAATATTGCTAAGGAGAGTTCGGTAGCCTTGATAGGCAGAAGTCATCACGAGCTTAACCCAAGGGGAGTAAGAAAGAATGACCACAGGCTCGAGTTTGGAACTGCATGAAAGAAGACAAAAAAATCTTTAACCATAGAACTCGACTCCAAGCTCTAATAATATAACAAAATGGGCCTCGGGGAGGACTCTGAAAAATGCAGACAACAGAAAAACATCCATTATCATTCCTGGCTATGAAAAGTGCAGTTGGCTGGACTTACAGACCAGCAGACCATTGCATCCAGCCTTCAGGCCTTTGCTCTACACTTGGCACCAACAAACCAGGCTCCTTTCTGAAGCATCCATTTTGCAGGTGCCCATGCTACTCCCACTGCCTCACCCTGTGCTCACAGAAGGCCATAAACCATTTGGGCGAATTCAGCTTGTCATTTCAGGAGAGAATGCTTTAGGTCCTCCCCAAAACTCACTGGGTGGGAGAGTCATAAAACAAGAATTCAGGTGTCCCTGATGCTCCGCACTCTTGTCATCAGGCATGATTTGTATGTCCACGGGTAAGGATTTATGGCCTCTGTTTTGCCATTAAGGAGATCAGAATTCCAAAAGGTGAGGCTCCTGTTCTCAACCCAACCTCTGCTAGGTTTATGTCACCTTCTTCTGAGGCTCAATCAGCTTCATGCCTCACTCCAAAACAGAGCCACGAGACCATGCTGAGCCATGTCACTCCCACCACCATCACTCATCTGTCCTTGTAGACACACCTGTGTGACCTTATGCAAGTTAGATAACTTTCTGAGCCTGTTTCATCATCTATGAAATAGGGATAATGATAAAAATAAAAGCTATTCCATTATTAGGCAGCTAACCTGTAATGGAGGTTAAATGCTGGGTTCATTATAGGTAGTCAATACATGTAAGCTAATAATTTAAAATATCATTGTTAGAAGTCTCCACTAGGGTATCTATAACAAAGATGTTAAAATGGCCAAAGGTTAGGAAAAACTGCCTTTCTACTACCTGTATTCAAGAAAAATATACAAGGAATCAATTGATATTTACTAAACACTCCCCATGTGCTAAACACTATACCCAACCCTATGTGCATATAGAAATATAAGACCCAGGATCATCGCAGCTCTTAGCAAGCTTCTTACGTACTTTAAAATAGAAGATGCACACGACAATTAGGAAATAGGATGGTAATATACAGGGAAGTGTGGCAACAAGATGTGCACCGTCATGTCCAGTGCCCAGGAGTGAAAAGAGAAAGGCAGCATTTGGATCTGCAGAGGTTAAAGGATGAGCATTTGGGAGGCAATTCATATCCTTGAATACCCCCAGGCTGAAGAATCGTAACCCATGGCTATGATCTTGCTGGATGGCACCTGTGACTTCCATGTCCTCTGAAGCACTGTGTTTCCATGGCCATCACTGCTTAGTGACATTCTATGTGCAGTTCTGCTTTCTTTACTGCCACCACATGGTCAAAAAGGTCAGGAGTGGGTTATCCCCAGACCTGGGGCTTCAAACATCCTCCCAATATAAAGAACTTTATACTGTATTAATGTAACCCAAATGTTCCAGCCCTCACTAGCTTCTGGGTATGAATGAGGTCCCATTAATAAAAACGTCCCAGTGACCATGCCATTCAGCTCCAATCTGCTGACTTAGAACCTCAGTCCTCCCACCCTAATCCTCAGCTCTCCACAGATATATCTAGGCATCCTCAGATTGGTAAATATCACATGTGTCCTCCACTATTTCCAGCCCAGCCAGGGGTCCTGGTCGCCCCCCCTCCCCCACCCCCCTGCTTCTCTGGCCTCAGCTGTTTCTTTCTGGTGCTTCCCTGAGCCCTGCAAGTCTAATCCACCTCCCCAACCCCATTGTGATCTGTAGGTCACACAAGTTGTAAGCAGAGAAGCCAGGATTCAAAGCCTCTCTCAATCCCTATGCTGCAGTCACTCTGTCGGGCATTCCTCTCTCACCCTGGGTTAGTGACATGGCACTGAGCATTCTGGGCCTGGCATTCGAGCTTCCTGAAGGACAGCCAGGCCAGCTCATCATCCTGTGTGGAATGGGAAGTTCCACAAGTTAACTAATCCTTCTGAAAAATCCCCTCTACTCTAGTTGCCTGAAACTCTCTTAATAAAATCCAGATGCTTGAGAAATGGAGCCTTCAGCATCCTCTCCTCCCTCTATTTCGCCTTTCACCTGCTCCCCCATGGCATCCAGTTGGCTACAAACCTCTCTTGCTGTTTATTTACCTCTTAATAATCCCTATCTCCTCTCAGAAAGCCATTTAGCACTGCACCACTTAATTTTCCTCGTGGCAGAATCTGCCAGATGGAGCCTTCATCCCGAGCCATGTTGATTTGTCTTATTTTTAAACAGCAGTGAACATGGCATAAAACTAAAATAGCAGTCAGTTCCCAGGTGTGGACCCTCTAGTAGGGGGACAGTCCAGGGTGTGTGGATGTTTCCACCTGGGGCAGCTGTTCGAAACAGGCTGGATTAATGAGAGAATGACTTCTGCAGGCGGCTCCTGGCCAGCTGCTGGTCTCCCCTGGGCTTCACTCCATGCAAGAGCATGCTGCTTTTCTGTATCAGCAGGATTCGGCCAGTCATCACCTCCCCTGACTGAACCCCCTTGGGCTGTGTGCATCCCTGACTTTTCCACAGATATGGTCCTGACAGTGGAGGAGACAAAGTAGATGCTAGAGAATCAGCATAAAGTGGCCCAGGGCAAGAAGGAAATATCCCTGATCTCATTTTTTAATCCCCAAAATTCCTACAAAATGTGTCTCTGATTCCATAACATAACTAAGTTTAGTTACTATAAATAAAATTTTTCAAATTTTGTACTGGCCAAACTACTGAACTATGTTTCCCCTAAACTTTTTTTTTTTAATGAATGCTCCCAAAGTCATATGGATCTCATAGCTTTATTATTCCTAGATGCCTACCAGGGTATCCTGGAGGTATGTGTGCTTCTGTTTGAGAAGCTCAACCCTGGAACTGGGCTATCTCTGTCTTGGGGAAGGCAAACCCACAACAGTCACTGAGAATATTTCTTCACCACTGCATGCGATCCTAAGGAAGAGAGGATTATGTCTAAAGAAAAGACAGGCAATTATAACCAGTAGAGCAGTGACCTCCTTGGGATCCAGCAAGTAATGTAAAGAAGAGAGAGACTAGTCTGACTTACCACTTGTGGGTGGCTCCTTTGATACTTAGATCATGACAGGACTTGACAGGACAATACTCCAGCCCAGCTCACAGAAGTGACAGCTCAGAAAAACACATATGCCACAAGCTCCTCTCCATAGCACTCCATCTTCCAGCACCTTTATAATCCACATTCTAGAATAAGCAGTGCAGTCCTTTATTACAAAGGGGGAGAATGAGATTCAGTGTTCATGGGTGGAGGTGCATTGGCCTTGCCTTTGATATGCCTCTGTATGCAGATACTGGCCAACGAGTATTTATCAAAACCAGTTTGCTCTGGGAGGGTTGGCGATCAGGATTTGCTCAGAGTGGAAGGTGTTCTCCCTGAATCCAATCTCAAATACTGGGTAGAATGCTGAGATTATAGCAGTCAACTGATACCCCACATCCCCAAAGGCATTATCCAGTAGGACACAGAAGCCAAAGAAGGGAGAAAAAAAAGGAAGACAAGACAGAATGAGTGATACATTCTTTGTTCCTTGGGACAATTTTGCTATAATATTTAAGAACACTTTAAAGCACTCTCTCAAAAAGAAAAAAGAAAACCAGTCTCTCCTTCACTCTATGAGATTCTTTTCTCACAGAGAGTATGGACCATTCCAATGCCTGTAAGTAGCCTTATACTTGGATATTTAACAGGTTTTCCCAGGGCTACTTTGAAGAAGGAAAAATATTATCCCCTGAGTCAGCAGAGAGACCACGAGGTGTTTGACTGTTACAATGGCACTCTTAGTGAAGGAGTTCCCACCCTAAATATATAAATAAACAACAAAATGTTTAAATAATCAAATGTATTTCCAAAATGGCACAGGGAAACAAATCTGGGGTGACTGCCCCTATTATTCATAGAAAATAAAAGTGAGGGTTGGGGGGAGATGGGGATGGTTAATGGGTACCAAAAAAAAAAAAAAAAAACAAAACAAAATAGAATGATTAAGACCTAGTATGTGATAGTACAACGGTGACTATAGTCAATAATAATTCAATTATATATTTTTAAATAACTAAATGAGTACAATTGGATTGTTTGTAACACAAAGGATAAATGCTTGAAGGGATGGATATCCTGTTTTCCATGATGTGATTATTACACATTGCATGCCTGTACGAAAGCATCCCATGTACCCCATAAATATATATACCTACTATGCACCCGCAAAAATTTAAAGGAAAAGAAAAGGGATGTGGGTGGAGTGGAAGCACAGAATGAGCTGATTAACTGAAAGGTGCTTGGAAACCTGTTATGTGCTTTCACATGTAAGGAGGAATTATTACTAAAATGCTACAGACGCATCACCCCCAGAATCCTCAGAAGGGGTCTCAATAGTCATTTGGATGACATTTAACCGTGTCTGCTGCACTGAGCTCCCAGAGCCACAGAGCACTTCCACAGAACCCTGTGGTTCTTTCGAGTTCTAAAGTTGCTCCCCAATTCCAATGTCCCTGTTTATTTTATAGACTTGGCCTTCCAAATGGAAGCACCTTTATTTCAGGTGGCTGGGGAAGTCTTCTGAGAAGATCTTTTATAACCAGGAAGATTGGATCTTAGGAAGACTTGTCTGAGATTCTCCAGAGGGCCTCCAGGAGGGGAGGAAGACACCAAAACCCTCTTCCTCCTCAGGGACTTTTGTGATGTCAAAGGAGAAAACTGGAATTCTATTCACAACTCTTTCTCTGTGGAAGAGTAGATGTGTCATGCCCAGTGCAGCTCAGATTCCAGCAGAAACAGAAACAAGAACATGCCCAGAGGGGCTCAGCATCAGTGAAGAAGCCCAGCAAAGGAAAGCTTGCTTCTCCCGGTCTGGCTGCCTTCAGAGGCACCCAGCTTCAAGCCAGCTGGGCTCAGTTAGAAAGACCACATGTGGGATATTAGTTTGGTTTCAAATCCCACACTTAAAGCGGGACATTTCCAAATGCAGACAGATGAGCCCACACCTCCGGAACAGATCTTGAAACTGTGTCACATGAGGAATAATTGAGGGCACCTGGAAAGTTAAATTTGGCTTGGCACACCCCAAAGTCTTCATGGGACACCTGATGAATGCCTTAAAATATTTAAAGAATGGTAGAAGGTGGAATAGACCGTATTACCTGGAAGAGCAGAACTGTTTAAATATTTGGTTAGGCAGAAGGAAGACTTTCTGAAATGAGAGTTCTTTGAAAATACAATGCAGCCAGGAGCAGTAGCTCACGCCTGTAATCCCAGCACTTTGGGAGGCCGAGACAGGAGGATCACTTGAGGTCAGGAGTTTGAGACCAGCCTGGCCAATATGGTGAAACCCCATCTCTACTAAAAATACAAAAATTAGCTGGACATGGTGGCAGGCGCCTATAATCCCAGCTACTCAGGAGGCTGAGGAAGGAGGATCACTTGACCCTGGGAGACAGAGGTTGCAGTGAGCCAAGATCGTACGACTGCACTCCAGCCTGGGCAACAGAGCAAGACTCTGTCTCAAAAAAAAAAAAAAAAAAAAAAAAAGGATGCATTGCCTTGAGAAGTGGGGAGTTCCTTAGCTGGAGGTGGGAAGGCTGAGGCTGCAGGGAGGTAGTATACCCAAGCAGCAAAAACTGTGGGTTTTGGTGTCGGGCTGGACCCAGGTTCAGGTTCCAGCTCTGTTTTTGTGAGACTTTGAAAAATTTCTTTTGACCCCCAATTACCTCACTTGTGAAATGGGTATGATAATATCTACTCCTGTGGGTTATTATGCAAAGTAAATGAAATGTTAATGAACACAAGTGCTTGGCAGGTAAGAAATGCTAAATTTGTCATTGTTCCTGTCACTATTATCTCAGCTTGATAAATTGGATAGGAAGATAAAATAATTTCCTCAGATTTCCTCAGATTTCTTCGGCCCTCTAATTCCACAGTTACTGTGAGGTCTCATTTCATCAAAACTCCTGGTAGCATCCTCCTAATTCCTGGACTGCCCAGAGTGTTCTGTTTCAGTGTGGCTCCGGATCTTCCTAGACAGTGGCAGAGATCCTCGCCTTTCCTATCGTCACTCTCCTTATAATCAAAAACAATCTTTCCCATATCCCAGTTCCCTGAAACTCTATTTTCTTTGGTAATAACTGGCTATTCTGGTAAATAGTGGATATTAACAGTAGAACCATATTAATATGACAATACAGTTACCTTCTCCTTTAAAATTTTTATCTTTTAAGGAAGCAAGGGCTGAACACAGAACTTGGTCAAGAACTGGCAGGCAAGAAAAATTCTAAATGTTCATAAGAACAGATTTTGTTTTGGTTTGGGTTTTTTTTTTTTTTTTTTTTTTTTTTTTGAGACAGAGTCTTGCTTTGTCACCCAGGTTGGAGTGCAGTGGCGCAATCTCGGCTCACTGCAACCTCCGCCTCCCAGGTTCAAGCGTTTCTCCTGCCTCAGCCTCCCGAGCAGCTGGGACTACAGGCACGCACCACCACACCCAGCTAATTTTTGTATTTTTAGTAGAGACAGGGTTTCACCATATGGGCCAGGCTGGTCTCGAACTCCTGACCTCATGATCCACCCACCTCGGCCTCCCAAAGTGCTGGGATTACAGGTGTGAGCCACCACACCCGGCCAAAGACAGATCTTTACTAATGAGATTCTGTAGATTATGCCTAGCTATTCTAGAGAGATTATGAGGTGGTCATTCAGGGGTAAGGTAGAATACAAGGCAATCTCATGACAGGCTGACTTGGTGGATAGTTAGGTGCTGGTGGGACCTTCCTCTATTCTTTCATTAGTGTTCTGAGGAAACTTAAAGCTCACTCACACCCTGTCTTTCTCTCACCCAAGAAAAGAGCAGACCTATGTGCAGAAGTGCTGGAAGGATGTGCGCGTGGGAGACTTCATCCAAATGAAATGCAATGAGATTGTCCCAGCAGACATACTCCTCCTTTTTTCCTCTGACCCCAATGGGATATGCCATCTGGAAACTGCCAGCTTGGATGGAGAGACAAACCTCAAGCAAAGATGTGTCGTGAAGGGCTTCTCACAGCAGGTAGGGCTCTTTCTAATATCTTCAATGGTAAAGTCATAGAAAGGATGCAAGCCTACCCTACTGGAAAATTGAACTAAACCTACTGGGTAGAGGGGAAAGTAGTAGATGCCTCCTTTTCCCTAGCACTTTAGATACACTAAATCCTACCAGCAGCCCTCTGAGATGGATATTATCTGCATATCACAGATGAGGAAACTGAGGCTTAGTAAAGTTAAATAACTTGCTGAAGGCCTCAGAGTTTCTAAATGGGGATCCACTCTGTTCAACTGAGGAAACTATACTCTCTGCTCTGAACTGAGGAGTCTAATGTCTGTTCCATCATCACTAGGACCAACTCCTCTTCTGTGCTCATCCAATCCCAACTCACTCTGCCCAGCTCAGTCCTAGCAATCTCTCCTGCCACGAATCCTAATATTCCTTCTGCCCCTCCTAAACTGCAGCAAGGTATCATTAACTATGTTTCCATTTGTGTATTCCTTAACTTCTCAACAGTGCTTAAGCCTCCTTGAGGGCAGACAGAGATCACTGATATCTTTTTTTTTTTAAGAGACTGGGTCTCCACTGGGTGCAATGGCTCAAGCTTGTAATCCCAGCATTTTGGCAGGCCGAGAGGCAGGTAGATCACTTGAGGCCAGGAGTTCCAGATCATCCTGGCCAACATGGTGAAACCCTGTCTCTACTAAAAATTTAAAAAATAGCCAGCCCCGTGATGGCAGGCATCTGTAGTCCCAGCTACTCAGGAGACTGAGGCGGTAGAATCACTTGAACCCAGGAGGCAGAGGTTGCAGTGAGCTAAGATCACAGCCTGGGCAATAAAGTGAGACTCCGTCTCAAAAAAAAAAAAAAAAAAAAAAGAGAGAGACTGGCTCTCAGTCTGTCACCCAGACTGGAGTGCAGTGGCATTGACACTTTTGTTTAATCCCCACCCTTTCATAAATGGTACCTCAGACATCATGGAGAAATCATTATTGTTTGGTGGGTAAAAGCTCTGGCTCTGGGGTCTGACTGAGATGGGTTCAAAGCCCAGGTCTCACCACTCATCAGCCATCTCACCTTGGGCAAGTTACCGTCCTCTCACACCTTGGTTCCCTCATCTGGAAAATGGGGACAAAAATAGTTCCCTTTCCATAGGGTAGTTTTGAAGACTAAATGGTAGGTACATGACTTACTTAGCATGAAGATAGGCACATAGTAAAAGACCAGGGAACAGTTGGTATTAATATCAATGCTTTCATAGGCAATATGTGTTGACTGACTGAAGCTGGGTGTGATATCCCAATTTGCAATTAAAATTCTCCTTGTGGGAGTTGATTTCCAATATGGTCCCTTTCTTTAACCAGGGAAAAGAGTACAATTTTATCACTTTTCTTCATTCTGCCAGCCTTTGGCTGGGGAGAAATGGAATGAGTCAGAGGATTTGGGAGAAGGAAAGCAAATGATTTATTCCTCAGAGATTCTCATGAGCTAGAGTGCAGTTTTCCAGACTCAAACTTCTCAAAATAAGTTTTTAAGTTCTAGGAGCAAGGGTCATTGTACCTTGCCTTGCCTCTCTCTAAGCACCTGATAAACAGCTCTCATAAAACCCTTTTTGTGTGATTGATTTGGTCCTCAGAAGCCTGTTCTCTCATGCATATCATGGGAATAATAATAGCTATCCCATGGTTTTGCTGTGAAATTCAAATGGTATAAGGAAAGTAAAGAACAGAATAAAGAGTTTGCTACCCAAGAGACTCACAATAAATGGGAACCATTGCTGCTACTGAGGCTGCAGTTGCCACCACTGGAAATGGAAACCACCACCACTCACTGTAGATCAGCATGTCCACTGGTCTCCAGGCTCTGAGTCAATCACTGAGCAAGGGGCCTGTCTCTGAGTTTTCTCACCCTTTGCTTATTACAGCCGCATTTGCTAAATCACCCTAGTGTTTGCAAAAAGGCAGGGTGAGATCTGGTCTAAGTTCACAGAGTCATTCTAGACAAGCAATAACAGCCTGTTTCTGGGCTCAGAACTCTGTAGCCTGCCCTTCGACCAGAGGCTTTCAAGTCTTTTCAACAGTAACAATGAGAAATGTATAAAATATTACACATAGATACACACACACTCACACATGCTGACACACATACACGTGTGTATATGCGTGTGAATGAGTATGTAAGAATGACACCTTAGCCTCACCACATGCAAGGCACTCTGAGACTTTCTATGCTATTCTACCTTTTTTTTTTTTTTTTTTTTGGACAGTCTCGCTCTGTTACCCAAGCTAGAGTACGGTGGCACAATCTGCTTAGTGCAATCTATGCCTACTGGGTTCAAGGGTTTCTCCTACCTCAGCCTCCCAAGTAGCTGGAATTACAGGCGTGCACTACCACACCCAGCTAATTTTTTGTATTTTTAGTAGAGACAGGGTTTTTGCCATGTTGGCCAGGCTGGTCTCGAACTCCTGACCTGAAGTGATCCACCTGCCTTGGCCTCCCAAAGTGTGGGGATTACAGGTGTGAGCCCCGGTGCCTGGCCTATTCTACCGTTTTTGTTTTTTTTAAAGTTCTAGGAGCAGTAAAACTTATAAATCTCCCCTTTAGCCTCCCTACCCCAACATTCTGAATGTTTCTTACTCTCTCTGGCAGTCATTTCAGTGTTGTTTCAGTTCAACCAGTGACTTCTTTTTGTCTTTGGCAGCAGTTCCCAAACTATGTTTTGCATATTAATTAGTCAGATAGTTTGGGATTTAGCTGGAATGAAGAGTCAGGTAAAAGGGTCATTCACACTCCGGTGCTATAGACCAGCCTATTTAATGAGTCTCTCCAACCCTAACCCTCAGTTCTCACAGAGCACTCGCTGAGATGATTTACAAAAAGAAAAACAAAAAAGAGAGAGAGGTAAATTCCTATGTGAAAGGAAGATTATTTGAGCTTGAAGCTTTCCAGGGTTCTCTACTCTGTCTCAGTTCTTGATTCTCCCCCTCACTTTGCTCAAGAGTGTTTTTTTCATTTTAGTAATAATAATAGACTTTTATTGATTCCATACTAAGGGCTTTGCATGATTATCTCGTCTATCCTCAAAACAACCCAATGAGATGGGCACTATTATTGTCTCCATTTTATACAAAACGAAACTGGGGCATACAGAGGTCCTGTAACTTGCCCAAGGTCACTGAGCCGGGAAGTGTTGAAGCAGGATTCAAAGCCAGGTTTGTCCAGAGCCTCAGTTTTTTGTTTTGTTTTGTTTTGTTTTTTGTTTTTGTTTTGAGACAGAGTCTTGCTCTGTCGCCCAAGCTGGAGTGCAGTGGCACGATCTCTGCTCACTGCAAGCTCCGCCTCCCGGGTTCACGCCATTCTCCTGCCTCAGCCTCCCGAGTAGCTGGGACTACAGGTGCCGGCCACCACGCCCGGCTAATTTTTTGTATTTTTAGTAGAGACGAGGTTTCACCGTGTTAGCCAGGATGGTCTCGATTTCCTGACCTCATGATCCGCCTGCCTCAGCCTCCCAAAATGCTGGAATTACAGGCGTGAGCCACTGTGCCCGGTCCCAGAGCCTCAGTTTTTAAGGCTCAGTACTTCATCTCCCTGGCCCTTTAACTGTTACCTTGCGTTCACACAGAGATGCTTACTTGAAAGCACACATTTATTGTTGCCAGGATTCTTTCCACATAGAGATAGAGGGTGGCAGGGATAATGAAAGTGGGCTCAGCCTGCTCCCTGGAGGGAGACATCTTGGCTGCTCTTTGCGACCTTGCTTCTCCCTTATACTTTTAGGGCAGAAAGATTTCTGAGTATGGATAGAACTCGCTTCTGGCTAACTCGGTACCATAGGATTTCCCTAACGTATTGAACAAACATGTTGATGAGAGTTGCAAGAAAAATAAATGTTGCAAGGCCAAGTAATATGAGAAGACAATAGATTACAAGCTTTCAAATATGTGTTCTGCAGAATTTCTCTGATACTTTAATAAGCCCCAAGGAGAAGGACAGGTGCTATTATGTAGTATTTCTAAATATTTAAGCACAAGAAACTTTTATCCCAAGAAACACATCTCAGAACTACTGTAGGAGGGGTGGGCTACCACTAAGGGATTTGCTGCAAGTATATTACAGGTGTTGAAGGTGTATCATAATCATCACACGGGAAGTTTTTAACAATATATATGCATCCTTCTGTATCACCACCAGTAAATTATGACTCACTAGGACTGAGTAGGGACTTGAGTGTGCATATTTTTAAAAATTTTCTCCCAGACAATCTCGATATAAACCTACCACCACCTCCTTGAAAACCTGTACAACCAAGGAGAGGCGCCATCTCCAGTGCTTCCAGAAACACTTATCCTAATAATGGGGAGAAAACTACCATCTAGGTACTTTTTACTATATACTAGTTCTTTTACATGCATTGTCTATTTTAAGCCTAAGATCACCATGGGAGGTGGGCATTACTATCCCTATTTTACACATGAAACCTCTGAGGCACTGAAAGAGCAAATCTCACTAATCATCTCAGAGATTTTGAACACCTACAAATATGGTTTGTTTGGAAATTTAATATCTTACATAATAAGTATTAATGGCTCTTGATAGTTTATTCTCCCTCTAAGTCCCTACTGTCTTTGAGACCTTCACCTTGCCAAAAGGGTTTTTACTAACCACAGAGATTACTAGGAACATCTAACCCCACATATATACCCACACTCATTTTTACCATCTTCTGGATGATGAGAATTACTATATTCGGGTAATTCAAAGTCAGTAAGACATACTTTGTCCCAGCTCACATAGATCTGCATTTCTCACAGTCTGCTAAGCACTTGTCCCAAGAGACAGTTCTTGAAAAACTCATGGTCCGTGGTCAAGTCAGATTACAGTTTACAAGTCAAATTAAGAAGCTTTTGTCCTGTGAACCCCTCTTGCAGGTTCCAATGTTCATTAACATATTAACGTCTCTGAGAAAGCCTGGAGTCAATAGGCCTGTTAAACTTTCTTTAGCCCTGAGCTCTCCAAATTTATTTAACCTAAGAATTATTTTTCAGCACAAATATTATTAACATTCCTATGGACCTTTTCAGAAAATATTAGCCTGAATTGTGGTACAGACATGGTCACAACAGGTGAAGGGTAACAAAGAAGTTGACAATCCTCATGGCTTAAGCAGTTCATTCTTCCTTTTCCTGTTTAGGTTCAAATGAAATTATAAACATTAAAGAACTTCTTAAAAGGGTCTTTCTCCCATGACATTGCAGATTATCCTCAAGGCTGCCAAAGAGTTAGTTTCAAATCCTTTCCTCAGAATTCTTCTTGGACTAAATCTACTTTTTTTTTCATTGGAACTTTTATCCCAATGGGCCATCTTTGAATTTATAAAATTATTGACCTATTTTTGAGAGATTCACTCTCACTTCCCATTGTTAAAAAAAGAGGGGAAAGGGAAGGAATTAGGATTTGCTAAAAACCTGTCCAGCTGGCAAGAGGACTTTATTAGAGAATTCAAACGTACAGTTTTCTCTTTGGTGACATTCTGATACCTGAAACCTCTTCTGTAAAAGAGTTTTAACCTAGGAATTTAACACCTGGAAAGGAGTATATAGCATTCATTTTGATAAATGTAACAGTTATCTAAGCCAAAGAATCAGAAATGAATGCTTCCAGTTAGTGTTTCAGATCAAACATGTCCCTGGCTATCTATTTTCCAAATCACTGAAGCCTAAGTCCCACTGAAGCATGGGTCAGATCATTCCCCAGGGCCAAGTGGGAACTTGCTATGCCAAGTATGATCTGCGGACTAGCCACTTCAGTAAGCATCACTGAGAGCTTGTCAGAAATGCAGAATCTCAGGCCCCATCCCAGACTGAACCAGAATCTGCATTTTAACAGGATCCTCAGGTGATTCATGTGTACATGAAAGTTTGAAAGACACTGGCCTAGAGCATCAATAATCAACGTAATAATCATATGTATCTGTTTGTTGCTCAGGTTAAAAATTCTCCATTGAGTCTCCCTTTTGACTAGCTTGCATGCCACCAATGGTTAGTGCTTTTAAGCCATTTGCTCAATTACGAATAGCTGCTATAGCTTGGATCCTCTGCAGTGAAAGTATGTATTGATTTTAAGGTACTTAGAGGAGCATTTTGCCAACAAAGAGTTGAGATCCAATAGGGAGAAATTTATTACCTTCCCAGTTCAGTGATGTCAAACCTCAGTTAAAGCAAAAGGTAGCAACCTATCTTCTAACCTTGCCTGCTCTTGAGAACCAGAGAAAGTTCCTCTTTCCTGCTAGATTTGCACTGGGACCTGTCCCTGACAGGCTTCTCCAAATTTCATTTAAGAATGAAACTTAGTGCTTTCTACCTGTTGATCAGTGCTTAAATGTTGAGCACAGATCACATTTTCTAGGATTCTTTTAAAATATGACTTCATAATAGTATAAAATATCAAGAAGAGATTACAACAGATAACTGGATTAAACACCTATGTGCCATAGGCAGTTTTTCTAAGTGTTCTATATCTATTATTTCTTTCTACTACTCAAAAAAACCCTGTAAAATAGGTGCTTTTATTATCTATTTAACAAATGAGGCAAGAACAGTTAAGAAACCCTGTTCTCTAGGTTAACTGAGCTCAGATTCAAACTCGGGCATAGTTCTTTGGTTTGTTTGTTTGCTTTTTGTAATGGAAATTTTTTTTTATTATACTTTAAGTTTTAGGATACATGTGCACAACGTGCAGGTTTGTTACATATGTATACATGTGCCATGTTGGTGTGCTGCACCCATTAACTCGTCATTTAGCATTAGGTATATCTCCTAATGCTATCCCTCCCCGCTCTCCCCACCCCACAACAGGCCCCAGTGTGTGATGTTCCCCTTCCTGTGTCCATGTGTTCTCAATGTTCAATTCCCATCTATGAGTGAGAACATGCGGTGTTTGGTTTTTTGTCCTTGCGATAGTTTGCTGAGAATGATGGTTTGCAGCTTCATCCATGTCCCTACAAATGACATGAACTCATCATTTTTTATGGCTGCATAGTATTCCATGGTGTATATGTGCCACATTTTCTTAATCCAGTCTATCATTGTTGGGCATTTGGGTTGGTTCCAAGTCTTTGCTATTGTGAATAGTGCTGTAATAAACATACATGTGCATGTGTCTTTATAGCAGCATGATTTATAATCCTTTGGGTATATTTCCAGTAAGGGGATGGCTGGGTCAAATGGTATTTCTAGTTCTAGATCCCTGAGGAATTGCCACACTGACTTCCACAATGGTTGAACTAGTTTACAGTCCCACCAACAGTGTAAAAGTGTTCCTATTTCTCCACATCCTCTCCAGCACCTGTTGTTTCCTGACTTTTTAATGATTGCCATTCTAACTGGTGTGAGATGGTATCTCATTGTGGTTTTGATTTGCATTTCTCTGATGGCCACTGATGATGAGCATTTTTTCATGTGTCTTTTGGCTGCATCAATGTCTTCTTTTGAGAAGTGTCTGTTCATATCCTTCGCTCACTTGTTGATGGGGTTGTTTCTTGTAAATTTGTTTGAGTTCATTGTAGATTCTGGATACTAGCCCTTTGTCAGATGGGTAGATTGCAAAAATTTTCTCCCATTCTGTAGGTTGCCTGTTCACTCTGATGGTAGCTTCTTTTGCTGTGCAGAAGCTCTTTAGTTTAATTAGATCCCATTTGTCAATTTTGGCTTTTGTTGCCATTGCTTTTGGTGTTTCAGACATGAAGTCCTTGCCCATGCCTATGTCCTGAATGGTAATGCCTAGGTTTTCTTCTAGGGTTTTTATGGTTTTAGATCTAACATTTAAGTCTTTAATCCATCTTGAATTAATTTTTGTATAAGGTGTAAGGAAGGGATCCAGTTTCAGCTTTCTACATATGGCTAGCCAGTTTTCCCAGCACCATTTATTAAAAAGGGAATCCTTTCCCCATTGCTTGTTTTTCTCAGGTTTGTCAAAGATCAGATAGTTGTAGATATGTGGCATTATTTCTGAGGGCTCTGTTCTGTTCCATTGGTCTATATCTCTGTTTTGGTACCAGTACCGTGCTGTTTTGGTTACTGTAGCCTTGTAGTATAGTTTGAAGTCAGGTAGCATGATGCCTCCAGCTTTGTTCTTTTGGCTTAGGATTGACTTGGCAATGCGGGCTCTTTTTTGGTTCCATATGAACTTGAAAGTAGTTTTTTCCAATTCTGTGAAGAAAGTCATTGGTAGCTTGATGGGGATGGCATTGAATCTATAAATTACCTTGGGCAGTATGGCCATTTTCATGATATTGATTCTTCCTACCCATGAGCATGGAATGTTCTTCCATTTGTTTGTATCCTCTTTTATTTCATTGAGCAGTGGTTTGTAGTTCTCCTTGAAAAGTTCCTTCACATCCCTTGTAAGTTGGATTCCTAGCTATTTTATTCCTTTTTGAAGCAATTGTGAATGGAAGTTCACTCATGATTTGACTGTTTGTCTGTTATTGGTGTATAAGAATGCTTGTGATTTTTGTACATTGATTTTGTATCCTGAGACTTTGCTGAAGTTGCCTGTCAGCTTAAGGAGATTTTGAGCTGAGACGATGGGGCTTTCTAGATATACAATCATGTCACCTGCAAACAGGGACAATTTGACTTCCTCTTTTCCTAATTGTATGCCCTTTATTTCCTTCTCCTGCCTGATTGCCCTGGCCAGAACTTCCAAAACTATGTTGAATAAGAGTGGTGAGAGAGGGCATCCCTGTCTTGTGCTAGTTTTCAAAGGGAATGCTTCCAGTTTTTGCCCATTCAGTATGATATTGGCTGTGGGTTTGTCATAGATAGCTCTTATTATTAGTATATACAAAACTGGAGAGAATAATATGATACATTTCTATGGACCCATCACTTAATTTCAACAATCAGTTTATAACCAGTCTTATTTTATCTGTCTCCCCACCCTCTACTCTCTGCAAATTATTTTGAAGCAGATCTTCAATATTTCATTTCACTGTAAATATTTTACTATCTCTGAAGGATAGGATTTTTAAAATATATGATTATATTATCATACCTAAAAATTAGCAACAATTCTTTGATATCAGCTTTCAAATCAGTTTTCAATATTTTCCATTTGTTTGAATCAGCATCCAAATAAGAACAAGTATTGAGATAATTTCTTTAATCTCTTTTATTCTGTAAGTGCCCCATTTAGCTCTCTTTTTAATGCATAGTTTTTGTTGCTTAATAAACCAGGTTGTTTGTCCTGTATGATTTCTCTTGTTGTTGTAGTTGTTGTTTTGTTTTGTGTTTTTTTTTTGAGACAGAGTTTCACTCTTGTTGCCCAGGCTGGAGTGCAATGGCGCGATCTCAGCTCACCACAACTTCTGCCTCCTAGGTTCAAGCGATTCCCTTGCCTCAGCCTCCAGAGTAGCTGGGATTACAGGCATGTGCCACCATGCCCAGCTAATTTTGTATTTTTAGTAGAGATGGGGTTTCTCCATGTTGGTCAGGCTGGTCTTAAACTCCCAACCTCAGTTGATCCGCCCACCTCAGCCTCCCAAACTGTTGGGATTACAGGCGTGAGCCACTGCACCCAGCCCCTGTACGATTTCTTATAGTCTGTGAGTTGTCTTCCTGTGGAACCATTTAACATGTTTTTCTGACCGCTATACTTTTACAACATGGTAGTAGGATCTAGTGCCTAAGTCGGACTGGGGTTAGATTTGGCATTTGTGCATGTGCATGTCAATGTTATGTCATAGGAACTGCAGTGTGCTACCATCTCAAGGCACAAACATCTATCTTTTTTCACTGTTAATAGTCATTGATGATGGTTGTTTAGATCTATGACTTCAATGGAATTTGAAAAACTAGTGATATTCTAATTGGTTTATAAGGAAAAATTTCCCTTCGTGAAGTATTGGGTCACTCCTAAGTGTCCTCTGTAGAGAAAACGGATGTTTTTGAGTCTTTCCTCTCATTTACATTTTCAAAATAATGAGTTGGTTGCCTAGGATCCTCCAAAGGTGTTCAGTGGGTTTTTCTTTTTTAGCATCAATATGAACTCATGGTTTTAAAAATATCTGACATATGTCAAATCAATGCATTTATTGTCTTTCATTATTGCCCCATCTCTAGCCAGTGGGAGCTTCTTAAAAATGAGAAGTGGCTCCTGAGTCCTTTTCACATAACGTTAGTGGTCTTTGGTAGATCTGGTTCCTTTTAATAGAAACCACAATAAGTACATGCTAGAGGAGTTTATTACTATTGGGTTGATTATTATTTCTATGCCATTTAAATGAACAGAACTAGGACACTTTTAAGATTAAATACATCTAGATTCATGCTGACCCTTCAAATTCAAGAATAGAGGTTTTTTAGTCCACCTCATCCACATTAAATACGTAATCTTTTTCCCACATCAGGCAAATTCCTTATCCACTGCATTACACCACCCCCTTTTGATATTTAACACTCACAGAAATTCTATGAGGTTGAAATTTTAGGAACTAGCAACATATTAGAGATGAGAAAATAACTTCAGAGAGATCAAATTTGTCAAAGATTATCCAGGTAATATAGTGTTGAGACCAAATTAGAACTCAGTTCTGACGTACCTGATTATTTATCCCATTGCGGGAAATATTCTTAACTTTCTTTAGATGTAGTTTTATTTCTCAAATGAATATAATTTTCATATGTATGAAAATTCTAAAGCTCTATAAATGTTAGGTTTAATTATTTATAATAATGATAACTTGATGGTGATGGGGCAACCCTATGAAAAACTGTTACTTTTATTTTCTATAGACTTCTGGCCTCCTTGTGGTGATCTCCTCCAGTCTTCTACTTGCATGTGGGTACACACTCTCCTCACACACCCACACAATGTCCCCTCTTCCCAATGTCTAGCATTATTTTCACATTTCTATTGAAAGGTCTTTTCCTTTAGAGCCTTACGAGGAAACTCTGCTAGGTTTGTGAAAGATGAAATTTTGTTTGTTTGTTTTTGTTTTTGTTTTTGTTTTTGTTTTTATTTGAGACGGAGCCTTGCACTGTTGCCTGGGCTGGAGTGCAATGGCGCGATCTCAGCTCACTGCAACCTCTGCCTCCTGGGTTCAAAAGATTCTCCTGCCTCAGTCTCCCAGGTAGCTGGGATTACAGGTGCCCACTACCATACCCGGCTAATTTTTTGTATTTTTAGTAGAGACGGAGTTTCACTATGTTGGCCAGGCTGGTCTCAAACTCCTGACCTCGTGATCCACCCTCCTCAGCCTCCCAAACTGCTGGGATTACAGGCGTGAGCCACTGCGCCCGGCCTGAAAGGTGAAATATTAATGGATAATATCTTAAAGTTATGGATGATAGCCTAAGGTATTAATGAATTATATCTTAAAGTTTTCTCCTTCCCACCACCTCCAGTACCCAAGACAACGTATTTACATTTTAGTATTGGCCTTCACTGTCTTAACCAATTGTAGGTATTTAAGGTCAATGTGGGAAATATTTGATATCTCAAATGAAAACCATACCAATCTAATATGGTATACGGATTAGTTAAGACTCTTGGTTACATGTGACAGAACTGTAATTCAAAATAGTGTGGACAAAAAATTAAATTTATTAGAAAAATATGGGGTGGGTTGGACCTCAGGTTCATGTGGAATGAGGGCTTCAGAATCCATCAGTATGATGTCCATCTCTTGTCTATGTTTCTTGTGATATGTTTGGTATGAATCTTTCAAACCAACTTCCTTCATGTGGAATGAAACGTGGTACCAGTAGTATTTGTGCTTTATAGCTTAACCCCCAGAGAGGGTCTAGCAACCTTCCCTGATGTCTAGATTGAAAAGCATCCTGGGGAAACGTACTGCCTGGCCTGGCTGGTACAATGTACCCATTCCTAGACAAATTAACTCTGGCCAGAAACAAAGGACTCTGTGATTGGCATCCTCCACTTGAACCTCATGTTTGAAATTGGTCTGTGGGGTGTGAGAGTTCTGAACAGCACAGCAATAAATATCCATTATATCTATGACTCATCAGAAATATATAAACCTAACTTATGTGTGACCATGGTCGTTCATCCTTAAGGAAGGGGGCTTAATACCCTCTGTCTCTCTCCTATAGTCCCTAGTGTTATTCCTCTTCCCAAAAAGCCCTTCCCTTCTGACCTCTCTCTGCCTAGGCAACACTCTGACCGGTGTCCCACAGGTAATCACTCCTTCCTCTGTGCTCCCATGGACTTTGCTCTTGCCACTCTCAACTATTATAGTCCGTTCAATAAATTCATTTACTCAACCACCATCTGATGAGGTCCTCCTGTTGCCAGACACTGTACTAGGATCTTTGTTTTGTGGTTTATCAGCAGAGGTGACACATTGTGATCATATCTCTCATGAACAACTTAATATAGTTTCTTGAACTGAAACTCATGCTTTCTTCTTTGTGAATTTTTTTGCCAAAACATGAGGTACAAAGTGTTGGATCTCATATCATCTTCTTGTGTTTCAGTTATCCACAGCAAGAAAGAATTTGTACAGAAAAGTTTGTCTGTGTAATACTCCCTTAAGGTGCCACTGGCCATCTGATGGCACCTGCCCATATTTCAGGCATCAGACCACTCACACATTCATTCATCAAGTATTTATTAAAAGCCTTCTATCTGCCGGATGCTGTAGCATGCTCTGGGGACCCAGAAGTAAACAAGAGAGATACAGGGTGCGACTGCATGCCCTTACAGGGAATTACACAGACAATTGTTAACAATTTTGCCAACAATTAGTTCCTTTTAGAAATGACAGAAGAAATCATCCTATTTCCAGTATTTGCTTGGCATGCCAAGCCCATGCCCTGTATGTTCAGGAAATGCCATAGCAAGATCTCAAGATTACTTTTAGTCAGCCCAACTGGGAAACAGAATATTTGTCCACTTGACAAAAGGGAACTCAAACTGTAAAAAATCCTTAAGATAGTCTCCCTCAGAGCCCTCCAGCCCAATCTGCCTGCTTTTGTGGGAGAATCACTAGGGCAGGCAGGGACCTCTAGAGTGATTGAATATGCAAATGATTTCCTCATCCAGAGCCAGAGGAAAGTAACTGCCAGTCACTCTGTTGTGGGTTATCTTGAAAAGAACCTTCACCTACCAGGAAGCAGAAAGGTTATCAAATGCTGGTAACTGTCATTAGTTTTCAGATAGGATTCTCAGAAATCAGAGGGTTGCTTAATTTGTATACCAGGAAGAAAACCTCAATCACCTAGCTCAGCAGCTGGGGCGTGAAGAACATTTGCTTTCACCATTTAGACAACTGATAACTTAAAATGAAAAAAAAAACTTTAGTGTTCTTCCAAGGTTGCAACATACCTCCTGTGTAGCTTCCTTGGTTGGCATGGTTTGCCTACCCTGTAACCCCTATTCCTTGGCACAGTCAGCTGAGCAGTCCACACAGGACGGTCAGTGCCGCCATTTTGCTATCCTTATCCCCAGGTTGTGGTGGCTCTCCTTGGTATTCCTTTAGCCTGGGAATCATGTAGAAACAGACACCAAGAGTTTCACAGAAGCATGGCAGTCACTAATCCAACTCGTCTTTTTGGTAAACATTCTTGACTCTTGGTAAAAACTAAATACATAAATGATTTCTATGTTTGAGGAAAGAGTTTTGTTGGTTTCCCTTTCTTCAATCGACAGAATCTTTCGTGAATGATATTTCCTAATGGACACGGAGGGATTTCAAAGTGGTCTAAGATGTTCTTCTAACCCTGTAAGAACTTTATGCCTATGGGTTCCATTTAAAAAAAAAAGACCCTTTGTGACTATAAAAAAAAGAGGTTGTCCTTTCAATGTCCATTATTTAAGAATATATATTAAAACCAAAAGCTACAGTGAATCTAGTGAAGTGGTAAATGAAATTTTAATTTATTAATCTCAATAATTCCTTTGGAAATCTGAAAGATAGTGGTACATGCATGTGTGAGACTTATTTTTACTCTGTCTATAGACAGCATTTGGGAGCATACAGGGGATTTGTAGACAAGATGCAGTAGCTTAATCTACCAATCAGGAACCACTAGCTTACAGAAACAGCTTGGTAGCAGGAATTACTTAACAGTCTCCTTCTTTCTTTTCCTCCCTTGAGTCATTCCACTCAAGTCAAAGCCCCACAGTGGGAGTGTTTAATGGGCAGGGCATCACGACTTAAATTCCCATCACAATTATAAACCAGAAAGGAAAGGCAGTTTCCCACAAGAAAGCCAGAAGTTTACAGAAAAAGGATGAAACAGAAGATGGGTAGCCAGAAAACAGCTATCCATTACAAACAATTTCAAAAGATCATTCATATATTTATTTAATCATGTGTATTGATCAATTCGATCATTAATTGTAAAGACTTAAAGGAAATAAGCCTAGAAAAGTAAAACTTGAGGCAAGCGCAAGGGAAATGGCCTATTCTAGCTAATGGAATATATTCCAGCCTGAGATGGCAGGCTTGCTGTACCTGGGACACAGGTGAGTGAGGAGGACCTCAACCCCGGGGAGTGATTACGCCCTGGCACCAGGCCCACTTTCCTTCGCTCTCAAAGATACCGCTATTGACACATCTGAGCCGGACTGGGAACTTTGAGTTGTCTTATGGCTGCAATCACTGATTTGTGTTAATCACCCCTTTCTTCCCTTGATTCTCACTTACTGTCCCACATGACTCCTCTATCATAGATAGTAAATAAAAGCTTGAATGCACGCATGAATGAACGGAAGACTAGACTGGCCCAATGTGGGATCTAGGACTGTGACTACATTTTTTATTTGTTGAGCCAAAGAAGTCCCATAAAAGAAGGGGTCTTACTCCCATCAATCAAAGTTAAGACTGTACCTGGGGCTTTTTCTACGGCATGAGTCAGCCTTTACAGTGAGGTCTGCTTTGCATCTCCTCACCCATCACCTTTCAAAATACACACTTCTAATATCACCCTCTCCATTACTAACCTTACCTCAACACATCTTTATGGTGTGCCTGCAAAAACAAGGTTATTACAGGAGATGCCCCAGAGGAAGATGACAGTCTACCAGAGGATGCACAGATCTAGGCAGAGATGTTCAATGGAAACAGCAGCAGTGGTGGCAGCACATGAAAAGGAGCAATTCTGATTGGCGGGGGTGGAACCTTCTATGGGGATTAGAGTGAGCTTCATAGAGGGAGTGGCCAAAAAAAAAAAATTTAAATGCTTAAAAATAAAAATTATCAAAAAAATGTCTTCTAGGCCAATTAATGCCTTAACTTTAACCCTTACCCTTTGTAGGTACTTTAAGATGCAAATGTGCTTGGAAGAGGTAACACATTGCACTGCTTATTCATTATAATTTTTGTATATTTTCTACTATAAATTAGAGAATGTATTCATTCATTAAGTCCTTCAGAGGAATTGAGTAATGAACATAGAAAAGAAATAGGGCCAAGAGGAGAGCTTATAAATACTCATCTTTCCTCTGTGCATCCAAATAACACTGTGGTTAAGGAGCAGACTCTTAGGGAGTGAGCGATGCTAAGGTTAAAGCCTGTTGTCCGGCTTTGCTGTCTGGATGGCACTGGGAAAATCACAGATTTTCCCTAAGCCTCAATTCCTTTATCTCTGAAATCGGGATAATAATGGTACCTACCTGATAGAATTATTGTCAGAATCAAAGAAGATGGCATGTATAAAATACTTAGTTGATTCTTAGTACACAACAAGCATTCAATAAGTGCTGCAGAATAATAATAACAGGAGAGGAGGAATAAAAGGTGATGATGATGATGATGACGATGACGACAATGACTTTGGAATCTGACGATGTGAATGGCAATCCTGACTCTGTTACTTACCAACCATGAGACACTTTAGTCTCCATCTGCATGTCTGTCCAAACCTCTTAAGGTTTTTGTGAGAACTTTATGACAGGTGTCTGGCACATAGTAAGTGCTCCAGATAGGTAGGTCTGACCTAAAGAGCTGCAGAGACACACACTCTTCTCTGGAAAGGATTGGTCTTTTCCTGTGTCTTAATGGCTCCCTAGGCCTTTTGCTGGAAAGCAAGACTTTCATCAAAGGGCAGTGCCTTAGATAAAAGGCTGGGTCAAGAAGAAGTGTCCAGTTAGGCGAGCTGCTTCCATAATCTAAGAAAAACTACAGGGTAGTGAGAGGACATTACACCGTCTCACAAGGGAATCAGAAACTCCTGAACAAGGTTAAAATAAGAACCCTGGCCAGGCACGATGGCTTACACCTGTAATCCCAGCACTGTGGGAGGTTGAGGCAGGAGGCTCGCTTAAGCTCAGGAGTTTGAGACCATCCTAGGCAACAGAGTAAGACCCCCATCTCTATAACATATACATACACACACACACACGTATTTATATATGTATATACGTATATACAACATATATTTATATGTATATACGTATATACAACATATATTTATATATGTATATACGTATATACAACATATATTTATATATGTATATACGTATATACAACATATATTTATATATGTATATACGTATATACAACATATATTTATATATGTATATACGTATATACAACATATTTATATATGTATATACGTATATACTACATATATTTATATATGTATATACGTATATTAATATATATTTATATATGTATATATAATATATATGTATATACGTCTATATAATATATATGTATATACGTCTATATAATATATATGTATATATGTATATATTATATATATTTATGTATATGTAATATATGTATATATAATATATATGTATATATGTATATATTGTATATGTATATATGTATATATGTATATATAATATATATGTATATATGTATATATAATATATATGTATATATGTATATATAATATATATGTATATATGTATATATGTATATATGTATATATGTATATATGTATATGTAATATATATGTATATATGTATGTATGTATATGTAATATATGTATATATACTACCTATGTATATATGTACATATGTATATATACTACCTATGTATGTATGTACATATGTATATATACTACCTATGTATGTATGTACATATGTATATATACTACCTATGTATGTATGTACGTATGTATATATACTACCTATGTATGTATGTACGTATGTATATATACTACCTATGTATGTATGTACGTATGTATATATACTACCTATGTATGTATGTACGTATGTATATATACTACCTATGTATGTATGTACGTATGTATATATACTACGTATGTATATATACTACATATTTGTATGTATATATGATATATAGTATATAATATATTGTATATATAATATATTGTATATATAATATATATTATGTATTTATAATATATATTTATGTATACATAATATATACATGTATATGTTATATATACACGTGTATATATAATATATACACTATATATACATAAATATATACATAATTATATACATAAATATAAATATATAAATATATAATATAAATATATATAATATATAAATATAAATATGTATGTATATATTATATATACATGTATATATAATATATTATATATACATGTATATATAATATATTATATATACATGTATATATAATATATTATATAATTATATATATATTATATATATTATATATAATTTATAATCTTTTTATAATATATATTATATATAATTAATATATAATATATTATATAATATATTATATATTTTTATATATATTTATATTTATGTATATAATATGTACATGTATAGTACATAAATATATGTATATATTATATATAAATTATATATGTATATATTATTTATACATATGTATTTATATATGTATATATAATATATACATATATAATTTTATTTTATAAAATATAAAATTCGTCAGGTCTGGTGGTGCACGCCTGTAGTCCCAGCTACTCAGGAGGCTGAGGTGGGAAGATTGTTTGAACCCGGGAAGTCGAGGCTACAGTGAGCTGTGATCGCACCACTGCACTGCAGCCTGGGTGACAGAGTGAGACCCTGTCTCGAATAAATAAATAAATAAATAAATAAATAAATAAATAAATAAATAAGAACCCTGACAGGTTTGTAAGGCTCAGCAGTTCTCTGTGTCTTGAGCTGGCCCAGCAGCTGCCCTGGAGGGAAATACAGCAAATTCTTAAAAGCAAGCAGGGCCTCAGTGGTTGTCTTTGCAGCCAGCAGGACCCATATGCCCCTCTCCACAGCCCCTCTTCCTCCAACTGAAGAAGAGAGCCCAGGGGACAAGTAGCTAGAAAGAGCAGGGTCACCTTTTCATGAAAAGAGGAAGATGGGGACAAAAGTCCTGTGCTCAGCAGGAAAGGAGACACAGCAGGAGGAAGGGACATTTCAGGAGGGAGGTGGCTAGGAAGCCCCAACAGAGGAACAAGAGTCAAACTTCACCATTGCTGGGGCCCGGCAGGTGTGATTAAACAGGCAGCAGGGACTCCGAGGCATTACAGAAGGATCATTAGTGCTCAGACCCCACTGCCAGTCATATCTGAAATGAGTTTGGATTTAGAGACCCACCACTGAGCTGAGTGGTGTGGATCAGGAGTGAAGCACATGACTTAATCAGGGGCATGAAAGCAGCTGACAAATTACAGCATGATTTGTCATCATCTTGGAGCTCAGCAAGTGTTTGTCCCTGAAAGAATCAATACCTGGAGGGAAAAGGGCCATATTTTTAGAAACTCCTGGATGGGTAATTTATTTCAAGTGAGTAGAGAGTTTATTTATGTTGGCACCCCCTCAAATCCAATGGACAGTATATTTACACGAAGCCAGAAAATGCTATCATTTCTTTTAATCAATTTACCCCTTTGAACAGCTGTACCTTGAAGCTTTCAGTGATAAACTCACGCCCTTTGCTAAAAGCTCTACCCAGGAAACCATCTCCAATCCCACCTTTACCACTGCTGCCTTCTGTTTGGGTGGAATGTTACATGTTTCAACACTTTAACACATAGATTCTGTTTTTTGAGGCACAATTAAGATGGGCAGGGCAGGTGATGTTAGCCCCATTCTACAGATGAAGAAACGAAGGCTCATGAGTTGAACGTAGGATTAGTCAATGTAGAGGAGAGTCAGAAAGCAAGATCTCCCCACCTCAAGTTGTGTTTCATCCCCATTGGACTAAAAGAGTTTGTACAACAGAAATGCCTTTAAAAAAAATACTTAGCTACAAGACTGTTCACCAGGAAGCAATGTGCTGAGTAAGTAAGGAGTAGAGGGTCTGCAGGTGAACTTGAATTAAAATCCCAGCCCATGAGATTTAAATAGGTTTGACCATGGGGAGCCTTCTTTACCTTTCAGTCACAGATTTCCCATCTCTAAAGAAAGGCAAATTAAAGCTCCTACTTCATAGAATGACGGTAAGCTTGAAAATAAATAATAAAGTTCTTATTACAGTGTCTGGCAGAAATAAGTGTCCAGTAAATGCTATTTATTTTGCTCTATTAGCTACTATTTTCACAGCATTTTTATAACAGCAAAACAAATTGAAACACTATACCTATTAAATGGTGAAACGATTAAAGGAAATATGGTCAATTTTGCTCCTGGACCAAACTGAGGGTTGGGCTGCTATTTCTCGTGGCCCAATAACAAGATGCAGATGAATTGGGGAGGAAGAGAGTTTTTATTTCTCTAACCAGTTACAGGGAGAAGGCCTGGAAGTTATTGCCAGACCAACTCAAAGTTACAAAGTTTTCCAGAGTTTATATACCTTCTAAGCTATATGCCTACGTGTAAGTGTGCATTCATCTGAAGACATAAGTGATTAACTTCTTTTAATCTATAACTAAGGTCTGGGTCCTGAAGACCTACTTCTGGAGCCTCAGTAAGTTTAATTAATCTAAATGAGTCTAGGTGCTGAGGTGATTACTTTATCTTGTCTCCTGACAAATCATAAGGATTTGGGGAGTTCCTTTAGACACCATTAAACTTGTTTGTGGAGGCCTGGGGAGTTTCTTCAGACCACCAATTAAACTTATTTCATCCTGAAAAGGGTCCTGATAAGAATTCCTTCATTATCCTCTCATGCTTCAAGTCCCAGGAAAAGCCTAGGCAACCTTGGTGGGATCTTTGTTACATTCCAGCCATTGTATAAGGACACTGGCTCAATCAGCTTTTAATGTTTAATCTAGCTACTCAGTGCTGGGACAGTTGTAATGAACACTGAATCTCGTTGTTAAAATGTGTAAATACACATGTATATACCTACACAAATATATGTGGGTGTGGAGATATATATATGTGTGTATATGTACATATGTGTGTATGTGTGTGTGTACATGTATATATATATGTATGTATATATATGTATATATATGTATGTGTGTGTGTGTGTATATATATATATATAAAATTTTTTTTTTTGAGACAGAGTCTTGCTCTGCCAGGCTAGAGTGCAGTGGCGCGATCTTGGCTCACTGCAACCTCCACCTCCCAGGTTCAAGTGATTTTCGTGCCTCAGCCTCCCGAGTAGCTGAGATTAGAGGCACACACCACCATGCCTGGCTAATTTTTGTATTTTTAGTAGAGACGGGGTTTCACCAGGCTGGTCTCGATCTCCTGACCTCAGGTGATCTGCCTGCCTCAGCCTCCCAAAGTGCTGGGATTACAGGTGTGAGCCACCATGCCTGGCTAATGGATATATATATTTAAAACCCTGGAAATATTACATGCGCAAGCATTTTAGCTGTGGATATCTCTATGTGGTGTGATTTATAATGCCTTCTTTTTAATTATCTATTTCTGTGGTATCGAATGTGATAACCACTAGCCACATGTAGCTATTTAAGCTTAATTAAAATCAAATTAAATTTTTTAAGAAAACAATTCCTTAGTCAAACTACCACACTTCAAATGCTAAATAGACACATGTGATTAGTGGCTTCCATACTGCACAATGCAGACTCAGAACATTCCATCATTGCAGTAAGTTCTATTAGATCTGGGCTACAGCCCCACACCCAGGCAGGTCAGAGAAATGCAATCAGGGTAATCACCTCCCTCTGCCCTGCATCAAACTTTTCACTGGCATTTGCTTTCTCTTCCTTAATGAGGACTTAACTTTTTTTTCTGACACATTACAACTATCAAAGTGTGACAAAGCATGGATTACCTTATTTGCAATGGTTCTAACAGTGATTAGCTCTCCCAGTGATCCTATTAAAACTAGATCCCTCTGAATTAATAAACTCACAGAGTCCTCTCTCTCACAGGAGGTACAGTTCGAACCAGAGCTTTTCCACAATACCATCGTGTGTGAGAAACCCAACAACCACCTCAACAAATTTAAGGGTTATATGTAAGTATCTCATGTCCCATGCTGCTAGTAAATATCTCCGCTGCAGCTAGAAAATATATTGTCTAGAAATGACCAAACAAATAAGCATCTTCATCCTGAGGAATTTTATTTGTGTGTGTGTGATAAAGAGGGACTAGAGAAATTTAAATTGGGAAACTTTTTCTATTTTTTTTTTTTTGCTGAGTGATAGTTATTTATGTTGCAGGGTTAAATTCACCAATGTTGTTAAAAAAAAAAAAAAAAACCTTAGTAAAATAGCATCAAAATCAAGATTGTGCTCTGATTCAGGAAGGTGAATATGATTTAATTAAGATCAATTTTTTAAGTGCCTATATTGCATTGTAGGTAAGAACAGGGACTTTGGAATTGGACAGATCTGGGTTTGAATCGGGGTTCTGCAAATTACAAGCTGTATGACCTTGGGTAAATTAATTCACCTCTCTGAGCCTGTTTCCACATCCATAAAATAAAATTATAATATCTATATCAAAGGGTTTTTCTTTTCTAAGATTGTCAGCATACACAAAGCCCTTAGCACAGCAACTGGCAGAGAGGAAATATTCAATTAACAGTGGCTCCTGCTATTAGGATAATTGTTATTCTTATTCCTCAACTTTGGTTCAGCCTAAGCATTTTACTGCAATTCTGCTCCCTTATCAGACCACTAGTCTTCCCACAAAATAAGAGCCATAGTAACAGATGTGAGTAAATGCCCTTATACGATGCTTTTCTACAGGGGTGTCCAAACTTCTGGCTTCCCTGGGCCACATTGGAAGAATTGTCTTGGGCCACACATAAAATACACTAACCCTAACAATAGCTGATGAGCTAAGTAGTAATAATAATAATAATCTCATAATGTTTTAAGAAAGTTTATGAATTTGTGTTGGGCCATGTTCAAAGCCACCCTGGGCCACATGTGGGCCATGGGTTGGACAAGCTTGCTATAACAGTTTTCAGAGGACTTCTAGAGAACATTGTCATGTGTAATCTTCACAACAACCCCAGAAAGCGAATATCGTGATGTGGATTATGATGATCTGAGACTTTATAGATGCAAAGATTCTCCCTAACTCACAGCAGGAACAAGACAAAGCCAGGACTTATATGGGGGTCTTTTGACTCCAACCCCAGTGTGCTTTCCATAGCCGTACATTGCGGAGCTCAGCCATGTTACACCAATTTCTCCACCAATAGGGCCTGCAGCTCCCTGAAATGCAGTTGTCTTTGCTTTCTTCCACCCACATGTCCTCAGGCCATGAGGGATATAATGAGGAGAAATAGAAAGGAGAAACAATAAGAAGAATACCAGAGAAACCATAGCTTTTATAGGCAAATTACTTTTAAAATACACAGAGCGAGCAGAAGGAGACAAGCAGAGAAGGGCCTGAGGTCCTGGGGAAAAGGCCTTTGCTGCAAAGGAGGTAAAGCCTGTCACCTGCTCTGAAGAGAAGGGCGCCCCTTGTGCCTTAGGTTTGTGAACTTGATTCATCCCAAATCCCTCACGCCTTGAGTCACTCTCCATATCCTCTTAGAGAACAGCCTCATTGTTAGATTTCTGTTTAGGACCCTTTCTCCCCAGAACAGCTCAGGCTAACAGCCAGCCTTTCTCAGCTTTCAACCTGCTCCAGCCTGCCCCTCTCAGACGGATTTCAGGACAGAACTCTCCCAGCTTCACTCAGCCCCCAGCACCTCCTCTTCCTAGTTGCTGCTCTGGGAGACCTGTCCTTCCTCCACATGACTGGGCCTCATGGATGAGTCCTAAAAGTCCAGTTGGACTGCGGAGTAGCTAACCCATGGAATGAAGGAGAATTCCTTGCTGTGCTCCTACATCCTTGCTGTACTCAGCAAGAACACCCTCAGGCCTGGCACCCACAGATGGTCTCCACCTTCTTCCTGAGCAGACCCACTGGTCTGATGCCTCTGGGTTTCCCAGAAGCTTCTGTGGGTTCCGTTAATTTAGAAGCTCCCTGAGGCTGCACAGGCTGGCTAGAAGATCAACAGCTTTCAATGATCTGTTTGAAAGTTAGGGTGTCCAATTTGAAAATGCGACTTTTGAATGAAAGAATCTCTACAGAGCAGTGGTTCTCAACCAGGGACAATCACCACCAACAACAAAACCACCCCTCCAACCAGGAGACATTTGACAATGTCTAGAATCATTTTTCTTGCCACAACTGGGGAGGGGTGCTGTTGGCATCCACTGGGTAGGGGCCAGGGATGCTACAATGCACAGGACAGCCCCCCACCCCAGCAGAGAATTGTGTAGTCCAAAATGTTCATAACACCAAGGTTGAGAAATGCTGGCCTATAAAAAGTATAATAGACCATCCTTGTAAACCAAGAGCGCTAAATAGACAACAGCTATAAGATAGCAAATCCTTTTCTACCATTCTTTGAAAAGGAACATTACAACCGAGAGAAGTAGAAGCCTCTCTCATATGCTATCACTTCAGAACATCCTAAAATTATTCTTGAAACCACAAGCTACTGACAGTGAGACAAGCAAGGTTCATTAGCCCAGTATTAAATCCACAGCCAGCCTCCTCCTTAATAAACAGAAGGAGCAATGGTGGGTCCTGAACCTCAGACATTCTTAGACCACCTTTATGATTTTTATCATATTCAGTAAAATCTATTTTATCTACCAGATTTTTAATTACCTTACTTTTTCCAAAATTTATTTGAAAAGGAAAATTTATATCACTGGGCCCTATGGGAAACCAGGATCACTTACTATACTTAAGAGGTAAAAATTAATACAATGAAATCAAAACAGTTATATTCTAACTATTATTTGCCATAGCATCCTTTGCTTTAAAAAGTAGGATAGACAAACATTAGAATAGGGTCAAGAACATACTAGCAAGAAATGAAACATCCTCCTTGACATATTCAGCAGAAGTGAAAATAGAAATGACTCTGATTTAGTGTGGGTGAGTGGGGTAGTACTTTAGGTACCCTAAGGTAGTGAAAATCTCAGTAGGGTGGGTGTCTGTGACCTAGATTCCCTGGTCTTAGGATGTCTCATGTACTAGTTGTATAGCCTTGGAAAAATCTCAGCCACTCTGAGCTTCTACTTTTTCATAAATAAAAATAATCATCCTACTAACTTCCCAGACCACAAAGAGTCAAACAAAATCATGTAAGTAAATGTAGTTTATAAACACAGTGAGGAATCATTAGCATTAAAAGGCATATTGAGTGGCAGTATAGCACTCTGGGGCCAGACTAGTTTTGAATCCCCATTCTGCCACTTCCTGGCTTTATGAACTTGCCTCAGTTTCCCTATCTGTAAAGTGGGTATGATAATAAGCCCTGTCTTATAAGGTTGTCATGAGGCTTCAGTGAAAAAGGCTTATAACTGGACTTAGCGATAAGAAGTATTGAAGAACAACACGTTTAAAAAAGAGCTCTAAGAGTTCGGATTATTATTTTTTTGTTCTCCCAAATAGGTTTGGAAAGTTATATTTAAGCTTGCTGAAAATCTCAAAGGAACGGCATCAGGATAGAGTAAAGGCCAGACCCCAGGTCATAACTAGAGTTGATTGGACTCAGAAGTTTCTAGTGTGAGGTGGAAAACTGCAATGCTCCCTGGACTAGAAGAAAGAAGAAACTATCTCTACTTTTAGGATCTGCCTCCCAATAATTTGGGCAAAGGGCCACTCCTGTGAGGTCTATTTTATGAGCTGTTGAGCAGGTGAAAGCTGGTACAGGAAAGAGGCCGAGTGAGTGATGTGGCTCGGAACGAGAGGAACCCATGACCTGCCCTTCCTTACTTTACCATTCTTACCTGTCCCCTGTCCCCTGTATGAAAAGCAAGACTACCTGGAGGCTCCCCTTGGAAGTTCACCTTCTGCAGTTCAGGTCCCCAGAAGCTGAATGACAATGAGCATGTGAACACTGCCAGTCCTTGTAAGGCCAGAAGCCAGTTCCCTTGCACTTTTGTTTGCTTATTTGTTTTTTAAAGTGACAGGAAGTTTATTAAGAAAGGGATAAAAGAAGGGTAACTCCATAGCAGAACAGCCCCTTGCCCTTTTTTTTTTTTTTTTTTAAGATGGAGTCTTGCCCCGTAGCCCAGGCTGGAGTGCAAAGGAGCAATCTTGGCTCACGGCAACCTCCGCCTCCCGGGTTCAAGCGATTCTCCTGCCTCAGCCTCCCAAGTAGCTGGGATTACAGGCACCTGCCACCATGCCTGACTAATTTTTTGTATTTTTAGTAGAGACGGGGTTTCACCATGTTGGCCAGGCTGGTCTCGAACTCCTGACCTCATGATCCACCTGCCTCGGCCTCCCAAAGTGCTGAGATTACAGGCTTGAGCCACTGCACCCGGCCCTACTGGTTGCCCATTTTTATGGGTGTTTCTTGATTATATGCTAAACAAAGGGTGGATTATTCATGAGTTTCCTGGGACAGGCATGGATAATTCCCAGAGCTGAAGGTTTCTCCCCTTTTTAAACCATATAGGGTAACTTCCTGACGTTGCCATGGCATCTGTAAACTGTCATGGCTCTGGTGGGAGTGTAACAGTGAGGACAACCAGAGGTCACTCTCATCACCATCTTGGTTTTGGTGGGTTTTGGCTGACTTCTTTGCTGCAACCTGCATAAAAACATTTTGAATATGAGAATTGAAGCCAAGGCTTTTTCACCAGAGTTCTGCCTTTTATGTTGGTAAATGGGACAATTTTCTCAGGGTGGACAATTCCCTTCTAATGGTCTAGCTCCCACCCAGGCCTCCTAGGAGCAAAAAAGAGATCTACCCTTGAACATGAAGGAGATTAGATTCTCAGCTACCATCACTCTTCTGAAAAAACAGGGAGGAGAGGGATCATGTTCACTCACCACTTCTAGTTCTGTGACAGTACCCAGTGACAGCAAGGAAAGGCCACCAAACCACCCCCTGTCTTTTATTCATCATCCCCAGGGAGCATCCTGACCAGACCAGGACTGGCTTTGGCTGTGAGAGTCTTCTGCTTCGAGGCTGCACCATCAGAAACACCGAGATGGCTGTTGGCATTGTCATCTATGCAGGTCATTGTCTGGGTAGTTTCTTTTGTCTGAATTTTCCTTTATCCTTCCCCCTCCAAATCCATCTTCAGTCAATGGGAACCAACAACTGTTCACAGTAACTTCCCATTTACTCATGTAACTTCCCATTTCTCAACTAAGCAAACGGAGGCTGGGAATCACAGCAGTTCACTCACTCTACAGGAGACATGATGAGATTCCAAGTTAATATCACCCATCTGCACTAGATAGGGAAAGGGATTCACACTCAATCATCCCGGTGGTTTTGTGCTACTAACTAAAGCCAGAATGAAGTGTATCTTCTTAAGCCTGTGGAATAACCTCACCAAACTTAACAACTTCCCCTTTGGAGCCTCAATTTCCTCATTTGTACAGTGGGGAGAATATTTGTATCTGCCTCATAGAGTGTTTGTAAGGATCAAATTACTCAGCACATGAAAAGCATCCAGCACTGCCTATAGCAAAGAGAGGGCTCAGTGGGTTTTAGTTGTTTTTGCAGTTATGTTTTTACTATTACCTTTATTTATTTTATGGCTCCATATATGGAGGCCTATCTCTCCTTCCCACTTTGATCCTGCTTTCCAATGAAAAAAGATAATAGCAGCGCTTCTCACAATGGAATCTAAAGTCTTGGAGGGCAATCTTGGAGCTGCTGTATCTCTAGTACTTAACACCAGTGCTCGTAGGTACGCAACGCACCTGTTGTTACATGAACACCTGAAGACTTCAGCCACAACAGAGGAAACATGGTCTCTCTGGAGCATCTACCTTTGCTGGAAAACTCCAGAATGTGTTTTCTTCTGAGTCTTCCACTCACTGGGACACTTTGGAATAGTTTGCTTATTGCTTTTTTGTTTGGTTTGGTCTCCATAGAACCCCACTTCTGATGGACATAGAAAAGCATTTAAATATCCATCTACCATAAGATTTACTCTTTGGGATTGTCAAAGAAAAACAGGTCTTTTTAAACATAATGTCACGATTTAGCTAGCTTTCCCTAATTTGGGAGAGGGGGATTATATTTGTCAGTTCAGATGACTTATTTCGAAGATCTTTAGCAATGGAGTTCAACACCATCTGGTAAACCTATTAAAAATGAACTCTCCAGCAATCTCCACTGTACCAAAAAAGAAAATGGTAATCATAATCACATAGATTTAGAGCTTTGCTTCTCTGCCTGAACAGAAATAAAGAAGAAACCTTGAGTAGGTGATGGGAGTGGTATATAAGGTGGCAGATATGGAGTGTTAACCATGGCTCCAGCTAGTCGGGCTGCCTATGGGTAAAATCCATTCATATTCTGCATGTTCCTGAACAGGATGGTTGAACTTTCAGTGCAAGAGGGACTAATAGTTTCTACCTTGTAGCTTTATAATGTTAGAATGAGATTATCTGTGAAAAGGGCCTAATACGACAGTTGGAATACATCAGGCCCGCAAAACTATGAGAAAGAAGATACCAGTTGTTTTTAACATTATTATCTAGAGCTGGGGTTCTCACCTTTGGCACCATTGACATTTTGGCCCATATTATTCTTTGTGACGGGGGCTGTCCTGTAGGGTATTTAGCAGCATCTCTGGCCTCTACCCACAAGATGCATTAGCACCCCCCACCAAGTGAGATAACCCAAATTTCTCAAGACGTTGCCAAATGTCCTCTGGGGAGTAAAATCACTCCTGGTGAGAGCAATGGTCCAGAATTCTCATTTCACCCTTGACATTATCAACGGGTAAAACAGGGCCTCAGAGTCAAAGGCCCAAAAAGGCCAAGGTGAGATTTACAGAAGAAAGAGGTCCAATGTAGAGGTGTGTGCTCCTCACAGCAAACACTGAGTCCCAACTTACCAGAAACTAATTTAGTACTTTGTGTGTATTGATTTATTTTCCCACTTCATACACCACAATCATCTCCCATTTTTTAGATGAGGAATTGAAGTACAAAGAGGATCACTCACCCAAAGTCACATGCCTCCTGAGTTGAACTCTATGCAACCCAAGGTCAAGTATCCACAGAGCTGAGCTCCGACTCTAGAGCCCACACTCTTATCCACTGCCCCATACTTCCTCCCCTTGAACCCAACTCTTTCCAAAAGAACAGAGGGGTCTCAGAAGGCAAGGATCAGGTGGGTGAAGGGGATAGTCCCAGGATCCCTGAATGGAGTGAGGCTGAGAGGCAGGCAGAAATTCTACAGGCCCAGGAGTACTGCTGGAACCCCTGCTCACAACTGCAGCAACTTGAGTCTAATTTTAAAAGCCTAGAGTTTTTTTGCTCCTACTGTTTTGTTGCTACTTTAAATCCACAAGACAACCAGCTAAACAGCATAAAAGCCGTTTGCTTCTGGAGCTGATGTATTGGTTTTCTTCAATTTTGCACAGAAAATATGCAACTGATGTGTTTTTCATTTGACTGCTGAGGAGTATGGCACTGTAGTTAACATTCAGCAGCCCCAAAGGAGAGGCTCTGTCTAAAGACAAAGTCTCAGTTTGACTCTTAGCTCTTAGGTGTGTGATCTTGGGTCCCAGGGGTTGGTGAAAGGAGAACTACACTGGCAATCTGAATCTTGGGTTCACAATGTGACTCTGACATTGACTTATTCTTTCACTTTGGGCAGATCCTTTTTACCCTCTAGCCCTCAGCTTCCCCTACTGGAGAAGAAGGTGACTGGGTGAGATTGGTAGTTTTCAAACTTTGTCATCCTTTCTTTAACCAAAATTGTATGCAAAACTTCAACATAGGAGTGGAGCTGCCCAGGGTTAGTGCTGGGGTGGGGACCTTTGGTCCCTACTACTCTTGCTCAGGCAACACCAACAACTTAGGCATGACCAAAGAAACAAATAGGGAAACTGCTGGTCCCAGGCACTGTCCTACCACAGGGCTTTTGCATATACAGTTCCCCAGCCTAAAACTCTGCTGCCAACTCTGCTTTCCCTTCAGGCCTCCCTTCAATGTCATCTCCTTGGAGCAGCTTTCCCTGAGCAGGCTCTCCAACACCACCTCTTTTCCACCTTGGCCTTTTGTTTACTGTATATTATTTATTTCATAGGACTTATTAATAATGATAATTATCCCTTCTGTCTTCTTGTATATCTTCAATAGAATGTGAACCCTATGTCTTGCCATTGTATCCCACTGCTAGCCCATAACAGGTGGAACAGAACCTTTGTGCAAATTAGGAAAAGACAGCCCTTCTTTAAGACAGCTTACTATCATTTGCCAGAACTCTGTCCATAATAAACTTATAAATCTTTGGCAACTACAGAATGAGGGCTACGCTCTAAAGTTGTACAGGGCATAGCCTGTGCATGGGAGCTCTCTCAGTGCCCACCACAGTGTCTGGCATGCATGAAGGGGATGCTCACTGAGTGCCTGCTGGTAAATTATGTGAGGCCCCTACAGCTGTTCTCAGCAACCTTCTGAGGCGGGGCAAGTTCAGGTTAAAGAGTGAAGCCTCTCTTTTATCTTAAGCTCCTGTGAGAAGAGCTGAGGGAATGGTGTAAGACATAGGCAAACAGGAACTAAGGGACTGATTTCCTCATTTTCTCTCAAAGGCCATGAGACGAAAGCCATGCTGAACAACAGTGGCCCCCGGTACAAACGCAGCAAGATTGAGCGGCGCATGAATATAGACATCTTCTTCTGCATTGGGATCCTCATCCTCATGTGCCTTATTGGAGCTGTAGGTATGGGATGTTCTGGAAAGAACAAGGACACAGTAATCGATTTATTTGGGCAAGTTTCTTCAGCTTCCTCATTTATAAAGTAGGGCTAATAAAATGTAAAGCCTACCCTGCCCACTTTAACGGGATGCCAATGAAATGAAAATGCAAGAGAAAATCTCCTAAAAGTAGTATGTGTTCTTTAACTATTCAGAATATCATCTGATATTTATTTGGTCAAGAAATATTTACTGAACACAGGCACTCTCGTAGCATGGAATGAAAACAAGACGAATCAGACTGTATTTGTTTCCCATTGCTGCTGTAAAACATGAACACACAGTCATTTAGAACAACACAAATTTATTCTGTTACAGCTCTGGAGATCAGAAGTTCAAAATCAATTTCAGTAGGTTAAGGCAGGAGTCTCAAACCCCTGGGCCAAGGGCCAGTACCTCCTGTCAGATCAGTGGTGGCATTAGATTCTCACAGGAGTGCAAAACCTATTGTGAACTGCACATGCAAGGGATCTAGGTTGTGTGCTTCTTATGAGAATCAAATGCTTGATGATCTGTTGCTGTCTCCCATTATCCCTACATGGGACCATATAGTTGCAAAAAAATAAGCTCAGGGCTCCCACTGATTCCACTATGGTAAGTTGTATAATTATTTTATTATATATTACAATGTAATAATAGAAATAAAGTGCACTGTAAATATAATGCACTTGAATCATCCTGAAACCCCTGAAACCATCTCCCCCTCCCCACTGACTGTGGAAAAATTGTCTTCCGCAAAACCAGCCACTGATACCAAAAATGTTGCAGACCACTGCGTTAAAGTCAGGGCATCGGCAGTTCTGGTTCCTCCTAGAGGCTCTGAAGGAAGGCTCTATTCCTTGTCTTTTTCCGTTTCTAGTGGCTGCCTATAGTCCTTAGTCTGTGGTTCCTTCCTCAGTCTTCAGAGTGCACCACCCCAATCTCTGCCTACATTTTCCTCTCCTCATCTGCAGCAGTAGCTCTCCCTGCCTTTTACAAGACACCTGTGATTACATCATTGGGCCCACCTTCATAATCGAGATACTCTTCCCATCTCAAGATCTATGACCTAATCCTATCTGCAAAGCCCTTTGGCCATATAAGATAGTGTATTCATAGGGCCCCAAGGATTAGGATATATCCTGGGGAGAGAGGGGGTATTATTCACCTTACCACAGATATTATGGGAGCAGCAATGAGGAAAGTCTTTCTTGAAGAGGTAGCTGCTAAAGCTGATTCTCAAGTGGAGTAGACATTTGCCAGAGGAGGAGGATGGCAGAGCCAAGTGTAGGGGCTGGATGTGGCAGGCAGCTGTGAGCAGAAAGAGAGAGGCCACTCTTAGCCCCAGGAAAATCACAAAGCACAGAGGCAGGAAGGAAAATGGTTTTGTGCAGAGGAGCAGTTGGCTGTTGGATGTGGCAAGAGTAAGGCCAAGAATGGAGACCAAAGCTGAGCCAGTCTGTGGCCCGAGCTGAGTGAGGAGCACCATGAGAGGTGGAGACAGGAGTGATCTGGAGCCCTTTAAGTTGATCCTCAGAGTGTAGATAAAGAGGGGCCAAGACTCCCCACTGTCTATGGCCTTATTCTAAAAATGATTCTCAGGATGCTAAAGGAGATCTCAGAAAGAACCAGGGACAATCAAGAGAAAAACTCATGTCCTGAGTCCAGAAATATGCAGACCCGAAACCAATGAGCAGCAGTGGTGTTTGCTGTTTACTTGCATTAGTCAGAAATCGTAGCCATTGCTGTTGTTAGAAAGATGGTGTCTGAAAGGCTGAGAGCTTCATAGGGGCTCAGAGAGACTTTGTGTGCCACTACAGTGATGAAGATGGGATTGAGTCTTGTGGGTGGCCTGGAGTTCCCAGGTATGTCTAATAGCACTCCACTTGAGGCTGGCTCACAGCTGTAAGGAGAGCACCTGGGGGAGGGGAAGCAGGGAAACAAGAAAGCCATTGTCCCCGCTCCCACCCTCTCCCCAGCCCATTTGGCCACCTGTGTCCCCAAGATGCTGCAGGAACTGTTGTTTCTGCTTCAGGACAGGTTTTTCAGGGCATATCAGCGTGAAAAAGACATTTGAGATCATCTCACTGTGTCTCCAGAAAAAGAAAGTTAATGATTAAAAGGTCACAGGACAAGATAAGGCACAGGGAAACCAGAATCTGCTTGGCAGATTCCCCAAAACAATAAAGAAATGAAGAAAGTTCATGAGGAGGGTCAGAATTCTATTCTGAATTAACAACTCATACACAGGACTCTGATGATGCCTAATTAAAGCACAGCCCTACAGAAGATGAAAGCTCTCAAATGAGCACCATTCCACAGTTCTTGACCACATGTTTACTTTGATTTTGTAAAGGTGGTGTTTCTTCTTTCCTCACCAGAATACTCTGCCCTGGCCCTCCTGACCATCCAACACGTGCTGGGGCTCCAGGACCCCCTCAAGTCCTCCTCATCCATTCAGCCTTCTCGGGCTTTTCCCATACTTGTCTTATTCCCTTAAAGGCCAGTGGCCCTTACTCTGTGCCATGTGTTTTGTCCTTAGTCATCTGCTTTATAACAGTACCTTCACATAAATAGCTTCATGTCTGTAAGTTTCCTTTCTTCTGTTAGGTATGACGGCATTTGGCCCAAACTCCTGGGCAAGGAAGCATCTTTAGGCATTGCAACATCCTCTATGCCTTTTATTCTCTATACTTCTTGGAGCTGAGAGCATTTTAAACATTAGATTATTCTATTTTCACAATAACTCTATAGAGAAGGTATTATTACTATTTAACAGACAAGAACACTGAGATTTAGTGAGCTCTATAACAGGTGCTGGATGCACTTCACCTTACATAATCCTCAGATAATGCGTGTTGTTATCTCCTTTGCAGATAAGGAAACAGAGTTCAGTCTGTACCTGGTGCTGTTGCTATGGGCTGTCACAGCATTCTAGGCTCTGCTATTGCACCTCTCATACTGTATGTGATTTGTCCTTTTATGCCTGGCTCCCTAATTTGGAAGCAAACTCCACAATGACAAGAATTAGTACTAACTTCTTGAATTAATCAATGTCAGACAGAGGGAGGGATGAATGGGTAAACATAGATGGATGGATGGATGAATGGATGGATGGATAAATGGATGGATGGGTAAGTAGGTGGGTAGGAGGGTGGATGGATGGATGGATAAATGGGTGAGTATATGGAGTATATGGATGGATGAATGGATGAATGGGTGGGTGGGTAGATGGATGAATAGATAGATGAATGGATAGAAAAACTGATGAATAGAAGGATAAATGGATGGACAGATGGATGGATGGATGGATGGATAGATGGATAGATGGGTGAGTAGATGGGTGGATGGATGGGTGAATGGATAGAAAGATGGATGGATGGATGGATGGATGGATGGATGGATTCATGGATGGATGGATGGATGGATAGATGGATGGATTGATGGATGGGTGGGTGGGTGGATGGAGGGATTGATGGATGGATAGATGGGTGAGTAGATGGGTGGATGGATGAATGAATAGATGAATCTATAGAAAAATGGATGAATGGAAGGATGGATGGATAAATGGAAGGAAGGAAGGAAGGGTGGGTATATGAGTGGGTGGATGGAAGAATTGATGGATGGGTGGATGGACGGGTGAGTAGATGGGTAGGTGGATGGATGGATGAATGGATAGATAAATGGATAGAAAAATTGATTAATGGCAGGATGGATGGGTAGATGGGCATTAGATGGGATAAGAAGGGGAAGACTAGGGGACAGGTCTCAAGGCTCCCTACCCATGCACAAAAGTGTGCACCACAGAACAAAAAAGAACAAGTATTTCTTTCTCTCTTTCCAGCCCCTATTTAACAAGACTTAATCAAAACAGAAGTAATCCTCATGCCAATCTCCTCTTGTAAAACAAACTTAATGCCTATCAAAGGATTGAAATGTATACGAAGAACCACTTTAGAGCAACATGAACACATGCACATACACAAACACACACACACACAGAGCTACATTGTATGGAAGAAGGAGGGGTCCTCCAAAGCACACCCATTTCTAGGAATGTGTCAAGGGCTGGTATAATTGACCAACTTTAGGACTTAGTAGAGATTCAGCCTCATTCCTGGTTTTGCCTCCTCTCAGGTCACAGCATCTGGAATGGGACCTTTGAAGAACACCCTCCCTTCGATGTGCCAGATGCCAATGGCAGCTTCCTTCCCAGTGCCCTTGGGGGCTTCTACATGTTCCTCACAATGATCATCCTGCTCCAGGTAGGAAGCCCTCCCTAACTAGGGGCCCAATAAGATATGTGGCCAAAACTCCTACAACTTTGTAAAATAAAGAAAAAACAGTGCTGGCCACTAGAAAGTACAAACTGGATTGAGATGAGGAGATGGTCATCGCTTTCTTGTGCGTCTTTGAAAGTATTCACATTTTGGGTGATTTAAGGACCCAGCCCTGCCTTGTGGAGGGGACTCTGCCCCCAGATAATAGCTGGAGGGAAATATTTATTAGCTTTTCTATTTAAGATGACAGCAGTGACCCATATGTGCCTGTCCCTTTGCCAGAACAGATAAAACATGAATGATCTAGGAACAAAAGAAGATAAAGTAGCACAGTGAGCGACAGAGAACTCTCTGCCCCAACATTGAGAGAGAGAAATCACGAGTTAGTGTTTTAACATTTGATACATTGAGAAGGAAAAGAACAGAACTGGCCCAATATAGGACAGAAGAAAAAAGTGAGACAAATGTGAGACAGTAATTGATGAAGAGATGAATTTTAAAACCTTCGTGTCTCTAAGAAAATACAATCAATGAAAAGATGAGGGAAGTTGTAGTTTTCCTTTTGTGGAGCTCCATCTACCATTTCTTGTAGTATTGGAGGATGTTTCATTGCCCTCTTATTGGTGATTATTTTCCATTCATCTTGCAGAGTAATCTATTTTAAATGCGAATTAAATCATACCCCTCCTATGTACAGAATCCTCTCATGGTTTCATATCCACTCAAAGTGGAATCCAAAGTCCTTACTGTGGCTGATGAAGCCCTAAGTGATCTGGACCCTGACTCCCTCCCTGACCTCCCCTCGCAGCCCTCTCCCCCTCCTCACTCACCTGCAAGGCCTGCTCCCTATTACTCCCCAAACGCCACCCCCACTGCCAGGCCTGTGCCTGGCTTTCTCCTCTGCTCGGAACACTCCTCCCCCAGATAACCTCACAACTCACACCCTGACTTCCTCATATCTCTGTTCAAAGGTCATGGTTTACAAGCATCCCACCCAGCCATCAGTCTACCCTCTTTTCTTTATTCTTCCTCATGCAACTTACCACCACTCATATATATTTATTTGTTTGTTCTTTGTCACTGGAAGGCAAGTTCTTCAAAGCCAGGAATTACGTTCTGTTAACTCCCATTTCCAGGACTTAGAACAGCATCAAATGCACAGCAAGCACTTGGTAAATATGAGATATTGAATCAGTGGGGAGAAATTAACAATAGGTCTGAATACCTATAAAAGCGGGCAGCAGCCCTTGGTGGCACAGAGATCTAAAGGGAGTCAGAGGACTCTAAACAGAGATGCTAAGTCTCTCTCACTCCCTCCCAGCTCAGTCACAGACAACCAATGGTGACTAGACATCCCTGGTCAAAGAAGACATACCTGTTTTTCAGATTCCCCTAAGAATTCCAAGGGATGCATGAGGTCATTGACCGTTAATTTCACAGAGAGTCTGTCCTGTGAGCTGACCTCAACTTTCTATGAAATGCCTTTGCTACCTGCTAGTGAGGATCCCAAGGGAGGGAACCTGCCTGGTTTCTGAATGGTAGAAACTCATCTCTTTTCAGGTGCTGATCCCCATCTCTTTGTATGTCTCCATTGAGCTGGTGAAGCTCGGGCAAGTGTTCTTCTTGAGCAATGACCTTGACCTGTATGATGAAGAGACCGATTTATCCATTCAATGTCGAGCCCTCAACATCGCAGAGGACTTGGGCCAGATCCAGTACATCTTCTCCGATAAGACGGGGACCCTGACAGAGAACAAGATGGTGTTCCGACGTTGCACCATCATGGGCAGCGAGTATTCTCACCAAGAAAATGGTATAGAAGCTCCCAAGGGCTCCATCCCTCTTTCTAAAAGGAAATACCCTGCTCTCCTAAGAAACGAGGAGATAAAAGACATTCTCCTGGCTCTCTTAGAGGCTGTGTGGCATTTCCACAAGTTGCTTCCTGTATCCCTGTGGTCTTCCTTGTCACAGATCAGGGCTGTTCCAATTACTTGTAAACTTTCATTTGTTTACAAAGGTTAGAAGTTATCCCATATGTGGTTCCCCTTCAGCTGATCTTTGTCTGGTGCCAGACAAAGCACTTTATGAGACGAGTTTTTTATCTGTCAGCAATGGATTGGAGACATTTCCCAATTGTGTGCCAGTCACACAACCAAGGCTTAGGAATTTCTCAGGCCACCTTACCTGACATGTCAGGGCAGGTCTGTGTCTAGGTGCATGGTCAGATTTAATACATCCAGAAGATGTCTTCTATTCTAACAGATCTCTTAGCTTGTCACTGAGGCAAAGTTTTGATTTAGGAGATAGGGCTATAAAATGCCTGGACTGTTACCTTGCATGGACTGAATATGACTCATAAAACTGATCTGATTCCTTCAGCCATCATCTGCCCAACTTCGTTCCCCTCCCCACCCCCCCACAACACACACACACACTTTCTAAGAAAAGAAAAGAAATTCTTTTTTTTCAATACTTTAAGTTCTGGGATACATGTGCAGAATGTGCAGGTTTGTTACATAGGTATACATGTGTCATGGTGGTTTGCAGCACCCACCAACCCATCATCTACCTTAGGTATTTCTCCTAATGCTATCCCTCCCCTAGCCCCCAACCCCCCGATGGGCTCCAGTGTGTGATGTTCCCCTCCATGTCCATGTGTTCTCATTGTTCAATTCCCACTTATGAGTGAGAACAAGCAGTATTTGGTTTTCTGTTCTTGTGTTAGTTTGCTGATGGTTTCCTGTTCATCTGTGTCCCTGCAAAGGACATGAACTCATCCTTTTTTATGGCTGCATAATATTCCATGGTGTATATGTGCCACATTTTCTTTATCCAGTCTATCGCTGATGGGCACTGGGGTTGGTTCCAAGTCTTTGCTATTGTGAACAGTGCTGCAATAAACTTACATGTGCATGTGTCTTTAGTAGAATGATTTATAATCCTTTGGGTATATACCCAGTAATGGGATTGCTGGTCAAATGGTATTTCTGGTTCTAGATCCTTGAGGAATCTTTGTCTTCCACAATGGTTGAACTAATTTGTACTCCCACCAACAGTGTAAAAGTATTCCTGTTTCTCTACATCCTCTTCAGCATCTGTTGTGTCCTGACATTTTAATGATCACTATTCTCACTGGTGTGAGATGTTATCTCATTGTGGTTTTGATTTGCATTTCTCTAATGACCAGTAATGATGAGCTTTTTTTCATATGTTTGTTGGCTGCATAAATGTCTTCTTTTGAGAAGTGTCTGTTCATATCCTTCACCCATTTTTTGAAGAAAACAAACTCTTAAGAGAGAAGTATTCATTCTTTTGAGTGTGAGGGATGGAGAAAGAGAAAGATGGAGAGAGTATTATAAGCAGCTGTATCCCCTTTGCCATGGTGATAGCAGACCATTCACATGGGAGCTTCTGGTCTCTTTGTAATAATAATAAGAGCCACATTACCAGTACTTAGAGTATGCTAGTTATTTTAACACATTGTATCATTAAATCTTCAAAACATCCCTATGAGTTAGAAACCTAAAAAAAAAAAAAAAAAAAAAACCTCTGAGGAAATAAAGTGACAGGTTATGTCAAAGCTCAAAGTCACATAACTAGTAGGTAGTCCACTAGAGTTTGAATCTGTGGGACTTAGTTTTACCCTTCTTTCTCCAGTCTTGGTAGCCCAGATGCCAATTTTTCAGAGTAGCATAGGCCCTTCCCATGCTCTTACCACCCCCCACACAAAGTCTAGGTTTTCCCCAACATGGTCCAGCCGAGGTACAACTAGTGCAATAACAGGACTCCTTTCTTGCAGCTAAGCGACTGGAGACCCCAAAGGAGCTGGACTCAGATGGTGAAGAGTGGACCCAATACCAATGCCTGTCCTTCTCGGCTAGATGGGCCCAGGATCCAGCAACTATGAGAAGCCAAAAAGGTGCTCAGCCTCTGAGGAGGAGCCAGAGTGCCCGGGTGCCCATCCAGGGCCACTACCGGCAAAGGTCTATGGGGCACCGTGAAAGCTCACAGCCTCCTGTGGCCTTCAGCAGCTCCATAGTAAGTCCTGACTTTTGCCTTTGAACTGTAAGTGTTCTGTGGGAAGAGAGGGAGGGTGCTCTGGAATGTGAAAAAGAAAAAATTGTACAAACCCTGAAGAGCTTTCAAAATGGTGCCCTTGGTTTTGTACATACTCCACACATGTGTTTTGTTGGCATAGACAATTCTTGTTCATTAGAAATGTTCAATGTTTAGAAATCAGAGATTTTATGTAAGCATATAGACTTTTTTGCTTCTCTTTTAAAAATTGAATTATAAAAATTCTCCACACTAAGCCAGCATTTCCTCATGGCAACAACTGGCTTGGGTTGAGAGGTCCCTAACTCTTAGACTGGGCATGCCATCTTCAGCTCATCACAGCCCCCCACCCACCTTCTCTATGTATCCCGTCACTGAGGTGGAGGCAACTGCATACTCATTATGCATGTTTTTAAAATTATACAGTTAGGAGAAATTAGAAATATTTGTTATGCTTATGTTTCTATAAGGGAGAAAAACAACAGATAAGCCTGTAAGGCATGTGTGTTTGAAGAAAAATGGAAGAATATACTTTTTGGTGATCAAAAATAAGTTTTAAATAGTTATGAAGTAAATAATATCTATGTCAAGATTACCCAGACCATTTCATTCCCTTAACTAATTCCCTTCGGCCCTTATGGGCATTGCTGTTTGTGGCTTTGGTCTGGGGCTTTCTGCGTATTGTCCTTTCACATTTGATCCACTAGGATAGCCATCAGCAAACATCCAGGTAGCAAGCAAAGAAAACCAAGTTTCTCCCCAGAGATCACACAGCATTCTTAGAAGTCAAGGCAAGACCAGGGCTTCTGCCCACTGTCCTATTCCTCTTTCCTTTGCACACACTCTTTCTCCGGGGAACATAAAAACACATCATCTGGAATCTCTGCACTTGCACAAGAGGCCACAGGGAGCCCCAGCAATCTTGAACAAGAGATACATACTAACAGATGGGACCCAAAGGGCTACCATCCCTTTATTAGAAAATTAGATTATAAAAATGGTCCTTTTGGCCAATTTTTTCCCAGTCTTTTATTTCCCCCATGAATACACACACACATAACCACATATATTTAACATTTTTTGTAATCATGGTACATATCAATTGTAGATGCTGGGATTTTCTTTAACTTGATATCAAAAACATTTTCCATATTGCTACTTAGTATTCATAACCAAGGACTGTGTTTTCTGACTGTGACAAAGAAGAAACACTGTGAGCCTCTGTTCTGGGTCATTACTCATCTAACTTTGGGTGAGGACAAAGTTGAGTTCCCTCTCGGGTTATTGTCATGCACGGAAATGCAACATTAGCAAGGATAAGGCAAGAACAGTGTGTTAAGACATATGACCTTCATAAATACACAAGTGAAATGATCCATAGATGTCTTCAGGAAGATTTTCATGGTTTTTTTTATTTTCCCAAACGAGATAATAACAAGGTGTGTATATTGCTACATCCTTCTTAATTTTGCCCCCATAAATGTAATGCACTTCCCCGAGTTATTTTCTTAAATATTTGTAAAATGACCTTAGTGAATTCTCATTAGGCACAGATTCTGTGTGTCGTTGGCATCTTCCAGTTCTAGATACCACAGGCATCCCACATGCCTGAGTATGTCTCCCCCAGAAAATGAGCGGGAGAAAAAGGAAGCTTTCCTTTGTGGATCTCAGTTGGGTCACATCAATTCACTGCCCCTTGTTCAGTCTGACAAGTCTCAGCAGCCCAGAAAAACTGCATCCCTGGTCCAGGCAGTAAATCTTGGATGCAGGGCTTTTAGCTGATGGCCAGTGAGAGGGACACACTAACCCCAGAGCTATCTCCAGATCCTAGATGTCATCATCCTGCCCTGGCTGGCAGTCCCAAAGGCAAGTTCTGACTAAGTTCATTCAGGAGCAGTAAGGAAATTGACACGAGTTAAGTTCCAATTCTTGTTGCCTGGTGAAGGGAAGATGGTGATATGTTCTTTTTATGAACAGCTAAGTATACTCTTATGTAATAAGGTCACTTAAAAATCTGGGGTTAGTGGAACAATTGTATTTTTGAGTAGTTTTGAGGAAGGGCACTGGGCTAAGAGTTAGGAAATGGAGGTTCTGGTTTTAGTTCTGCTACTGGCTTGCTGGGTAACCTTAAGCAACATGTTAAACCTCCTTCTATGTCTCTTTCACCACCTGAAAATACTTTACTTACAATTCTCACCAGGCTGTTCTAAAGATCAAATAACATAATGTTTTGCTGACCTGCAGGCTAACTTCCAGCTATGAATTAGGCACACGTGGAGTCTAATGTGTCAGGTTTTCATCTCAGCTACCCCATGTACTAGCTCTGTGACTTTGGTGGGCTTACTGAAATGGAAGCCTCAACCTACCCATTGTTAAAATGAAGACAATTGTTCTGGCTCATGAGTTTATTTTGAGGATTTAATTCTTAAAATTGTGTGTTCTAGACAGATACCTAATGGAAGTTTTAAATGATCTTTCTAAAGGGAAGCTGTCTGCCTTGAACAAATGTTCACATATCTGATGTCATAAAGAGAAAATGGGGAGTTTCCATGAAATACAGTTGTTGAACTCTCTCCCCTGAGATCCTGGTATATTTGGTCTTGTGTGAGTCCTGAGCACTTATATTTTAATTTCTGATAATTCTAAGGAGCAGCCAAGATGGGGACCCTCCATAAGCAGGCCATCACCCCACCAGGAAAGAGTCTTCACTTGGCTCAAATTGGCACTTTCTACAGCTTGGGAGGCATTTGCTGAAGGGAGTGAAGTATGCAGCCTTTAAGGACTCTTGTGCTAACCCATCAAATACATCTAGCTGGTGTCAGATCCTTGAAGCCGTCCCTAGAGAGCTCCTGTGGCAGCCCCAGGTGGCTGTCTCGGTGCCCACCCCCACCCACTCCTGACAGACTCTCTGCACTTGTCCCCTTCCACCTGCCTTCTGTGCCTTCCTGCACCTGCCCATCTGGCACCCAATCTGTTCTGATCATCTCTTGGAATCACCAGTTCTTTACCTTCCCTTAGTGAACTCAGTCAAAATTTGCCTCTGAAACCTCCAGGGAGCATTCTACCACCTTCTAAAGAAGCCAGTTGTTGGCTTCCTTGGCCCTTTGCTCTAAATCAAAAATAACAATCGACAAAAACAGCAACAACAAAAGCTGTTTTTTTTTCTTTTATGACAAAAAAAAACAAGAAACCATCAGTGATTGTCACCTAATTGCCTGCAATAAAATCTGTGGCTTTAAGGTGGGGGTAATATACTTATAAAAATGGTGAGTTGAGTCCCAAGCCAATGTTTAATAGTACTGGCAGATGGAAAATGAAATGGGTTTTTTTTCTCCTTGTCTGTACGCAGCCAAGATTTCAGCAGAGAGTCTTTGTGTAAAAATGCCACTTGCAGAATGTTTTTCAGTGCCATCAGACCACAGAATATCTTCCTAATCATAAAATTTGTATTGGGGCCAGTTAGGCTCCTCCAAACTTCCACACTGCTTTCCTTTGTGGACATCCCCCCCGCCACCCCACCCTTCTGAAGAGAATGCAACAGAGAGGAGCGAAGGAGGTGTCATTGGACCTCTGCCTCCTTTCACTAATCTTGGTCTGCCTTTCTTTCTTTGGAAGAGATTTATGCAGCACTCCCAGTCTGCTCCAAATCGGTGGGACAGCCCACATACACACACTCCCACTGTAAGGTTAGATAAGAGTCCTGATTTAATTAGCCAAGTACACAGAATCTTTCTGGAAGTGATGTGATCACACAGGGCAGGAAGCAGTGAAGCCTATCTGTACTCCCCTTGTTCCCCAGTGTCTCAAATCGGGGTGGGGGGACCCAGCCTCAGTGACACTGTTCACAAGAGGTGGGAACTGACAAGATCTGGAAAACTCCCTTCTTGCTTCACCACTGAGTTTTTTTCTTTGGGCTTATGCCCCGTTTGGGAAAAGCTTCCCCTAACAATCCATGTGTTCCTATTTAAGTGAGCATTTACTAACATTGGACTTTCCCAGTTCTTGATTCAAACTAAATGTCATTAAGGCCAGAGCCTTAGACAGGACAAAACCATCACTGCCCTAAACAGTGTTAGCCTCCAGCTCCCCAGCAACCAGGAAAATGTTGCCATAATAGTCATAGCCCACAGGGTTACATAATTGAAAGGAACCAAAAGCTGATGGTGGAAAGTAAGTGTCCCTCCCTCCTCTCTTCCCACCACCTCAGGCACAACAACGATTAGCAGCTTCTGTGTGTCCTTCCCAAAGGTGCACAGAAACAGACAAGTATGGCATATACACAAGCACATCCTTCACAAGTGGAAGCATACCGTTCCCACTGTTTAGGACTGTGCTTTTTTAACCTAATGAATTTTAAAGAATATTTCCTATGTGTAGACAGACAGGTAGACATTCAATAGAGAGCTGCCTCATCTTTTATTTTTTTTAATGACTGCTAGAATTCGTTGGATGGTTGAGCCATCATCTGTTTATATATGTGTTTGAGTTTCTCTACAGTATTCTTAGAGCATAATTGCTAAATTGGCCAGTATGTGCATTTTTTTATTCTGGTTGATTCTTCCCAAGACGTTGTACCAGTTGAGACACTCACCAACAACAAACAGAAGGGCCTGCTTCTTCCCACCTCTGCCAGTGTCTACATTTCTTTAGAAGAGCCTTTCATTTATTGGGTCAGTCAACAAACATTCAGTAAGCATCTACTCTGTGGCATATACTGTCCTAGAGACTAGGGACATAAAGTCTAATAGAACATTGCTCCTGCTTTCAGGATTTTACAGCTCAATGAAGGGGCAAAAGGAGCACCAGTGACTATGGGACAATGCTCTCTGGGCTGGGATGTGTGGTTGCAGAGGTGCTATAGGAGCTTAGAAGAGGTGCAGCTATATCATACTGGGGCATCAAGGAAGCTTCCTGGAAAGGTTGGCCCCTGGGCTGAATTTTGAGACAGGAGTAAATATTAACTGGAGGAATAAGGAGACCACCTAGTGAGGAGTGGATGAGGAGTGCAGGTTGTGAGAGGAGACAATCTGTAGAAGCAAGATGGAGAATTGTAGTTCTTCGGAGTAGCTGGAATGAAAGGTGCAATCTGAGGAGGAGGAGGAGGAAATAGAGACATAAGAGGAACTATGCCATGAAGGATTTTCTTCAAAGCTCAGGAACCAGGGTTCCTGTTTATTTCCTTCTCTGGATTCCTGTAGCAACAAACTGCTATACCTGAACTTGGGCGAGTTATTATTAAAACTGAAAGAAGAATAGCAGAGTAGAGTTTGGCCTACTTTTCCCAGGCTTCATTGTGGGAACACATCCCAGCCAGAAAGGAATGAAAACAGTAGGGTTGTCATGTAACACAGACCCTTGCTACTCCAACTGTGGTCCTCGGAGCAGCAGCATGAACACCACCTGAAAGTTTGTCAGAATTGCCAATGCTCAGGCCCCACTCGGAGCTGCTGAATTAGAATCTGCATTTTAATGAGATCCCCAGTTGACATGTGTACATGTTAAAGTTTGAGAAATGTTGGCATAGCGTTAAAGGGTTTAGACTTTGGCATCAGGCAGTACCGAATTTAAGTCCCAGCACATTATCTGCGATTTTATGACCTGGGACAAGTTACTTAACTTCAATGAGCCTCGCTTGTTTCATAATTAAAGTGGAATGATACTAACCATATCAGTGCTCTTAGGATGATTAGATAATGGATGTGAGCGCACTTAGCCCAGTGCCTGACTTTGTTATGCTATGCATTCTCAGTAAGTGTAATCTAATGATAATAGGACCCTTGAGGATATCGTTTGAGCTCAAAAATCAGCTTCCTCAAAGGGGGTTTGTATGCATTTTAGATGGTCTACAATGGAAAGAAATCCAACTAGTTGAGTGTCTGCCTGCCACAAAGCTCTTACATAAAAAACTGGTGGCCCCACAAATGTATATTTCTTTTTCTTCCGAGAAATAGTCTGGACAATGGTCAGCAATGGGTAAGGACACTGCTTTCTTTCTAAGTGCTCTAAGTGCCAAGTTTCTAAATGTTAATGGTCCACATGGGAAACCAGTGGGCTGGAGCAAAAGGAGCCATGAAGAGCCTTGCCCTGTGGCAACAAGTCTGTGGTGACTGGGTAAAGGTTAGCTGACATCTGTTCCTGGCACCTGCAGGATGAGCCAGGGCCTTTTACAGCGAAGGCCTTTGTTTTAATGCATTGCTACAAGATTGGATGGGAATATATAAAAGAGTAGTTTTAATGAACAGACAGCAGGAGTTAATCAGTGGTGAGCTATTGTGGTATCCTAGAAAGGAGTCAGTTAACAAATATTTTGAGTGCTTAACAATCCACCAGGCATGAGGGACACATCAGAGACAGTCTCTGCCCTCATAGCACTTACAGACTAGTGGGTAAATGAAAATGGACTAAATAACTTGAAGCATGTTAACTGTGTCAGCATTTGGAAATACATAATGCATAGCTTGGAACAAAGCAGTGTGTTATAAGAGGATGGGAGTCAGGTGGTATGAAAACTGTCCTAGTTCTGACCCTAAATCAGTGTGTGATCTCAAGCAGTTTCCTCCTTCTGACACTCAATTTTGGCATCAGGAAAATAGGGGATTTAGCTTTGACATCTCCAAGTTTGTTCCTCAACTTGGGTACCTGTGGCAGTAAGATTTAACAGCATCTCATTTATGTACCCTCCCCCTAAAAAAGAAATCTATTTTCTGAAAAAATGAAATTTTCCATAATCCCTTTTATCACTCTCATGGACTATCTGCTGAGCCTTAAGGATTAGATATACAAACGCATCTATTGTGTTTGAGATGCCCAGACACTAAAGACCCTGGGTGGTAGCAAGTCTCAAAGGCCACTTCTTTCACATGCAGGATCTTGCCTGATATAGGTGTTAAGATTATGAATTCTAGGGTCAGACTAACTGAAATCAACTGAAAGAATTCCTCCCACTTACTGTGTGACCTTGGGCAAGACAATCAACTTCCTTGGGCATCAGTCTCCTCATCTTAAATACAGAGACAATTGGGAGGATGATGGTACTAAATAGATAATGTTACTGCAGGGATATAACGAGGCCATGGATGTACTAGAACATAAGAAACACCACATGAATACGAGCTGTCATTACTCTGTTGAGAAATAGGTTTGGAGTTCCTTGAGTGGTGTTGGTGACTTGATGACAAACACTAGATGGTCCCTGGAATCTGGTTTTAGAAGTTTGCAGAGAAATATTAATAAGAGAACATACTGTGACCACAGAAATGAAAAACCTTAGACTAGCAGTTCAGGAGTCTGAGCTCTGATTCTGGCTTTACACTAACTCACTAGGCGACTTTGGTCAAATCAGCCTGTCTCTATGGGTTTTAGTTAAGTCGGGATTCATTTCATCTCAACTTGGGACTATAAGAATCTGATGAGGTTATATAAATGACATTGCTTGGGAAGGTAAGAAGAGTTTCACAAATGTGAGCGCCTACTAGGAAGACTGGAGTCAAAGGCAGAGAGCATGGATAATATGTGTGTGCCCTTCTCAGGATTTTGGAAATAATGACACCACATGGTATGGATGGTTCACACAATTGTTTTCAGGGCAATGGAAGGAAATGTAGGTCTGATTCAGTTTTATTAGCCCTCTTGCTTCTGGTAAGTAGACTTTTTTTCTGGAAGTTGTCTTCTTACAATGGTATGAACAAGTTGGGGTGTGACTGTGGACTCCTGAAGAGCACCCAGAATGAAGGCTGGTATTCTTGAAGAGTGTGTGCTCCATTCTTGTGGGGTATGTCTGAGTTTCCTCCCCTCTGGCTCTCCTGTGCCAGCAGCCCTAGGGAGGACAGAATCAGACCTCTGGGAGTCATTGCATTTGGTAGTCAGAAAAGTCTGAGGGCTCTTTTCCCATGGGTTTTTTGTTTTTGTTTTTAAACTCTCAACTTGGGTAAAGTTCATTGGCCCTCAGTCTTCACCCTGCACAAATTAATCAAGATTCCCTCAGTCTATCATTTTCAGCCATTGACTGTCTTCTAAACCGTGATTTAGCTGTGAACTCAGAACACTGATAGGAATGGTCTTATGTGAAAGCATTGTGCAAAATGGCTTTTGTCATATCTAACCATTGAGAGCTGGCATTTGTTGAGCTTCTGCTTCAAAAAAGCTGTAGTTAGAGCTCTAGGAAATACAGCCTCATGGAAAACTCAACCTCTCTATTTTTGAGGCTCTTACCTTATCTCTAGAGAGATTAAACAAGGACATAAGAAAAGTGAATTTAAAATACAGGCCAAAGCAAGATGCCAGCAGGGAGATAGACAAAACCAGACACCACCACTGCCATTGCCACCACCACCTCTGCTCTGGTTAAGATCTCACTGCCTGAGAGAAGCTTTTCTGGCATCAGATCCCTGGGGTAAAATAGAGGAGCCAGAGCAAGAGAAAATAAGCCAACAAATAACATATAGGTCAATATGTAGTGAATTCCAAAGGGATGGTTCAAGTGGTAACTTCTAGAAAGATGTGAAAATCTGGAAATCCATGGGTCAGATCCAGCCCGTCCTCTTTTTTCTTCCAAAGAAGAATAGGAGGAAAAGAAAAAAAAAAAATAGGTCATGCATCATCTTTGCTTTATCTTGAAAAATCAAGAGACTTGGCAAACTAGACCAGTATTGGAGCATTACACTCAGCAGAGCAGTAGCTACCCTTTAGATAGTGGTAGGACTTGCTAGGTCTCATAGCTCCCACCACCCCATAATGTCCTCTACTCTACATTGGCCCACCTTCCTCATTCACTTTACATGCCTGACTCCTGTGGACATTCTGAGTTAAGAATCTGCTATTGTGGTTCAGGAGAAAGAGACTTCATTGTGAGCTATATAGGATCTCACGGACAAGCGGGACTTCCCATGGTTATTGAAGTCTAGGTAGGATTTTGGTAGGTAGAAGAGGATTTTTCAAGCAAAGTGTGATCAGAGGAATACAGGAGTATACATCCAAGAGGCAGCAAACAGACCACCAGGCTGAGCTGAGGGTCCATGTTGAGAAGCATGGGAATAAAGAGTGAAAATGCAAACTGTGAAAGAATCTAAATGCCAAATAATTGATCACGCTAACAATGGATATCTCCTGAAGGTTTTTTGAAGTCAAGAATGCCAGGAGGAAATGGAGTTTTAAGAAGACTGTGCAGGTGATACATAGGAAGGATTAGAAAAAAAAAGGTGAGAGGCAACAGTATTAGTTTAGAGGCTGGTGCAGAAATTCAGGATTGAGGGGTAGAGGGTCTCAGCATGGCTGGAAGCAACACAAATGGTGGGAAGACACTGAGAGTGAAGAACTGTCAGCATCTGGTAATGGATGGACATGTGGCACTGAGAGGCAGGAAGGACTCAAATAAGAATTGGCAATGGCCAGACCTGTGGGAGAGGAAAACATGCTGGATGCAAGACTGCAATGAAGCTGCATCATCCTTTCCCCAGGCATGTGAAGATTCTTCTGGAGTGGGCTTCCTTCCCAGAAAAGACTCTCATTCTGGCCTTTCTCTTCCAGGAAAAAGATGTAACTCCAGATAAAAACCTACTGACCAAGGTTCGAGATGCTGCCCTGTGGTTGGAGACCTTGTCAGACAGCAGACCTGCCAAGGCTTCCCTCTCCACCACCTCCTCCATTGCTGATTTCTTCCTTGCCTTAACCATCTGCAACTCTGTCATGGTGTCCACAACCACCGAGCCCAGGCAGAGGGTAAGGACCAGCGATGGCTGGGGGAGGAGGGTAAAGGAGGTAGAGGAGTAGAAGGCAGGGTAGGGGCGAGGGGAGAAGTTCTGATCAGGGAGACATGAAATTTGGGTCCTAGCAACAGTGTCATTTCATCACAGTGAAACCTAGAATAGGTCTCTTACCCTCCCTGGGTCTGTTTCCTCATTTTTAAATAAAATGGAAAAAGATACATATGAGCTTTCTGTGTAGCTTTCAAACTTTGTCTATGTGTCTGCAGGTAGACATTAAGAGTTAGTGATTACTGAGCACTTGGCTTTATGCCAGGCTCCATACCCAGCACTTTACCTGTATTATCATTTAATCCTCTCAACCCAGCAACTCTATGAGGCAGGACCTTAGATTTAACAAGCGAAGAAATAGTAGCTCAGAAAACTCAAGGTAATGAAGGACATATGGCTCATAAATGGCAGAACCATCTATGCAATTCCATAATGGTTTCTAGTAATATTGTGCTATATTGCTCTCTGTTTTTATATACGGGTTAAAAATAATACTGTGTGTAATGTTCTTCCCATGGAAAAAAATGCAGCTGAATGGTCATGTATGTGAAGTTATACTCTGAAATCTACTGAAGGTGGATTTGCCTTCAATCTTCCACAGACTCTTAGCCAATCACCCCTGTGAGCTGTGAGTCACTGAGAGAATAATTAGGTGGTACAACTTGCAACTATGAAACCAAGACAAGAAGTTTCACCCAGGCACTAAACCACAACCTCCCTTCATTATGCCCAGATTCCAAACCACCCTGAAAATCACTTCAGCACTGAAAAGTCAGCATGTTATCAGAAGTCTTCAGGAAGTTTTTGGAGGCAGAAAGCTTTATCTTAAAAATTAATTCATTTTTAAGAGGGGAAGAAGTACCATTTGGGGAAAGACAGTAGGCACCTCCCAATTTTCAAGTTAATGTGGGAGCTTCAGCTGGCTGGGAGCTTCAGCTGGCAGGTAGCTCAAGAGCCCAGCCTCTGGAGTCGAGGAGACCTGGGTTTGAGTTCCAACTCTACTCCCTACACACTGGGTGATCATGGCCAATTTATGTAGACTTTTTGTACCTCAATGTCCTCAGCCATAAGTTGGGTTGATGATAGCATCCCACAGAATTATTGGGAGGATGAAATGAGATACCGCACTCAAAGATAAAGCAGAAGCATTTATAGTGAGAGTTCAGGAAATGTGAACCCTTACTATGAGTTTCTGATTCTCATCTCCTTTTCCTTCCTTTCTCCACGCTCACAGTGGGATGATCAAAAGATAGTGGAAAATGACCATTGTCAATGCTTAGAATTTCAGGGCTGGAGGAAAATATCTGGCTTCACTTATTGCAAAAGTACCTTCATATTCCGCATAAGACAACTTGGTATTATTTCCAACATTGAGAGTAATATTCCACTTTCCTTCTTTGGCCACAAGGTCACCATCAAACCCTCAAGCAAGGCTCTGGGGACGTCCCTGGAGAAGATTCAGCAGCTCTTCCAGAAGTTGAAGCTATTGAGCCTCAGCCAGTCATTCTCATCCACTGCACCCTCTGACACAGACCTCGGGGAGAGCTTAGGGGCCAACGTGGCCACCACAGACTCGGATGAGAGAGATGATGCATCTGTGTGCAGTGGAGGTGACTCCACTGATGACGGTGGCTACAGGAGCAGCATGTGGGACCAGGGCGACATCCTGGAGTCTGGGTCAGGCACTTCCTTGGAGGAGGCATTGGAGGCCCCAGCCACAGACCTGGCCAGGCCTGAGTTCTGTTACGAGGCTGAGAGCCCTGATGAGGCCGCCCTGGTGCACGCTGCCCATGCCTACAGCTTCACACTAGTGTCCCGGACACCTGAGCAGGTGACTGTGCGCCTGCCCCAGGGCACCTGCCTCACCTTCAGCCTCCTCTGCACCCTGGGCTTTGACTCTGTCAGGAAGAGAATGTCTGTGGTTGTGAGGCACCCACTGACTGGCGAGATTGTTGTCTACACCAAGGGTGCTGACTCGGTCATCATGGACCTGCTGGAAGACCCAGCCTGCGGTGAGTCCTGCCTTACCAGGGTTCCAGGCACAGAGAGTTCTATAGTTTAAGAAGCAGTGTGGAATGGTAATAAGAAGCTCAAGTTGTAGTGTCACCTGGTATGGCAGGTCCCAACTGGAATACAGACCTACAAGATGTTTTCCTCAAATATCCTTAAAACATGCTGCATTTTACATCTCCTGGACCTAGGGAATCACAGTGTCCATTAGCATATTTAAAGACTGTACAGTCTTGTAGCAGATAAACATCTTTAACTTCATCCCAGTTTTCCAAACTCATTTAAACATGGATTATCCACACAGTCTTTTGCACTAGAACATCCATTATCTTACCATGGAACACATTGTGGTCCTAACTCTTCATTTTGGAGAAAAGCACACTCAACTTAGAAAGAAAAGTGACTTACAAGAGGTAACATGGTTAACTAGTGTTAAATCCCAGACCCAGGTATCCTGAATTCCAGGTCAGAGCTTGTTTCATGCTGCCAGAATTCTGCACTGGGCTTGGTGTACTCTGGGAAGCCTCAGGTGTTCCTCTTTATTATCCTTTTCCCCAGCCTCCCCCAGATGGATTTTCATAAACGTGCACTGAGCCAGAAAAATGTTCCAAAGTCCCTACATATCAGTGTCCAATTTTGGAACAGCATGAATTAGTGTGCAGCCGCTTCCTGATTGCTAACAAGGAGAAGACAGTTATGGGGCTATGATTCTCCCAGGATAGTAGATTCCAGCCAAGCTTCAGAATTGCCCAGGCAGCCCTGTGCCTCCTGCATTATCAGCCATGGATCAGGGCCAAGAGGTTTATGGGGATTGATTAGTGTGTAGAATGGGAAGGGAGCTAATTAGTTCTCTTTATTCCCAGACTCTGGCAGACAAGTGAATTCAGTACTTCTGAGTCAAGGGAGCCACGGCACTCTATCCCTCAGCAGCCAGTCATCCAAGCTGCCCTGGAGATGTCTCTTTATTTGCTCCTCACCTGATTGAAAAATGGATTAGAGATGCCTTCAATAGAAGTCACACACACAATGTTACTATAAGAATTGAGAAGCAAAACTTTGAAAGGAGGGAGAAAATGACCTCAGGTTTAATAATATTTATGGTGTTTAAATGTTCAATTTGATGCTGAGGTTCCTGGCAGCCTTAGCAAGAAGGTAAACTCCAAGGCTTACAAGTAAAAGACAAACAGGTTTAATCTCAGGAGCTGGTGTCTTTAAAAATAAAATATTGTAAATAGTGCCGAATCAGGCGATGCACAAATGAAGACTATGCTTAAGGCGCCAGCAACACCTGAAAAATGAGAAAATAATCTTTGAAACAAGTTTTATATTATATAAAAACAGCCTTGGAGTAGTATCATGGAAAAATCAGAGTTTTGTTGGACTTCATTATACTTTTCTGTTAAGAATTACATTTTTAATTTTGCATTATATACAAGGATGGGTGAGGTATACAAATTCTGTTCAATCTTAGGACCTTTAAAAAATCTCAATCCAGCCCTGGTAAAAAATGATTCTGAAGCCTAGCTCAGTTTTACAAGCGACTGATAAATGATGTCTGTGGCAGTTTAGATAAAGGAAGTGCTGATGGCATCAATCCCACCCCACACCAGCCAACCTTGGCTGAAAAATTCTTATTATAGAATTAGATAAAGGAACTGGAATTTCAAGAGAAAAAGACAAATTACCTCTGACAGAAACTTATGTACAACTTTACAAAGGGGACTTTGAGCAACACACATATTTTTCATACTACATTCATAGGAAATGCATAAAAGAATGTTTTCTCTAAACGTATTTCTTGCATTGAGAGAAGGCCTAGCTCAGCTAAACAAATGAAATGAGGAACTTAGCTAATGAGATCCAGGCTTGTAGATGTCTTGGGACCTAATTTGATATAAGACCTCAAGTAGAAGATAGAGAAGATGATAAATAGAGAACAGTTTCCAAAGTCAGTTGGCCATCCAGAGATCAACTAAAAACACCTTAGGTAACAATAAAGATTCAAACTTCTAGTCCCCTGATTCAGCTGGGCTTTAACTGGACCTGAGAATCTCAATTATTAAATTCCCAGGCGGTTCTCATGCAAACAGCTGTTTGGGAACAGTACCTTAGACCACCTACCTTCCTTACATAGCACTTTACTCAGCCAGGCTTTTGATGAAAAGATGTAGAGAGCAGACAGCTTAAGGACTCCCTGCATTATCTTCCAGGGCAACCTGACAGCCAGGAGAGCTCCTTCAGGTTTCTAAGGTGGGCTGTAAGGGATTCCTTCTCTAAAGTATTTGTAGTCTACTACAGGAGATTCCAGGGTATTGGGGATGGGGATCCCTGAGCATTTGTATGTGGCCTCATGCGGGAAAATGGCTATTTGACAGTACCTGACATTAATATGGAAAAGAAGCTGAGAAAAATCCGAGCCCGGACCCAAAAGCATCTAGACTTGTATGCAAGAGATGGCCTGCGCACACTATGCATTGCCAAGAAGGTAAGAACAATTCCTCCAAGCGTGCTTTGAATATCATTAAATAGCTGAATGGCCTTGACCCTGCTTCTTTTTCTTTATAAAAGACCCTTAGAGGTGGTTGTTTTAACATTTTCAAGATTAGCTGTTCTGACTTGCCACAAAAACCCAAGACACTGACAATTTTGTGGAAGCCAAAATCTGAAGAGCTAGGTCCCATATCAGTGTGGCTTTGCCATGCCCTGCTTTTCATTATATGTGTAATGGGTAACACACAACTCATGACATTTTTTCAGTTATAATTTTGTTTTCCAATTATATTTTTTAGGTATGCATTATTTTCCTTTAAATTTGGGGACCTTTTATATGGTCACATAAAAATCTAGATTTCCGGTTTCTTTTAAAAATGTAGAGGATCTGGCCAACTGTGTTTTCATTCTAGAATGGCAGCAATCAGCTACAACCAGGAAGAAGTTGATTCCTGTGATGAGGGATATGTTCAGCTGTGTTCTGTGGTTGGCCACAGTCCCTACCACTCTCTACCTCTCCCTATCACATTGCACTCAGCCCAGCCATAGTTTTGTAGATTACCTAACTCATGCTTTGCAAGATCTTTGACTTTGCAACTTCTGCAAGGCAGGCAGGCAGTGAGGGCTGCGAATTGCAGAGTGTGGACACCGAATGAGTCACCCAAAAGCAAAGCTAATGGGGTGCTATGATGGGCATACATTTCTAGATGGCTAGACATGGGTTCTCTTGCATAAATCCCCAGGACTTTTCATGTCTTTTATGGTTCTTAGGTCAGCATTAGAGATCAGGAGTGCCCACTTTAAAGCCAGAACCACCTGGGTACTAGTCCCAATCTCACTACTTTTAGATGTGTGACCTTGAGCAATTTCTTCACTTCTGAGTTTTATCTGTAAAATGGTGCTAATCAGCCCTCCCTCATGCAGTTGTCATGGAGATTAACTAAAATAACCACATGTGCAGCACCTGGGACAGCAACAAATGCTTACTGCTACTCTGAATCAGTATTACACCCTTACCACCATTTTCTATTAAAGTTATTTGTGCATATTTTGCCTCCCCTAATGGACTATGCATTCCTCAAAAGCAAAAGGCCTACTTGTTCCCTTTCGTTTTCTCTATAGTGCCATGCAGAGGGACTCAGGGAATATTTGATGCTTGAACAAAATAATTTTTCATTGCTATAAGACACCATATGCATGTAATGTCAACAGGAGGGTCTAAAATGGGACTCTGAGGGAAGAAGATGTGGCCACTAGCTGGATTATTCCAGCTACTGGGCACTCCATGTGTATGACACCATGCCTGGTGGAGTGCTCTACAGGCTGCTTTCTTTCCAGCCTCATTTCTGAACTTTCTCCGTCTTTCATTCAAGGAACAGAAGGAAGGCCAAGTTCATTGCCGTTCCACAGCCTTAACTCTTGCTCTTGCCCATGATTGACCCTCTGTCATTGGATCTCAGCTTGCAGGTCATTTTGTCGAGGAAACCTAAACTTCAAAAGAAGGCAGCCCCCTATTCAGTTATTCTTCTATCCCATCACACTTTCTCATATCACTCATTTACTACCTAGCATTCCCTGAAATAACTATTTTAAATTATTTATTTGGATAATACCCCTCACCTTCCACCACCATATAAGCCCAGGCATGCAGGGACCTTGTCTGTCCAGATCATCTCCAGTGATCTGAGCACAATAGATTTTTAGTGATAATGGAACACAAGGATAAATCTTCATTAATTTACATATTTAAAAAAAAGTCTTTGAGAAGAAAGCCCCATCTAATTATGTAGGGAAGTTCAAACAGGCCAATAGGAGACCCAGCAGGTGGGAAGAGAGAGGAAATTATCTTGTTGGTCCACCCAAGATTGTTAAGGAGCCTTTTCCCATCCCATAGGTTGTAAGCGAAGAGGACTTCCGGAGATGGGCCAGTTTCCGGCGTGAGGCTGAGGCATCCCTCGACAACCGAGATGAGCTTCTCATGGAAACTGCACAGCATCTGGAGAATCAACTCACCTTACTTGGTAGCTAAAAATAAGTCATTATTATAGGAAAAAAGGAATGCAGCCAGTTGAGAAGGGAGCTCTTGGCCCCGATTCTGACACTACTAATATGTCTCCATTAGCAGCCTTCCCTGGGGTTCCCTTCCAGGTATTTGGCACAAATGGGCCATGCCAATACCCAACCCAGACACCACACACAGCTTCCTGAGGATGCTCTGGGAGCATTCCTGCATTCCCTGCTGGAAGAAGCCTCTGAGTTTGGCTGCTTTTCCAACAGCACACTCTTCCCTTCATTCAAATGTTTGCTAAGCACCTACTATGTGCCAAGTGACATGCTAGGCTTTGGGGCTGCAACAAGGGACAGGAGCCAAAAAGTCTGCCCTCCCAGATCTTGGAGTCTAGTGAGGATACTAGATGATCGAGCAAGCAATTTCAACAGACTGGTGAGAGCTGGGCTAGCAGATGGGCCTGGTGGGATGGAAGCACAAAAAGTAGGAGATGCCAGCCTAGCACAGGGGTGAGGGAGGGTCTAGGAAGGCAGTGAACTGAAAGCAAGAAGAGAAGCTGGTTAGGCAGAGGAGGAGGACCCAATTGAAGGCCTGGAGGTCCCGGGCTGGGGGGAAACAGAGTGGGGAGAAATGATGGAAGGCAGGAAAGGTCAGCAGGACCCAGATTATGAAGGGTCATGTCAATCAGCTGCTAAAGGTTTGGAGAGGGCAGAGGGTGAAAGCAGGGACAGATCTGTGCTTTACAAAAACTGCTGCTTGCTGCAGCATGGAAGTTAGATTGCTATGCTGAGAGAGAGAAGAGAAGCACAGAGACTGATTAAGAGACAGGCTGTGCTTCTGTTGGAGGAAAGGCATTGCCAAGAAGCAAGGGGAGCTTTATTCAACAGGATTAATGTCCTCACACCTTGGGAGCAAAATCTGGGTAAACAATGCCCAAACAGCATGCACTGGCCACGTGGCAAAAAGCCTTCTTTATTCTTGGTGGACAGTGTTGACCTGGGGATGAGGACCAAGTTCTGGACAGAGACACACTCCTCTGAGACTTGGCTTCTCTGGATGAGTCACATGCCTCCAGCTGCCCAGCCAAATAGGAGTTCCAAGGGGAAAGACCCAAGGTCACTGTAAAGTGGTGATGCTGGCAAGTGGGATGGCTGACAAGCTGAGGAGGGAGAATGGGGTTGGGGCATGCATTAGCTCCCCACATCCTTCAGCCTTTGGTTTCCTATGTCTCGGCTGCAGAGGCCTCTGCTTGCTACCTCATAAGGTCCCCTTTAAAGCTGAACACAAGAACTCACTTGAACAGGAACCAGAGGATGGCTGGGCCAGACAACTCTATCTGCCAGATGATGCCACCAGAAAGTCATCCCATTCAGGCTCCTGATCCCTTTCTCCCTTCCCAGAGGTTTCTTTTGTTTCATGACAGCACTCTAGGCTCAGTCTGTGAGAGGTGTTCCTCCGGTTCTTCTGGGTGAAGAGAACACACTTATCAGAACCTGTTGGCTTCCCCTAGCTGGGAAAGGCTTTCACAACCTTCCTGTTTCATTTTCTCTTTCACACAAATAAATGTGTTTTTCCTCCTCTCTCCTTCACTCTGCCTCACCGTAATAAGTGAGCTTCTTCTCACCTTCCAGACTAACGCTTATAGGGGAAGATGAGGCTCAAGCCATCACTTTTTATGGGGTTGTTTACCTGTGCATATGGCCCTCAGATGCAAAACAGGCACATTTCAGGATAATGGGGTTCTTTGTCTCCCCTCAAGATGGCTTGGAGAGGACTGGGCTGAGAAGAGAATTCCACTTTCCACCGAGAAATTGGCACACCACTAAAAAGCTGTAATGCCTTCATGCTGTCTCAAAATATGAAATAATCTTTTCAATATGCATCCAACGTAACCACTTTGCCAACCTATTGTCACTCTGGATTATTAAAAGAAACAAAATGCCGTGCTCCTGCCCAGAGTGAAATGGGTAGCCATTAGTCTGTGATCTGAAATGAATCTCAATTGAAAAGCAGATTTATTTTTGCTTAATCACTTAGCAACTATTCAATATTTGGATATCTATTCATCAGGGCTGGTGCAAAGCTTGAGATCCTTCAAAAATTATGGAATCTGCATGTTTAATTCACTCCAAGAATATTATCAAAAATATGAGTCCCTATTAATTCTGCTTTGATCAGTTGCAGGGCAAAGATTTCAGTCTTTCCACTTCTATTCCTATTGCTGCTAGGCCAGTCCAGGCTACTGCTGCCTCTCCTCTGCAGTCCTGCCTGGCCTCCTAAGTAGCTTTTAGTTCTGAATCTCATCCTGCTTTTCCAATCTCAAACCTATTCTCTAGAATGATATTCTTAAAAGTCAAAACTGATTCTATCACTCCCCAGCACAACACCCTTGAATAACTTTCACTACCACCAAATAAATTGCAAATCCTTTGAGGCCCTGACAAGGCTCTGCCCAGTCCAGCACCCCTAAGCTCCTTTTCTGGCCTCATCTCTCACCTTGCTCTGCCTCCATTTCTGCATCTTCCTCTACTGTAGTCTCTGGGACTTCACACACACTGATCCCTCTACCTGGAATTTTCCTCCTCTGCCACCTCTTTGCATTATCTCCCAGGTCTCAGTTTAAGTAGCACTTCCTCAGCATAAGCCCACCCTGATTTTCCAGGTGAAGTTCAGGTCTCCTGGTGTATATTCGCATGGTATCCTGACTTTCTTTCATTATATAGCTCAGTTATAAATTCTTATTCAATGACCATTGAACTCAGAGGTAGAGACCTGCTCCATCTAGTTCACTGTTATATCCTGGGTACACAGCCTAGCACAGTGATGCTATCCAATAAACATTGCCTGGCTTCACATGGCTTTGGGGGAATTAAGCAACTACTCTTTTACGATAAATGTGAACTCTGTTGTTTTTCATCACTCCAGGAGCCACTGGGATCGAAGACCGGCTGCAGGAAGGAGTTCCAGATACGATTGCCACTCTGCGGGAGGCTGGGATCCAGCTCTGGGTCCTGACTGGAGATAAGCAGGAGACAGCGGTCAACATTGCCCATTCCTGCAGACTGTTAAATCAGACCGACACTGTTTATACCATCAATACAGAGAATCAGGTGAGGTGATTCTCTGTATTGATATCTGCAGATATCAACGTGTAGAGCAACCCCTCAACCAAGAGGACACAGGCTTCTAGGTGGGATTTGGGTACACCAGGGAAGCACCCAACCCCCAACAGATCACTGAATCTTGGAGTCTAGAGGACCCTGGAAGTCATCCAGCCCAATATCCTTTATCTCATCCCCACACATGGCTAGCTGGTCTCTTTTACATTACTTCTGGCACTGCTTGTTAGAAAGTTTTACCTCTCCCAAATTCTACTATTGGTCTAGTCTCCCCATTTCCCCACAGATAAGGAAACTGAAGACTACTGGGGCTAAGTCTCTTGCTCAGGTTTACCCTGCTTATTTCTGATAGGTAGAACTAAGTCTAGAACTGAGCTAGTGCTATTTACATTCTACCACACTGTTTGCTTATGGAAACTCAACTGTCGGTTTCTTACTATTTAAGACTAACTTATCCATTGAAAAAGTCCCAATTAAATTGAAATTATTCAGAGCTTAAATTTTCAGCATCAATTTATATGTCAAGCTGGTCTGCCACAGAGTAAAAACCTGAAAGGAATAATGCATGAAGCCAATATGTTTTTATGGGATGAGAAAGAGAAAGAATGAAGCAAAGATCTAAAAATGGCACTTTTCAACTGGAATAGATTACGGGTGGCAGGGAGTGAGGTTTGGAGAGAAGACTGGGAAAGCTGAAGAGGCATATTCAAAGCTATAACACCGTTTTGATTTTAGGGGGAAGTATCTGTTTTCACAATTCAAATTGCAGAAGGTAAAGTTCCACCACATCTTCTTGGCTGATGAAGATGGGAAGTGGGCACTGAGATTGTGTGCTCCTATCAGAAGGAAGCAGGGGTTGGATTCCATGGAGGATATTAACCAGAAGAGCACTCTACTGCAGGGGTGTGGGCGTAGGGCCCGTAGGGCACCTACACCGAGGACATACCATGGAGAAAACGAAAGAAGACGGAAAAAGGAAAGGAGGGAGAGAGGACACCGGACTAAATTTTGTCTGAGGCTGATGTAGACTACAGTAGAATGTTGGGGAGGTTTATATTTCATTTTTATTCCATGAAGCAACAATATACACCTCTTTTTTAAAAATAAAACTAGTGTAGATTATGAAAAATGCCAGAGGACCTTTAGATGAATTGGAAAAATCATTTACTTTCCTGTCAGGTGCACAGATTATTAGATTAAACCTTAATGAATTTTCAAAATGAAAATAAGCTCAGGGAAAACTTGGGCTTTAATATTATGCTTAGGAAGGAAAGTAATTTTCAGCTTGCTTGAATGCTTGATCCCTGTGCCTGCCTGTCCTGCTTGTAATGGAAATTCGGTTTGCAATGATTCTTTCACTCCAGGTAATTCTAGAAGGAGAACATCTGCAAACCAGTGAGGCAGCCAGCCAGAGGGAGATCGAGTGGGCTTCCATGTGTTCTGCTAAATGCCATGCACTCCTGCTCATTGGTTAAACAGCCAAAGCTCCTAAGGAACAGTCAGCCATACTCCACCTTTAATTCAGTCAATGACGAATCTTTCTGTCCAGTATCTTCCAGGACAGTGCCTGAATCCTCAGCCATGCCTACACCCTTGGGCTCACTAAACCTGTAAGATTAGTCTTTTCATCTCTTTACCTGGGATGAAAAATAATATGTTAAGCCAGAAACTGGGGAAATACATTCTAAGTCTTAGACTTATTTAAACCCTAGTTTAATGTAGTTACATATTCCGTGGATATTTCCTCCAAGGTTTTTAATTTGCCTAATTCACTATAAATTGATTTAGGATTATTATCTCTTTGCTAGGTGTATTAAAGCAATAATCAAGTTATGGGATCGACCTAGACCTCAGAATTCTCATCCGGAAGATGAGAGAATTACTAACTAATCACTGAAGTGTTCATCAGTCAAGGAATTTTAAAAGGAACTAAAGTATTAGATAGGAACTAATACTAAAACCACTATTATTGCTATTGCAATATTGTTAATAATTAACAACCTATATTGAAGTTTTAATATGGCTCAAACACCATTCTTCTTGAACTTCTCTTCATCTGTAAAACAGATAAAAAATATTAACTTCACAGATTACTGGTAGGATTAAATAAGATCATAGAAGAAAACTACTTACTTTTAGTACATTACCTATGCTAATTATCTATTGGTACATAACAAATTACTCCAAACCTTAGGAGCTGAAACAACAGACATTTATTATCTTATGGTTTCTGTGGATTACAAGTTCAGGAGCATCTTAGCTGGGCACCCCTAGCTCAAGGTCTCCCTTGAGGTTGCACTCAAGCTGTTGGTCAGGGCTGTGGGCTCATCTGACGGCTCAACAGGTGGGTGGTTTTGGCATGGGAAGGAGTTCTGCTTCCAAATTCACCTACATGACTGTTAGCAGGCCTCAGTTTCTCACTCTGTGGGCCTCTCCACAGGACTGCTATACAACATGGCAGCTGGTTTTCCTCAGGGCTAATCATCCAAGAGAAAGTGAGAAAGAGCACCAAATTGGAAGCCACTGTCTTTTTATAACCTAATATGGGAGGTGACATCCCATCATTTTTTGCAGAATTCCCTTCATTAGAAAGGAGTCTCTAGGTCTAGACCACAGTCAATAAAAGGAGATTACACAAGGGCATGAATACCAGGAAGTGGAGATCACTGGGAACCACCATATTAGAGGTTCCTACCACAGTATAGGAGGTATACTAAATGTTCAGTGAATGGTAATTATTGTATACTTTAAAAGCTGGAAATAAGTAAATTAAGAGATGATTTAATTTTAAAGCTTATGTCTCCAATGACTTGCTTTAGTCATATATTGGAGGAATTTATATAATTGGTGCCAGTCCCAGCTTCCAAAGGACTACTTTGATCTCTTTCCAGATAAGTGCCTCTGGTATAAGCATACACTCCTA